>NC_000014.9:35672319-35975349 GCF_000001405.40 Homo sapiens | reverse complement strand
ATTGTTCCAGTACCATTCGTTGAAAAGAATATTCTTTCTCCACTGAATTACCTTTGCACCTTTGTAAAAAAAATCAAGTGATCATGTATGTGATCACTTGTTGCCTTTTAATTCCCACTCTGTTCTGCATGGGCTACTAAAACAAAGCACCTAACAGTGTCTTTCACTAGAAACATCATAGCAAACCTCTGACCCTGCAGGAAGTTTGATTAGTTGTTACAGTCAGAACTCTCAAAGATCGTGCGAGGCCAAAGAAGAAAATACAGTTGTAAAATAAATCCAGAAAGAGAAAGACAGCACTGCCAGTTAACCATGGAGGATAGAATACAAAGTTTTATCTCTGTTTCATTCCTAACACTGTTAAACAAATTAAGAGAAATAAAAAGACATGATGTCTCAAGGATAAAGAGTGCAGGAGAGTAGACAACAGCGAATGAAAGATAAAGACAAAGAAAATCTTGGAATCTGGAAAAAAGAAGGATGAATAGTCAGTAACCTAGCAGACCAGAGAAAGTTAAAAACTAAATGCCTGCATTAAGGAAAGCCAACAAGATATACATCAATTCTACAGAAATACCTAGGAATTTGGAAGGCAGAATACAGATCGAAGCTGAAATGGTAAAACTAATTCCTCTCCATATGGGTCTCATCACTCTCTGTCTGGTCTCTCTGCATGGGCTAATTTGGATTCCTCACAGTAGAATTGCTGGGTTCCAAGAGCAAGTGTCCCAAAAGAGAAAGCCAAATGGAAGCTGCTTTTTTTTTTTTTTTTTTTTTTTTAATGATCTAGCCTCAGAAGTAACATAGCATCACTTCTGCTGTAATAGTAGTAGTTACAAGTTCCTGCCCAGATTAAGAGAAGAAAACACAGACTCCCACCTCTTAGTCAGGAGAGTGCCAGTCACACTGTAAGAAGAAAATGTGAGATGGGATATATTCATTGGTACGCCATCTTTAGAAAATAAAATCTACCTACTTTCATAAGGAAACAGAGGCCCAGAGAAGTCTGTATTATCCAAATCACAGTCAGTAGCAGAGTAAGACTAGAAACTAGAAATCTGAACTATCTGAACTCCTATTCCATGTTCCTTCCACTAACTCAACTTGACTCTTCATTTTATAAAATCCACACTGGTGAGACTACAGAGTTAATGGATAGAGAGAGTTTAGTATAGGAAAATTCTTACCTGAACCCTAGGTAAGATTTTCATGATTCAGTGAGTTCAGGCCATAAAGAAACTATTATTCACCAGTAGAGCTATGGAAGTTAGGAAATCCTAGAAAAGAATTTTTAATAATTTCCAGACCAAAAAAAATGTTAATGACGTCAATGGAGGAAAGGTTTACAAGTCAGGCTTCCTCATTGCTGAGTTTTATGGCTTTATAAAAATCTATGAATGTGTTTTCTACAGACAGCTTCATTCTTTATTTCAGAGACAGTAATACAAATAATTCTAGTGTGCTTTAACTATCTAACAACAGGAATCAGGTATGGTTTTCTGAGCAAGTTAAATTCCAACAGTGTTACTCATTTTGATATGTTTTACTCTGCTAATTTATATATTTAAAGTAATGGTTTAATTAGGCCAGGCGCGGTGCATGCCTGTAATCCCAGCACTTTGAAAGGCAGAGGCAGGTGGATCACTTGAGGTCAGGAGACCAGCCTGGCCAACATGGTGAAACTCCATCTCTACTAAAAATACAAAAATTGTCCAGGTGTGGTGGTGCATACCTGTGGTCCCAGCTACTGGGGAGGCTGAGGCAGGAGAATCGCTTGAACCCAGGAGGCGGAGGTTGCAGTGAGCCAAGATCACGCCACTGCACTCCACAGTGAGACTCCACCTCAAAAAAAAAAAAAAAAAATGACAGTAATGGTACAAAAAGGAATGAGATTAAATAGAAATAAAAAAACTACGATGTCTTACTATATAATTTGTAGTAGATCTAATTAGCCAAGGACACATGTAATCTCAAGGTTAACCAATAAAAGAATAGCACAAGGGCAAAACTAATGAGCTAATAGAGGGAGTAAATAAAATCTTTAAAATGTTTAATTCAGGATGGGTGCGATGGCTTACACCTGTAATCCCAGCACTTTGGGAGGCCGAGGTGGGCGGATTACTTGAGATCAGGAGTTTGAGACCAGACTGGCCAACATGGTGAAACCCTATCTCTACTAAAAATACAAAAATTAGCTGGGCATGGTGGCGTGCACGTGCAGTACCAGCTACTCAGGGGGCTGAGGCAGGAGAATCACTTGAACCTGGGAGGTGGAGCTTTCAGTGAGCTAAGATCACACCATTACATTCTAGCCTGGGCATCAGAGTGAGACTCTGTCTCAAAAAAAAAAAAAAAAAAAAAAGTTTAATTCATTAAAAAGACAAAAATAAGGAGGAAAAAAGGGAACAGAGAACATGGGACAAATGTAAAGGATAAGACAGCATACATATCCTAAATATATTAGTAATTACAATAAATATGTGAATACACAATAATGCATCCATCCACTCCATCTCTCAAGGAAGTTTCAGGTGTTACAAGTTTTTGCTATTACAAAAATACACTAACAAAATGAAAGTGGAATCACTAAAGACTGTACATCTTCCACTTTATCAGGTCTTGCCAAATTGCTTTCCCTCATCATAAAACATCTCCTCCTTCAGCACATTCCTGCCAATGCTTGGTATCACCAGACTTAAAAAATTTGCCAATCTCATGGGCATGAAGTAATGCCTTATAGCGTTAATTTGCATTTACCTTACCAAAGGTGAAGTTGAATATCTTTTATATATTAACCAGGAGGATTTCTTCTTCTATGATTTGACCTCTTATATCATTTGCCCTTTTATTGTTCTGTTTTTTGATTTGCCTCTTAATTTATTTCATATGTTAGTCACTGGCTTGGATTACTGAGTAGATAATAGTATTCTTCATACAGAGAGAAAATAAAGATACATGTTGGAGCTGCAGAAGTAAAAAAGAAAGAAAAGAGAGAAAGAAAGAAAGGAAGGGAGGGAGGAGGAGGGGGGAAGGAAGGAAGGAAAGAGGGAAGGAAGGAAGAAAGGAAGGAGGGAAGGAAGGAAGGAATGAAGGAAGGAAGAAGGGAAGGAGGGAGGGAGGGAAAAAAGAAAAGAAGCAAAAAGAAAGAGAAAGAAATTCAGGCACATTTTTTAGTAACAGTTCATGAATTCAGTTTCAGATAATATATTGCAAATATCTTCTCAAAATGGCTAATTTTAACTTTATGGTGCCTTTTGCATGCAAATTTTAATATGGTTAACATATTTATTTTCCCTATCTGACTTGTGATTTTCATGTAAAAAATTCCTTCCCAACCTGGAGATTAAAGATGCCCTCAAGTTTTTAAAGTTTTAGTTTTAGTTTTAGTTCTCTTCCAGGTCTTTAATATTTCTAGAATTTAGTTTTGTTTGTGGTATGAAACTAATACCCAATTCTTTTCCATATAGATAGCCAATTGTCCCAGCATCATTTATTAAATGGTCTGTAATTTTCTTCTTGATTTATACTGGCACCTCTGTTACATTCTAACATCTCACATCTATCTATAGTCTAATTGCCTATGTTTGTGCCAATATCACACTATTTTAATTGCTATCACTTCCTTTTTTTTTTTTTTTTGAAACAGACTCTCGCTCTGTCGCCCAGGCTGGAGTGCAGTGGCGTGATCTCGGCTCACTGCAAGCTCCGCCTTCTGGGTTCACACCATTCTCCTGCCTCAGCCTCCCGAGTAGCTGGGACTACAGGCGCTCGCCACCACGTCCGGCTAACTTTTTGTATTTTTTAGTAGAGACGGGGTTTCACCGTGTTAGCCAGGATGGTCTCCATCTCCTGACCTCGTGATCTGCCCACCTCGGCCTCCCACAGTGGTGGGGTTACAGGCGTGAGCCACCGCACTCGGCCAATTGCTCTCACTTCTTATTAAATCTTGTTATACAATAAGATAACCCTCCCCTCACTTATTTTTTTAATTGTTTTGGCTCTTCTTAGCATTTTATTATTCCATATTAATTTTAGTTTCAACTTGTCAAGTTTCAAGAAAAAAAGACTGGAACTCCTAATAGAGAAATCAACTTTATGGGTTACTTTGGAAAAAAATTACATCAATACTGAGTCTTCTTACTGTAAACTTACTACATATCTCCATTTACTTAGTTCTATTTTATATTCCTTAGTAAAGTTTTACAATTAACTCCTTTAAAGTGCTGCATACCTTTTGGTAAATATATTCTCAGTACCTTACATTTTTTGTTGCTATTGCACATGTCATTGTTTTAATATTTTCTATTTTTTTTGTATATTGAACTTTTTCCAGTAATATTGCTGAAATTTCTCATAAGGCCTAATAATTTATCTGCAAACCCTCTTTTTTTCTTTTTTCTTTTTTTGAGTCAGAGTCTCACTCTGTCACCCAGACTGGAGTGCAGTGGCACAACCTCGGCTCATTTTAACCTCTGCCTCCCAGGTTCAAGCGATTCTCGTGCCTCAGCTTCCCAAGTAGCTGGGACTACAGGCACACGCAACCATGCATGGCTAATTTTTGTTTTTTTAGTAGAAACAGGGTTTCACCATGTTAGCCAGGCTGGTCTCGAACTCCTGACCTCAAGTGATCTGCCCGCTTCAGCCTCCCAAAGTTCTGAGATAACAGGTGTGAGCCTTAGCGCCTAGCCTATAAACCCTCCTTTAAGAGAGTACTTCATAAAGGGCAAAGGAACTTCCAAATCAACTACCTGAGTCCATTACTTTCTGAGCTGGGAAACAAAATATGAAGTTTTAAAACAGAGAGGAAAGGAAATATTATTTCTTTTCATATCCTTATACAGACTATCTAGTGATTTTACCCTACTGTGAGGCCTGGCATAAATAATGAGAGTAATGTTCAGCAATGGCTTTGGAGGAAGGTTCACTCTTTAATCACTCTTTATGCTACTATAGTTAAAAAAAAAAAAAAAATGAGACTAAAGGCAGAGCCAGGTCATGACTGACTTGTGTGCCAGGCTATGAAGTCTGTATTTTATCCTGAAAGTAATACACTTAGCTCAGATTTGCATTTTGGAGTTTTATTTTAGAAAGAGCTCAAGCAGTACTAAGAGGGATAGACTGAGCATGTGTTTTTGAGGCAGGGAGCCCAGTTGAGACGCATTGCAGTAACTCTCTAGACTACAAGCTTCATGAAGACAGGGTCAGTCGGTTTTGCTCACCACTGAATCCTCAGAGCCTAGCACAGTGCTTGACACACAACAGATGCTCAATAAGTACTTGTTGAATTAATTGATTCACCAATTAATTAATCTTAGGAAAAATTACCAGGTGGAACCAAAAATAGATAGTTGAGATGGAAAGGAGAAGACAAAAATCTATAAATATTTTAAGCAAAGAGGCAATTATACATTGAGAGTGAGGGGAAAGGAGAAATTTAGACTAGTTCCCAGATTCCTGACTAGGATGACTGCATAGATAGAGATATCCTACAACCAGAGAAGGAACAAAAAATATAGACATGTTTACAGGAATATTTAATAAGTTCAGCTTCAGAATGTTGACTTTGAAGTACTTCCAACATATTTGTCTAAAGAGCAGTTAAATCTGTGGATCTGTAGATGCATTGGGAGGTTGCTGAGGTTATAGGTATCAGGGAGTCACGCTGAAGAAGGGTAGAGTTCAAGTCTCTTTTCTCTATGATGTGCTGTATCCATCTTAAGCTACCCTGTGGTCTCAGGGAAATATTTACAAGGATTTGAGCAGATCTGAAGTTGCCTCTTGAAGAAAAACGTGACCCCACCATAAACACCTGAGTGACTCACCTCCATTTGCAAGTGACGTGACCCTTCATTCAGGTAAGAGCAGAACCAAATATGTCACCCCTG
This sequence comes from Homo sapiens, assembly GCF_000001405.40. Classification (NCBI taxonomy): domain Eukaryota; kingdom Metazoa; phylum Chordata; class Mammalia; order Primates; family Hominidae; genus Homo; species Homo sapiens. Next base: position 35,969,464 of record NC_000014.9, on the reverse strand, counting down.
CCATATGCTCATCTTTAATCCAAATCATATCACTGTACCTTCAACAGTATATGCACACTTACTTCTCACCAGAAAAGTTCACCTGGGATTGACTGCTCTCCAGTTCTGGTGGAAGGCCATTGAGTTGAAAGGTTGATAGCCTGAGATTTATTCTCTGTCCACTTCTCTAAATATTCTACCATGTAATCTAGTATAAGTTACCACATTAACTTGGTTCCTTCACTGAGTACCTCTTCAGTGTTATTCTCAGATTTTAACAAAGCCCAATATGAGAAAGAGACATGAACAAAACCCTGGAGCATTTGCTTTAAAGTCTTTTCTGAGGTACTGATCTCTATATTGTTCAATGTCCCTTGCACAGATTTTCTCACGATAAATTCCTTGTTATTTCTACTGGCATTTTTATTATAAAAGTAATTTATGCATGTTGTTACAAAAAATGTTTTTAAGCAATAGAAAAGCTCCCACATCTATCTTCTTTCCTACCCACACAATTCTAACCCCTAGAAGCAATCAAGGAGTCAGGATTCTTTTCATTGCAAATGCAAGACCTGTAGCTTGAAGTGGAATACAAGAGAGGAATGGGAAGGGCAGTCCCAAGGGCCACAGGGAATGGAACATGGGGTGTAAACTTCTTATCTCTGCTTCTATGATCTGTTAGTCATTCTCTCACTTTTCTCCGGTGGAGGAGAACAGGACTTCCAGTGATGGGGGACCATAGCCTTCCATCACCATCATCCAACAGGAAAAGAGATTTTTTTCCCCCTTAGAAAAATTCCAGGGGCATGCTCTAATTGGCTTGGTTTAGGTCAATTAGAACTATTGTGGTTGGCAGTGCTCAGAAACTCATGACTGAATGGAAGAAAAGCAGTTCCCTTAAGGAAGGTGGACACTGTCATCAAAAGAAGCAAGAAGTTGTGCTAAACAGCAAAAGTGACTAAAGACATTATATTATCGTCAGTAGTTTTTTTTTATATTTTTATTATACTTGAAGTTCTAGGGTACATGTGCACAATGTGCAGGTTTGTTACATGTGTATACGTGTGCCATGCTGGTGTGCTGCACCCATTTACTCGTCATTTAACATTAGGTATATCTCCTAATTCTATCCCTCCCCCCTCCCCCCACCCCACAACAGTCCCCGGTGTGTGATGTTCCCCTTCCTGTGTCCAAGTGTTCTCATTGTTCAATTCCCACCTATGAGTGAGAACATGCGGTGTCTGGTTTTTTGTCCTTGTGATAGTTTGCTGAGAATTATGGTTTCCAGCTTCATCCATGTCCCTACTAAGGACATGAACTCATCATTTTTTATGGCTGCATAGTATTCCATGGAGTGTATCTGCCACATTTTCTTAATCCAGTCTATCATTGTTGGACATTTGGGTTGGTTCCAAGTCTTTGCTATTGTGAATAGTGCCACAATAAACATACTAGGTTCCAGACATTTTCTCTGAATTTACAAGCATGTAAATATATCCTTTTTATGTTTTACACAAATAAGAACATACTATGGCAAATTCCTTTTAAGAGTTTATCAAGGAAAAAATGTTCTTCTACAAAATACTATATACTTTCTTTTGATTGGATAGTGAGAATTCTCTAATCCAGTATCGCTTTTTCTTGACTGTCAGGAAGCTCAGTGCTAACTACAACATTCGGTTACTAAAATGTTCAGTTACCATTATTAAATCTCATTGAAGTATTTACTTTCCTCCTCTTTTCATAATTTTAGATTTCTAATTTCTAGCTTGTCTAGCTTTATGGTACCTCAAATGTCTTTTACTGTAAACTACCTCAAATTCTTTTTGAAAGAAGATGAAATTTTTGTTAAGTTCTTCTAATATCTAGTATTTTTTCACTCTATTATTTTTCCATTATGAAAGTAATGACTGCTTATACAAAATTTAGACAATAAGTGGAAAAGTAAGGAGAGAAAATTGCCCATGTTCCCACCACTGTTCTCACCACACATTATTAACATTTTGGTGTATTGCCTAGTTTTAAGAGTCAGAGAAACAGCCAAGTCATATAATCAGCTCGATTGAATAGATTCCTTACTAATCAAAATATCCCTGGAGACTTTAAATGATGGAAGGATCCAAGGAGAATTAACAACAATAAGGGAAGTCTCTGAAATTTGGACAATGCTTACCCAGAATTTATTCTTATAAGATTAGTACTAATACACAATCTACAAGTCCATCCTTCCCAAACATTATCTACCTACACCTAAACTAAAATAAAGCTCAAAAACAAAATGCTACATTTTCCTTAAGCTCCTATAATTGTACTTATCCATGAATTCAGTGGGAAAATTATTCCAACCAAAACAAAGGTCACATTTTCTAGATATCATAGCCAAAATTATGTTTTTGAGACACACATTTGATAACTAAGTAACCTTTAGATTACTAATTGTGTAAAGTTGCCAAGGTGATAAAAGCAAAACAAAAGTTCTAGAGAAACTTTAAGATTATTTGTGCACCTGCCTGTTTCCCCCACAAACAGAGCTATACTTTGATGGAAAATTAAGAAAATAATTATACAAAATATTATAATTTTAATACAGGAGTATTAGTCAGCTTGGGCCGCCATCACAAAATACCATAAACTGTGTGGCCTGAACAACAGAAATTTATTTTCTCACAGTTTTGGAGGCTGAAAGTCCAATATTAGGAAGCCAGCATGGTCAATTTCTAGTGAGGGCTCCCTTCCTAGCTTATAGACAGCCGCCTTCTTGATGTAACCTCACATTGCCTTTTCTTCATGTCTGCAAGTGAAGAGAAAGCAAGCTCTGGTGTCCTACTCTTCAAGGACACTAATCCTATCAGATCAGGGCCCTACCCTTATGACCTCATTTAGTCATAATTACTTCCATAAAGGCCATATGTCCATAAAGTCACATTGGGGGTTAGTCACATGATTTTTGAGGGATACGATTTAGTCTATAGCATTCCATTTGCTCTAATAGTCATATTTTCTGGCAGTAATTTTATGTAGCTCTGAATATTTTGAAAATAAGCACTTACAGAGGGGTAAGTTCTTCACCTCCTCTCTGAATAACATTTTACCAATAGCTTCATACAACAAAATAAGCTTCATAAAAACTAAACATGATATGAAGACACAAGTGGCAAGATATACATATGTACATGTGGGTGAGGAGGGAGGGAATAGAGAGGTTCAAAGTTCGTTCACTTCTGAATCAACTGAAACCTTGTGTTTCACCTTCAGATTTGGGTCCTAAAATACCCAGTATCATGAAACATAGCTAGGTTGGTAGGTAGATAGGTAGCTATGTTGAAACCATTAAAAATCGATGACCAAGTAGGTATACATGAAAGAATTGGATTCAGAATAAACAATGCAAGCTGAAATTAGAACATTTTGTTTTATGGTACCTTTATGTAAAGTATGCTTGTGTTTAAATATGGAATCAGGAAACTATTTTGGGTCAGAATTTAAAATAATCCCATTCTTTTGTATTTCTGATTAACACATTTGTCTTTGAGGTTCTTCACCTGAAGTACAAAACTAAACAGAAAAATATATAAATCAAATATTTTGGCCCTTCCCTGGTCTTCCTACCACAGGCTGATACTATTCAGAAAGCATGTCTTTTTCCTCACAACATCTGAAGTACAATATAGAAATTCATCCTTTTCTATATTGAAACTGGGCCTTTCCCCAAGATTTTTATTTTGCATTTAACAAAATAACAGCAAATATCAGGTATTAGAAGGATCGAAACAACCTCTTCTATTCTGTTGTCCTTAGAACACCATCTTTTATTCATAGCTTCTCTTGTGGTGCTGGGAGGCAGATTCTGTTGCTATAGCAACGCCCTGAATATCCTTGGGGATAGCTTACAGTTTTACTTTTTTTTTGAACAACAAAGAGCCATTGATACTACATGTTGCCAAAGGTTATAAAAGTTGAATTCTAAAATGAAAATATTTCTTCTATAGAAGTGGTACACCATATGTGTCCCACAAATTCAAAGAGATATGTAAGGATATGACCTTTGTGTGAACACTGATGAATCTAGTATAATACTGTTTGGATTCAATGGATTATTCACAGCAGAAGTAGTTGAAGTGTATGCCTTGTTTTCTAAGACCACTGTGGGGGATAAGGGGTTTATTCCCAGTATCTGTAAAGATCCAGGAGCAAGAAAAGATAAATAAATCAAAGGTCCCATCGCTTACATTTTGTTTGTTACTTTGTAATCACCTTCCCATCCCCACCCCCATCAAAATGAACTGCTATATCAAAATCCAATTACACTTTGACAGTAAATAGATCCTCAAAGAGTGGTTGCTACTGAATCCTTGCTCCTCAGAATAGATATTAAATGTACGAGATTCTCAAGTGCTCTGAAATCTGTATTCCTTGCTTCATTTTAACTGGATTCTCTTCATCTGTGAAAAAAAATTCCTTAGCTATCTGCTTTGTAAAACTAGGGAAAAAATTTCAAGTATTTCTTTCAAGATAAGTCAGCTCATCGCCCTAGAAACCTGAGGGGATGCACTGAGAAACACAAACGAAGAGTTGGAGGCACCACAGATTCATTTCCTGGAAAAACAGCCGTAAGAGCTTATAGAGGCTCAGGAGATGGGAATCTGGACTTTTCTCAATAATGGGAGAGAGTGATACATGCTGAAAATGTAGATAATACATTAGGATTGATCCCAATCTCCTCCACTCACCACAGCCTGCGCGAATTCACTGGAGTTAGAAGACCCTCCCAGCAGATCAAGAAAAACCCATGACCCAAGGCCATTCATTCATTCTTTCTTTCTTTTGTCAATATACTAAGTGCATGTTATGTCCCAAGCCAATCAAAGGCTTTCCAAATGCTTATTAAATGCCTGATTGTACTCTTGAAGAGTTAGTCTCTAATTCAATAAAGCCTTCGTTGGCACAGGTTCTATAGGTATAATATAGAGAACTTTATTAAAAATAACTGGTTTAGAGGGTAATCATAACTAGTAACAACAAACACACAGATTGTGTTTCTAAATACCGTTTCCCACTAAAAGGAACCAGGGTTACTTGGAGAAATGGCTGATTCCAAAAATGGTTGGAATAGGGAAAATACAAGGCAACCTGGAATATCTTGTTGTTCAAGAAAGCAAGAAAGTGCTTACATACTAATAGAGGCATGTCAAAAGGACACAAGAACTAATTTGAAGGAGCTCCCACTGTCCATATCTTGGACAATTTGATCATTAAAATGAATAATGACAGAGATAGATTATCACATTAAATAAAAAATAAATGCATGAGTCCATAGCAATACTTAGAAGAAAACAGGGCGGCAGAGATGGGGAGAAAAGAGAAGGAGGAGGAGGTAAGGGAAAAATAAAAGAAAGCTCCGCTTTACAGAAGAATACCAACTGTTATGGGCTGAATTACATCCCCACCAACATTTGTAGGTTAAAGCTTTAACCCCCAATGTGACTGTATTTGGAAAGAGGATCTTTAGGGAGGTAATTAAGGTTAAACGAGGCCCTAAGGATTGGGCCCTAATTCAACAGAACTGGTATCTTATAAGAAGAACACACCAAAGGGCTCTCTCATGCTTTCTCTCTCTCTCTCTCTCTCTCTCTCTACCCCCTTCTCTCCCCCCTCTCTCCCTCTCTCCCTCTTCCCCCCCATGCATATACACAGAGAAGAGATCCTGTGAGGACAAAGTGAGAAGGTGGCATCTATAAACCAGGAAGAGAGGCCACGCCAGAAACCAACCCTGGCAGCACATTGATCTTGACTTTCTAGCCTCCAGAACTATGAGAAAATAAATTTCCATTTACGCCACCCAGATTGTGGTGTTTCGTTTGGCAGCCCAAGCAGACTAATACACCAACTAAAAAATATTGAGGAAATGATAGAGTTAGAAAATCACCATTTTTCAACCACCAATGTAAAAATGATCAGTGGATACCAAAACCACTAGGTCAAAGATTATGGTTTTAAAATATGACCACATAGGTTAACTTTACAATAGGGAAATTAGGCATGACATTACCTTCCTAACCAAGCAATCAAACTTAGCATCATCAACAGTAGGACAGCCTGGTGTGTGCCTCCTGGTGGATCCAATAAGAAATACACATGACCTATCCAATAGTCTTGCAAAGAATGTTTAACCTGAGCCTAACTGTGAGAAAACAATCAGACAAATCCCCAAAGAGGAGACATTTTTGCAAGGCAACTGGCCTAGATCATTAAAACAGAGTCAATATCATAAATAAAAGAAGTCGTAGACCCCTTCTAGACTAAAAGTTTCTAAACATTACAACCACAGAATTAACCAACTTTCATAGGATCTTGGGTCAACAAAAGCACCTAAATAGATATATTGGGTATAACTGGGGAAATTTTTAATGGGCTGCATGTTAGATGACAAAACTGAATTCACATTAATTGTCTTCGGTATGAACAGTGTAATGGGTATATAGAAAATTGTCTTTACACTTAGATAGCGCAAACCAAAGTATCACTGGGTGAAGTATCACAATGTCTGCAACTTCAAGTGGTTCAATAATAACAGAAAAAGGATACATATATACATATATAAATAAATGGGGACCAGGCACAGTTGCTCACACCTATAATCCCAGCACTTTGGGAGGCCGAAGCAGGTGGATCGTTTGAGCTCAAGAGTTCAAGATCAGCCTGGACAACATGGTAAAAGCCCATCTCTACTAAAAATACAAAAATTAGCCGGGAGTGGTGGTGCACATCTGTGGTCCCAGCTACTCAGAAGGCTGAGGTGGTAGGATTGCTTGAGCCCAGGGGCAGCGCAGGTTTCAACGAGCCAAGATTGCGCTACTGCACTCTAGCCTGGGTGACAGAGTGAGACCCTGTCTCTAAATAAGTAAATAAATAAATAGGGAGCAAAATAAAGCAGAGGTAGTGAAATGTTAATAATTGATGGATGTAGTTGTAAAGGGTATACAATGTTCAATGTATTATTCTTTCAACTTTTCTGTGATTTAATTTTTTTTAATTTGCAGTTTAAAAAAATAATTAAGAAATATAACTATACTAAAGTGCTCAGAAACATTTTATGGCCTACAGTTCACTCTAGCTATTATCGACTATGCATCTACCGAGACCAAATGGTATAACCTAATGGTTAGCAAGCGTGGATATTTGTTCCCAACAGACCTGGGTTCAAAACTTGTCTCTCAGACTTTATACAAACAACAATATCTTTAAGGTTTAGTTTTTCTGCAGTGAAATGGGAATAATACCTAACTGATAAGCAGTTGAGAAGATTAAATGGGGCATATAAAATCTCAGGAGGCAATTATTATCACTGATGGTAGGAGGATAGGGATTGGAAGCTACACACTCTGGAAAGCAGTCTCCACTAAAACTATGACATCACTTACTAACAGTGAGTGACTGCATTATATTATTAGTAACCATTTTTGTGGCAAGAGTCTTTTCATCCAAATCAAAAGTTCCTTGAAGGCAAGAACCACGTCTTTCCTGATTTCTATATCTCCCAAAGAACCCTGTACAATGTTACACATGATAATATTTCATCTGTACGTTATGCCTGATCAGCACTTCTCAACTATGGCTGAACATTAGAATTGCCTGGGGAGGCTTTTAAAAAGTCCGATCCCTGAACCCCATCCCCAGATCATTTTTATTTTGTTGGTCTGAGGTAGGACTTGGGCCTCAAGTTTTTAAAAAAAATTCCCAGGGAGATTGTAAAAGGTTTATATTTTGTTTCTCCTTAGGGCAATGGCACAAGCCGTTGCTGCCAAATTTCCACCCGCCTTGGAGTAACCTGAAGTGTCAGATTAGGTAAATTTGTGTTTTAACATGTCAGCCTTCTCCCATGAGCTGCTAACTTCAGACCATTTGTAAGATCACCATCATGTAGGCTGTTAACATAAAACATGACAGGTTTGTGCTTTACTTTATCAAAATGTATAATTATACCTAATGCTGCTCTTTCTTCAGTTGACGAAAACTATAAAAGGCCTTTTCCTAAACCCCAAGTTTGGGTAAGTTTTCACAATAGAACAAGCATCCAAACAGCAGAAACGTGACAGTAACAGTGCATTAGTTGATAATGTGGACTTTCACAATTCAGAAAATAATTTCATTTGTGTCCCAGAGAAATCAAAACAGAGGGCAGAACACCTGAAGGATAAAAGAAGGAGATCTGTGGGACCAGAGGTCAGAATCAGTGAGCATAATAAGAAATGAGAACAAGAGCGTTTTATCACCTCCATCTAGCCAGCTGCCAATGTTGGCAAACAAGTTCCTAATATGAATGTACCCAGGCACTGGGCTGAAAGTTGAGCACGCTCCTCCCTGCATCTTCCACATGAAGGCCGCTGTGACCATGAGTCTTAGCTACAACTTGGTGGTCTGACATATCCATATACATTTTCCCTGCCCTTGGCTGTACATTTACTGACCTTGAACTACTGGGAAAGCATCATGTGTCATTAATATAGTAAAGAGAAAGGGCACTCATAGGGCATAATAAGATATAATTATAGGCCCGGCGTGGTGGCTCATGCCTGTAATCCCCGCACTTTGGGAGGCCGAGGCGGGTGGATCACCTGAGGTCAGGAGATCAAGCCCATCCTGGCTAACACGGTGAAACCTCGTCTCTACTAAAAATACAAAAAATTAGCTGGGCCTGTAATCCCAGCTACTCAGGAGGCTGAGGCAGGAGAATCACTTGAACCAGGGAGGCAGAGGTTGCAGTGAGCTGAGATCACACCACTGCACTCCAGCCTGGGCGACAGAGCGAGACTCCGTCTCAGAAAAAAAATAAAAATAAAAAAGATACAATTATAAATAAGACTTTGTTTCTTTAAAGGAACCAGGGCTAAACCATTTCTAAGAACTCTTTATCCAATTCCTTACTTAATAACCAAGTAACCATGGCCAAGTTACTTAGCTTTTCAAAGCTGAAGTTTCCCCATCTGTCAAACACAGATAGTAAAGTGCCTACTTCATAGGGTTGTTATGAGGATTAGAGAATGCATGTCAAATATTTAGTATGGTTTCTCACACATAGTATTATTAGCTAAATGGAAACTATTATTATATCTCTAATATAGTAATAAATCCAAACCCAGCAGATTCTTCGGTGGAAAAATAAAACAAAGATATGAACGCCCAAGTGAATTCCTATTTCCATTAATCTATATGATAAAAAGCTTAGATTTAGATAAAATTTCAGTAGATAATAATCTGATGATTTATCCCAACTTTGCTTTGGCAGTATCTTCAAACAAAATTTAGATATTTAAAGTCATTGTCCTTAAAAGAGACCCTAAAGATTCAATTACTTATTGAATAGACAGTTTCAAATTGTATAAACAAATTCTCATTTCTTCTAATCCTAAGCCATGCCCTCCAAAAACAATAACAAAGATGATGTTACAGTGTCTCCTAGTGGGCCCATTTTCACTCATTGCCAACACATGTGTGACTAATAGTAAAGCATTTGCAAGTAAATTTTTAACTAAAAAGAATAATTCAAATGAAATAAAACCATATTGGGCAAGACAACATGGAAGCACCATGCACTAACAGCTGGAAACTGAAGGTAAAAAAACATACATGGACTTGATTGGAGCAAAAGGAGTGATAATTTAGTGATTAGCTAGTGTAGGGGAGGAAAAAACTTTTCCCTCTCAGGTTCACTATTTGGGGGCCTATGAATTAAACTGGCAAAAGACAGATTAACAGGAGAAAAGCATAAATAGTTATTGAGTTCACATGTTATGTGTGAGGGGCTTCACAGAAAATAAGTAAAAACCCAAAGAAGCAGTTAGACAGGGGGCTTATATACCATTTTAAGAAAAGGCAATAAATTATAGAGAAGTGACTAGACAAAGGAAAGTGGGTTTGAGCTCCTAGGGGTGGTGTAATAAATTGTGGGAAGGTGACTAGGAAATATATGATGGATAAAGGTTGTTTAGAAAGGTTTGTTATGCACACTCTTCTCTGTGCCCTCTCTGGTCTTCCTGGAATGGGAGAGGGAAATGCTTTTACAAATAGCAATTTCTGTCACCTTTACAAAGAGAAATTTATGCCCTGCTTTTAGACAGAAGCAGGGAGGGCAAAGAACTTTTCCTGGGTCTGCTGTTTCTTCAGTTGCCTTCAGCTTAAAGTAATCCTTATGCCAAAGTGGTATTTTTGGGTGTGGCATATTCTGGACCTCTTCACTAAAAAACAACTGAAGCCTCAAGTTGAAGAATTTCCAGGAGAAGATTCTTCTAAGTAATACAACATAGGTGGAAAAAAGTATTTTGCCTACACATTTTGAAGTAGCCTAAAGGAGAAATATTAGAAGTGAACTAGATAAGATATGCCAAAAGAAAATTAAAGAGTTCTTATTATTACCAGAAAGTGGTCCCAATCCACACCCCAAGAGAGGGTTCTTGGATCTCATCCAAGAAAGAATTCCAGGCAAGTCTACAGGGTAAAGTGAAAGCAAATTTATCAGGAAAGTAAAGGAAGAAAAGAATGGCTACTCCATAGGCAGAGCGGCCCTAAGGGCTGCTGGTTGGTTATTTTTTTTCTGGATATTTCTTGATTATATGCTAAACAAGGGGTAGATTATTCATGAATTTTCCTGGAAAGCGGCAGGAATTTCCTGGAATTGAGGGTCCCTCCCTATTTTAGACCATATAGGGTAACTTCTGGGTGTTGCCATGGCATTTGTAAACTGGCATGGCACTGGTGGGAGTGTTGCTTAGCATGCTAATCCATTGTAATTAGCATATAATGAGCAGCAAGGATGACCATAGGTCAGTTTTGTAACCATGTGTTTTTGGCTGGTTTCTTTATCGCATCCTGTTTTATCAGCAAGGTCTTTGTGACCTATATCTTGAGCGGAGCTCCTATCTCATCCTGTGACTAAGAATGCCTAACCACCTAGAATGCGACCCAGCAGGTCTCAGCCTCATTTTACCCAGCCCCTATTAAAGATGGAGTCACTTTGGTTCAAACACCTCTGACAGTATGAAGGTAAGAGAAAGGGAACTGACTTAAAAAATTCTCAAAAAGGCAAAGCTAGATTGTCTCAAAGGTTTGTTTTTGGGGAACGGCCACTTTTGATGTTGTTCTTGTTAGCTTTTACTAGAGCTTTAAACAGTTAGGGAAATATTTACTAGAAGTATCATAACAGATATGTATGCAGCATATAAATCTATTTTACGTTTATTAAATTTAACATGCAGAACAAATCATAAATTTAAGGATTCTAGCCCCTTAATGAGAAACGACTTATAACTGCTCTAATGAAACAATTCCCATAACAAGATGAAGTGTTACTTTTAAATCCAGGTGCTGGGTGGGCCATTGGCAGCCTGCTAAACCTCTGTAGGCTTCAATAACACTATGGATACAACAGAAGAGCTAGGTTAAATGGACCCTGAAGTCCTCTCCTCCATGAAGTTGTTTCAATATAAATGGATATGACTCTTGTTAAAACGTGTCTCTTCCTTTACCCTCGGCCACACTTTTTAAATTGTATCTCTTCCTCAAAAAAATAGTTGCATTATGCATGATGGGATAAAAAACACATTTTCTTCCCTTTTCCTTTTATAAAAAGAACTGGATTATAGGTATTTTTAGGTTCCCCAAATCTCATAACGCCAACATTTTGAACATTTTAAAATATATTGCTATCTCAAGAAGCTGTAAAGTTTTTAACCAAGTCCTAATAATTAAACTTGGTTTGGAATGAATTACTAGGTTGGTGCAAAAGTAATTGCGATTTTTGCCATTACTTTTGCACCAACCTAATATTAGTATAGTTATTTAAATGCCATTTGGAAAAATTGCAGAATGCTTTTCAAACTTCATATGCATCTAAGTATTAGCTCTCTGGATATTTGCACAGATCACATTGAGTACAAGGGACTAATATATCTCCCACAGAAATGTATACCTCAACAAGCAAGAGCATGGGATTAATTCGAGTTAAGCATGCTATTACTGACCATGTTCATAGATCCCAAACTGATTTCTTAAACTTTTCCAGTGATGCTTTTCCTTTATCTTTTTGCAAAATTTCATACTTACATTTTTTATCCTATATCTTAGAGTAAAAAAGTTTTGAAATTATGCTAATGTATTAAAGTTATAATCCTAAACATGCAAAAGTTCTGGCTCTCAAAGAACATTTTCTAGTCCCTAAGAGCTTGAAAGTAGCTCAGAGGACCAGCAGTAGGGGGAATGTTGCCCGTGATCACCTTTCACTTTTAAGCATGCTTTTTCCAGTTCAATTTTGCCCTTTCTTTTCATTCTAGTTATTTGGGGCCTTTTCTAAGTACTGTCAAATAGGAAATTACCACAAAGACAAGTGGAAGAAAAAACATTTTAAAAATAACTTCACACACCACCTGCAATTCTAGTAAATGCCTCACTCTCAGAGTGTGCGGGCATTTGGAGATTTCCCTCAAATCAGCTGTGCTGCCCCACCACAGGGATCGGTCGGTGTTCCCTTTTCAGCTCAGTAATCAAATAGCTTTGACTGGTCCGTGTCTGCTTTTGTCCACTTCTGACCTACGTGTTCCTGTGAGGGACATCTTTGTCTCACTTTTCTTTGGTCACTGAGTTCATGTACCTCAATAGGCTAAGTCTTGCAGTCCATTAATGAGAATTCTCAGCTCAGCTCTAGGCCACCCAGAAACCCCGGTTGCATGTTCTCGCTGAATGGCTTCACTGGTGGCCCATTCAAATGTGCTAATGTCAGAAAAAAAGGTTGAATGGGGCACCAATGTACACCATTGCCGAAGCAAAGTGACTGCGGCTTCCAACAAAGCTTCCGCTGTGGCGATGTTAAGCAGAGTTATCAATGGTGCGGAGGCTGAGCAAGGACTAATGCTCCAATCATGCCATCCACAGGTGGCACAGATGCAGCCACTTCAATATGAAATCACAGTGCAAAGTTCACTGGCAATTCAATCCTGCCTCCAGCTTCCAATCTCCAGATACATTGTGTAGATATGCCTCCTTCTCTTTCTGGTTCTGAGGCTCTTTGAATAAGTTTGCAGAAGACATTTTGGGTGAGAGATGAAGTGAGCGTTTGTTCCAATTTTTCTTAGAGTTACACCTCCAGTTGAGAAGCTTTCTTAAAGCCGTTTATTTCCTCATGGATGTACAGAAGCAGATAAAGCATTTTCTCGGGGCTTATCCCAGAAGCACTAAAAGGGCATTTGAGCTCAGCAAAGGAATGTTTTGATTGTGCAAAACAGATGTCACATTATGGCCGCATATTGCTACTTCTCATAAGAGAACATCTTGAATCACAACTAAATTATGAAGAGGTGATGACCAAACCAATTCTGTAGCCCCTCTTCCCCTAATCACGGCAAATGAAAGAAAAAAGATGATGGACCAGCTCCCAAGTTTTCCTTCTAAACAGATATTTCTGGGAAGACACATAAAAGGAACTGAAAAGTTAGGATTTTTATAATTTTAAAATTCACTTTAAGACCCCTGAGTTTCTGAATTATTCACAAATATACATGATTCCCACACATTCACATGGAAGAATAGCCCAAAATTAGAGTCCCACTATCATCCAAACTTTACATCAAGACGAACCAGTACTGAAGCCTCCCAGATTCCTAATCCTTAATTGCTGGTGAGAGTCTGCAGAGCAAGGTCATTTGCATGACAACCTCAGCCTTCTCAGAGGGCCCAAGATTTTGCTTGGCTACTCACTACAAGTCAAAATATACAGAAGTAATATATAAAATATACTACTTTAGTTCTTCAGCTCCTTGAAAACCATTTCTCCACTCCCAAATGAAAAATAGCATACAAAAAAAAGTATAGCATATCTTATCACCTCAGCTAACTTTTCAAAGTTATAATTTTACTGGAAGATAAAGTCCAAAGCATACAGTGTACATACACACACACACATGAACTCAACCCACATGGATTATTATTATTATTATTATTATTATTATTTAGATGGAGTCTCACTCTGTCACCCAGGCTGGAGTGCAGTGGCGTGATCTTGGCTCACTGCAACCTCCGCCTCCTGGGTTCAAGCGATCCTCCTGCCTCAGCCTCCCAAGTAGCTGGGACTACAGGTGCATGCCACCACGCCGGGCTAGTTTTTATATTTTTAGTAGAGACGGGGTTTCACCATGTTGGTCAGCATGGTTTTGAGCTCTTGACCTCGTGCTCTGCCCGCCTTGGCCTCCCAAAGTTGAGATTACAGGCGTGAGCCACAGTGCCCAGCCATGATTTTTTAAATATTCCAGAATGATAACACTGGGGAACTCCCAACTAAAGAGTAGGCCCCAAGAACTTGTTCTGATCTCGTTTAAAGACGAATGATTTTCATGGAGGGAATTCTCAGGGACCCACATCGTCTATCTGACCCTGCACAGGGGCCCTCCTGGTGCCTCACTGTATCTGGTCACCAAGCCAGCAGCTGGTGCTGGGCAGCTCTCATACAGGAGCTTCCTTTTAAGACTTCAGCTCCAAGGTGTCTCCACACAATCCTCTCGCTCACATATGTTAAAGTCTTATGGGGAATCATATTCCAGGTCAGCAGTTCTAGGCCCAAGAGGGAAAGAGACAGGTGCCCCAAAGCCACTAACTAGCCCTAAGAATTTTTTTTTTCTTTCTCTTTTGCAGGCATATAAAAGAAGGTTTCTCCCTCACTATTCCTCGCCTTCTAATTCTAGTAAGTTTTTCCTACTATTTTCCTCAAGCTAGATTAATTATGAAGCAAGAAGGTCTTATAAATTATTTGTGATTTTTAATGTAATGTCACATTCATTTTCCCCTAATTTTTCATAATGAAAATGAATTAATTTTATACTTAGAAAAAGTTATTTTTTAAATAATAAAGTTAATCTTTGATCTTTCACTCCTCAGAAATGGAATTTTGCCATCAATTCGCTAAGAAAATTAAATATTTTCATGTCATGTTAGTAAGAGAAACAACTGGCTAATTTTTATTTTGTACTTACTCTTACCAGTTTATTATGAAGGATACAACTCAGGAGCAGCTAAATGAAGAGATGCTGAGGGCAAGGCACACTCTGCGTGCACCACCTTCCTAGCGCCTCATTGTGGTCACAGACGTAGATGCTTCCACCTGGCTAGTGGAAGCAGCTATTTATTTGGAAAGAAAATCCAAATTACACAATCAAGGGAAAAAAATTCTTTTTTCTCTCTCCATAATTTCCTTCTTTATTAATCATACTTCACCCAAAGCTATTTAAGATTTTATAAACTTAAATTTTATTTTATTTTATTTGAGTCAGGGTTTGGCTTGTTGCCCAGGCTGGAGTGCAGTAATGCGATCTCAGCTCACTGAAACATTCACCTCCCAGGCTCAAGCGATTCTCCTGCCTCAGCCTCCTGAGTAGCTGGGACTACAGGCGCCTCCCTACCTGGCTCATTTTTGTAGTTTTTTGTAAAGACAGGGTTTCGCCATGTTGCCCAGGCGGGTCTGGAACTCCTGAGCTCAAGGGATCCACCTGCCACAACCTCCCAAAGTGCTGGGATAATAGGCCTGACCCACAGCACCAGCCTAAACTTAAAGTTTTTAAATCTATGGCTTCTTAGTGGGACCTGAAGGCTGCATGACCATCCTTCACATAAACAGCTCAATTTAGAAGCCAGAAGGATTAGTATGTATTCTAAAGTGCAAAAATAGCATAGATCATTTAAGTGGGGTAGCATCTGAGGGTATTTAGGTCTTGGTCCAGGAAACTGCAACCAAGGGATGCCCTGGCTTACCCATTTGGGTTATTCTGGCATATTTCTGTAGAGAAAGAGAAATATCTTTCCCTCACCCATTCGATGATCACGGCTGAGTCCCCCCATAACAAAAGAAGAATTAACAAGAGAAAAGCATACACATTTACTTAATATCACTTTTGCAGAACACGGGAGCCTTCATAAGGAAATGAAGACTAGAAGAAAGTGGTAAACCTTTATAATTTTTAAGTTTGACAAACAAGTCGAGAGTCACGAAGACATGATTGGATAAAAAGTATGATCTAATTTAATAAATGGGGGTGGGGAGTACTTAGCAAGACCTGTTTGTTCAGATTCTTCTCTGTGTTCCTGTGTCTTCAGAGGTAAGGATGTTCCTTTCCTCCTGGTAGAGGAAGGGCACCTCTCAAATGAGTGTCTTATGACCCTCTTCAGAGGAAAATCAGAAAACCCTTCCAGGTTTTCTTACCTGCTTCAGGGGAAGAACGCAGACGGGGTGAGAATGACTTCCTTGCTTCTGCTGTTTTCTCAAATGCCAAGGTGCGATATTTTGGAGTACCATGTCCTGAACCCCATCATTGCCAAATAGAGAATGTAATGGTCGCTTTTTACAAAATAAACATAACTGAAAACCGGATTGGGTTAGAATCTTGCCACCTGGCTTGCATTATTTCTTTTATCCTTATTTTTTATGCAGATAAGCTTAAGAAGTCAGACCTTAAATGGCATTTTTTTAAAGGTGCCTCTGGATTTTACTTTCTTCAGTGGCTCTAAAGAAGCTCCACAATTGTCCAGAAAGAATGGGCCAATACACAGCTGTCCCTTTGTTTATAATTCCTTCCCTCCTCCCTGTGGTCTCCTTTCCTGCAGTCCCTCCCCCAGTGGCCCAAACTTTGCTTTTGAAGGCATCCTTGACTTCAGAGAAGTTAGACCATGTCGTGAATGTCTCTTCCTTCTCTAAGGCAGGCTAATAGAGATAATGGGCCCTGTGGGAGACAAGAAGCCAAAGAAAGAGAAGGGTTCCTTTGGATACTTAAGGGAATTATTGACAAGGCTCAGCCGACTCAAACTCACAAATTAAAAAAATAAAAAGCAGCTGAGGTCGTTCTGCTAGGTCTTTTATGCAATCAAGTGAAATAAAGTGTGCTGACTTTTGGGTGGGGGGTTCATAAGGGAGATCGGAGAGGGGAGTAATTTAATTTCTTAAATCTTGCATATGCCACATACTGAAGATTCTAAATAAATTTTTTGGCTAATTGAAACTATTAGTTGAGACTACACCCAGAAAAAGTTACTAGCATTTTGTTCACTGGACAGAAATTAAACAAAGGATGAATTTTACTTAAGCGAGGAAAAGTCAATATCAATCATTTGATAAGGGTTAGAAAGCAAGCACTTAAATGCTATTGTAGGAAGAATCAGAAAGGATTTAGCCGAAATCCCTTGTTTTTCCCACCAGCCTATGTTTTTCCCTGAAGATAGACAAAGGACAAAGTTACTTTCCCAATTTCCCTAATTTCAGTAAAGAACTCTTTGCCAGATTCTTCTGGTGTTGTTTTCAAGCCCTTAAAGTGTGGCCTTTTCTGTGCATGGACTAGATTTTATGTGCAGGAACTCAAGGATGGGAATACATCCACCAACGCGTCTCCTCAGAGCAAAATCTGCCTCCATTAACTTTAAAGCTGAAACTCAATAACTCTTGTTCTTACTGGATCCTAACTCCAAAAATTCACTCACACCTACCCCCTCCTTTCCAAAGAATGACTAAATTGGGAGGCTGGGACAGAAACATTCCAAATAAGAATCAATCATTACATTGGTTCCAATTCTTCCTCTACGGTTACAAGGTGAGGAAGGTGTTGATGATACTGGTGAGGGCTGCATGACTGTCCTTCACATGAACAGCTCAATTTAGAAGGCAGAAGGATTAGTATATATCCCAAAGTACAAAAATAGCATAGATCATATTTGAGGCATTAATACAAATATACATAGTAAACATTCTCCTGTGTACTTTGTTATTGTTATTACAGATATTGTTTTGGGTTTTTTTGTTTGTTTGTTTGTTTGAGACGGAGTCTTGCTCTGTCGCCCAGGCTGGAGTGTAGTGGCATGATCTCGACTCACTGCAACCTCCACCTCCCAGGTTCAAGTGATTCTTCTGCCTCAGCCTCCCGAGTAGCTGGGACTACAGGCGTGCACCACCACGCCCAGCTAATTTTTGTATTTTCAGTAGAGATGGGGTTTCACCACGTTGGCCAGGCTGCTCTCGATCTCTTGACCTCGTGATCCACCCGCCTCGGCCTCCCAAAGTGCTGGGATTACAGGCATGAGCCACCACACCCAGCCACAAATATTGTTTTTATGAAAAAAAAAATCATATTTATTTTTTACCTGTCTTCTTTTTGACCCTAGTGCAGAATTAGTCTGGCATTGTGTGCACTCTACTCCTAGGAGGCAAATCCCTTCATTGAAAGAAAATCTTGCTCCAAGTATTCCACACTCAGTTACTAGATAAAGAGAACTAGCTGAGAAAGATGTATAGAAGGTATTTTAGGTCAACACAACAAATTCCATATATGCACATGGGCAGATCTATATCTCAGAGCAGAAACATTCCATAGAAGATCTATTCCTTTATGGAATAACTTTTCTCCCTCCTGCCTACTAAGCTTCCAAACAAGCATCCAGCTTTCTTTTCTTCTCCAACGAACGACATTTGCATTGTAGAATCACTTTTCAGCAAGACATACATGGAGTTTGAGTTTTAAAAGCAAGTGTCAATTGAAACAATTTATTGTACACAAATTTTAATTGTCTTTAAGGAAGGAAAGTCAATTATGTCAAGATCCCTAGCAAACCTACCACCTAGTGACATGATGCATATTTGGCTACACTTCCAGCACTTGTCATAAGCTGCAGACGCCATCTTCCTGGACCGCTTTTGAAGTTGTAATGTTTTTGCACTTCAAAGAGGTACCAAGACAACAGTAGGAATGAAGAGAGTGGGTCCTATTCCCCAATTCAGAAAATGTCAGACATAGTTTATGAACCTACATGGCTTTCTATTTCATCATCAAAATCTTCCTCACCAAAGGATTAAAACTAGCTAGAGCACAGTGGATTGCATTTATTAATATGGTCTATTGAAGACTTTGACATAAAATATTTAGCAATGAATTCTCTATATCAACTGAAGAATTCTCTACACCTTTTTAATGGGGGTGGCAAAAATAAATAGTAGGGCCCTTAACAAAATTATTTCAAATCTATCACCTTCTTTCTTTGTAGCATTCTTGAAAGACTCTACCATCATCAAATGACCCTTCTGTGCTCTTGAATTCCACTGGCAAGAGCTACATAGCTCCTGGGTTAACTCTAAGTAATAAATTAACAAATCTGAGTAAGATTTATGTATTTAAAAATCAACAGCTCTGACTTCACTGCTCAGTACAATTTTCTATATTGTAAGGCCCGATAAAGTTTTTAATCTTTTAACAACTTACAAAGTAAACAGTGACTGGCACCCAAACCTGAAAGAAAGCCAGCAGCAGGTCTAATGAAAATCATGCAGAGAGCCCATCAGACATTAAGTAAATACTCTGCTTCTGTTTTCCAGTCCCTTTTTGTTTGGTTACCATGGTGACCTCTTTTTGTGGGGGTAACTTGGAATGTATAAGGATTTGCTACAATTAGATGCTTGTGTACTATTGGCCAGTATGACACAGATAGTTTCTTTTCTTAAACTAAAAAGAAATAAAAGAGAAGAAAAGACACTGGTGAATGTGGAAAAAGCCAACAGGCACTTTGGCAACCAAAGAAAAATTTTGTAAGCCTACTTATCTTTCAGAACTGTTTTCACAGTTGCTCTTAATAAAAATGTCCATCTCTCCCAGCCTGTGATTACTCTCCATATCCCCCAGCCTGTGATTTCTCTCCATCTCTCCCACTTGTGATTTCTCTCCATATCCTCCAGCCTGTGATTTCTCTCCATATCCTCCAGCCTGTGATTACTCTCCATATCCCCCAGCCTGTGATTTCTCTCCATCTCTCCCAGCCTGTGATTTCTCTCCATATCCTCCAGCCTGTGATTTCTCTCCATATCCTCCAGCCTGTGATTACTCTCCATATCCCCCAGCCTGTGATTTCTCTCCATCTCTCCCAGCCTGTGATTTCTCTCCATATCCTCCAGCCTGTGATTTCTCTCCATATCCTCCAGCCTGTGATTACTCTCCATATCCCCCAGCCTGTGATTTCTCTCCATCTCTCCCAGCCTGTGATTTCTCTCCATATCCTCCAGCCTGTGATTTCTCTCCATATCCTCCAGCCTGTGATTACTCTCCATATCCTCCAGCCTGTGATTTCTCTCCATATCCTCCAGCCTGTGATTACTCTCCATATCCTCCAGCCTGTGATTTCTCTCCATATCCTCCAGCCTGTGATTACTCTGCATATCCTCCAGCCTGTGATTACTCTCCATATCCTCCGGCCTGTGATTACTCTCCATATCCTCCAGCCTGTGATTTCTCTCCATATCCTCCAGCCTGTGATTACTCTCCATATCCTCCAGCCTGTGATTACCCTCCGTGTCCTCCGGCCTGTGATTACTCTCCATATCCTCCAGCCTGTGATTTCTCTCCATATCCTCCAGCCTGTGATTTCTCTCCATATCCTCCAGCCTGTGATTACTCTCCATATCCTCCAGCCTGTGATTTCTCTCCATATCCTCCAGCCTGTGATTTCTCTCCATATCCTCCAGCCTGTGATTACTCTCCATATCCTCCAGCCTGTGATTACTCTCCATATCCTCCAGCCTGTGATTACTCTCCATATCCTCCAGCCTGTGATTACTCTCCGTGTCCTCCGGCCTGTGATTTCTCTCCATATCCTCCAGCCTGTGATTACCCTCCATATCCTCCGGCCTGTGATTTCTCTCCATGTCCTCCGGCCTGTGATTTCTCTCCATATCCTCCGGCCTGTGATTACTCTCCATATCCTCCAGCCTGTGATTACTCTCCATATCCTCCAGCCTGTGATTACTCTCCGTGTCCTCCGGCCTGTGATTTCTCTCCATATCCTCCAGCCTGTGATTTCTCTCCATATCCTCCGGCCTGTGATTTCTCTCCGTGTCCTCCGGCCTGTGATTTCTCTCCATATCCTCCGGCCTGTGATTACCCTCCATATCCTCCGGCCTGTGATTTCTCTCCATATCCTCCGGCCTGTGATTTCTCTCCGTGTCCTCCGGCCTGTGATTACCCTCCGTGTCCTCCGGCCTGTGATTACCCTCCGTGTCCTCCGGCCTGTGATTACCCTCCGTGTCCTCCGGCCTGTGATTTCTCTCCATATCCTCCAGCCTGTGATTACCCTCCATATCCTCTGGCCTGTGATTACTCTGCATATCCTCCAGCCTGTGATTACTCTCCATATCCTCCGGCCTGTGATTTCTCTCCGTGTCCTCCGGCCTGTGATTACCCTCCGTGTCCTCCGGCCTGTGATTACCCTCCGTGTCCTCCGGCCTGTGATTTCTCTCCATGTCCTCCGGCCTGTGATTACCCTCCGTGTCCTCCGGCCTGTGATTACCCTCCGTGTCCTCCGGCCTGTGATTACTCTCCGTGTCCTCTGGCCTGTGATTACTCTCCATATCCTCCAGCCTGTGATTTCTCACCTTCTTGACCTTCCCAACTATTCCTTAGCTGTAACACATATACTGCACTTCATTTTACTTTCGTTATTCAATCATTGTTTTATGGATATGTCTTATCCCTTTAGGAGATTGCAAAAGTCCTTCAGGGCAGCGACCACATCTTCTACTTTTGAGGCAGTGTGATACAATGAAGAAACCATGGAAGTGGAATTAGATTCAAACAATTGTGGTCTAGGTTCTGAAACCAATTAGTCGTTCAGTATTTAGATAAGTCTCTTTAACTTCACTGAGCCTCTGTTTCCATATGATAAGATTCATGCCCATAAATGTGTAATAATTGGATTATTTTATACTGTCTATTAAACCTGTGGTATGTATTTACTATTTTTTTTTTATTTTGCAATGGGGTTTCGCTATGTTGCCCAGGCTGGTCTTGAACTCCTGGCCTCAAGCAATCCTCCCACCTCAGCCTCCCAAAGTGCTGAGATTACAGGCATGAATCACTGCACCTGGCCATGTTTACTATTTATATCCTGAATTAAGTTTAATCGATTCAATATTGTAGTTTAAAATTCTGTCTCAGGCAGCCCTAAATATATGGAAGATTAAGACAACTGCCTCTGCTCCCAAACCCAAGAGACTTTATCACTTTGTTATGGATTCTCAGACCACAAATTTTAAATCCGTGGTTGGGCAGGGTGAGGATAGACTACTTCTAAGACGAAAAAAGGAAGCAAGTTAGTTGTCTGTAGTTACAAAGAAAAATAAGAGCATCGGTACAAGCTCAAAGACTTTCTTAGCCTTCAGTGTCACCTGACTCATGAGAAAGCAAAACAGCATTACTATTGTGTCTCACCTAGATCCAGAGACTCAGAATGACAGAGGGATTGTTTACTTAAAATATCCTCACTGCTTTTCTTTCAAACAGTATCTATTAAAGTTTAGACCTATCACTAGACATATCAAAGGGGTTCAAATCTCAGCTAGATTGTTGTGCAGTCCAAAGATTATCTAAATTCTTCTTCACTCACTGTGATCACTCCAGATGCTTTAAGCCCTTGTTCAGCCTGCTCAAGGAAGTTACCCATTCAGGCTATTTCAACATCTTCAGCGGTGAGAAACTCACCATACTTCAAAGCTATTCATCCCATGTTCAAGCAGCTCTAATTGTTAAATAATTCTTCCTTATATTAGAACCAAATCCCTCTTCTCTGCTATTCTATACTTTGGTCTCAGGCTACAATTGCTCTGGGATTGTTTGCAATTCTTTCCTTCTGGGTACACATCAGTTTTCCAAATCCTTCTTCAAGACACTCACAGAGCTAAACACAGTCCTCTACTCTGGTCGACCAATGCAGTGCCACTTCCATAGTTAATTCAACAGTATGACTGTGTTCCTGTTGAGGGCTACATGCCCGAGATGTGAAGATAAATTAGACAATATCTTTGGTTTTAAGGAGATGAAGGTCTATAAGTGGAGCCAGCTTGGTGTGATGGCTCACGCCTGTAATCCCAGCACTTTGGGAGGCCAAGACAGGTGGATCACGAGGTCAGGAGTTCGAGACCAGCCTGACCAATATGCTAAAACCCCGTCTCTACTAAAAATACAAAAATTAGCTGGGCATGGGGGCGCACGCCTGTAGTCCCAGCTACACAGGAGGCTGAGGCAGAAGAATCGCTTGAACCCAGGAGGTGGAGGTTGCAGTGAGCCGAGATCACGCCACTACTATCTACTCCAGCCTGGTGACAGAGCAGGACTCCATCTCAAAAAAAAAAAAAAAAAAGGAGCCAAGAAGGTTAGCAAATATGTCCAACAGAAGGGTTAAGGTCTAAGGAGGAAAGTACTGTAGTGTTCCAAAAAGGATGTTTTCAGTTCTCCCTCAGGCGTGGGAAAGGACCAGCAAGTTTCATGGAGGAGGTGTTACTGGACAGTCCAAAGAAAGAGCATTCCAAGCAGAAGCAATTATAAGTGAAGGTTCTGCCATACGCTTCAACATGATCAATTCAACTTCAAAAAGTTCATATTGACCAAAACGCAAGGTATGAGGCATGACCAGGCAAGAACTGAGGTTGGAAGCATAAGCAATGGAGGACAGTGTGTGCCACACTAAGGCATCTGAACTGTTTCCTACAGTCCAGGGGTCTCAAAACTGGGGTGCACACACCACAGGGGACACACAAGATGATCCACTGGGGTAAATTATGGGAACTTCTAACTTATTTTTACTCCAAGATTTAGGAAAATGTTAAGCTTCACTAATATTTCATTTCAATTAACAATCAATAGGTCTGAATGTCAAACTGTCACACATCATATAGTGAGCAGAGCATCCTGCAGGAAAATGGAATCCCATAATATGAAGGGTTGGACCATCACCTCATCATTCTTTTTTGTAATTATTGTAACATGTTGCATTTTATGGTGTCCAGTTAAATAGATTTATGAATATTACCTAGTTTTAAGCAAATAACTGTCATAAAATAGATAAATTAAAAGATCTCTTCCAAGAAACACCACACTGAAGATAATTCTAATAGAGTTAGCACAAGAGAAACTGAGAAAAAGGCAAAACTGATCCTTCTATTCCTTGTATAATATCTTTGCCAGATAAAAATACTAACAATTCATTGACCACAAATATGTGTGTGTGTGTGTGTGTCTGTGTGTGTATGTATGTGTATATATAGTGTATATATATATATATATATATATATATATATACACACACACATATAAATATGAAGAAGCCTATTTAAAATATGGATTTATATCTAGGCTATGAAAACCTTACAAAAATTTACTAAATTTGATAAAGATTAAAAAGTCTCTTTTGCAGGATTTTTATTCAAAAGTACAAATTAAAAATACCTGTTCTTTCTGCCTTAGGAAGCATGGTCAACAACATTCTGAGGGCGGTGTGGTGACCATCTCACAGGAGGCAGTGGCCCTGCCCACATTCCTTTTGTCCAGATTGTCCCTATGCCAGACAACTGCATCTTGCCGCAACACCTGTGTTCTCCACCTGAGGGCTCTCTCTGGGGCCGCAGATAGGTAGGCCGGAAGTGCTTGGTTATTGGTGTCTAGCCAATGACAAACATATAAGAGCTGAGGGATGTATTGCCTTCCATGTGACACAACTCAGAATCTGTACTGACTCCAGAGGGTCCCAGGGGGAGCTGCCCACAGCAGAAAGCTGCTTGAGAACATTCCCTGCGGTAGCTTCATTTCCTGCCTTTTCTCACTGCCGCCATCCCTTCCTTGGATCTCTTCCTCCCAAATCTATGATTAATTCTTACACTCGAATCCATGCCTCAGGATCTGCTTCTTTGGGAACCCAACCTAAAACAGTGACTAAAAGGTATTAGAAAGAAGGAGGAGGTGAAACAGAGCTCAACATTCAAAGAAATACATATTACAATTTTTGCTAAATAGCTGGATCAAATTATAAATATTTCTAACAAGTATCTGTTCTTTATGTTTGTTAGACTCTGTGTCAATAATAAAATACTTGAAGAGCAACTTTTTTGTGATCCAATAAAATAAAATGTAAGCATATATTCTCATCACTATCTATTAAAACACTATGTTAAGTAAATACTGAGTATAAAAACTAACTAAAAAGGAGAAAAAAGAGACCCTAGGATATGGTGACAAAGTTAGCACCATAGTGAAATTCATCCCCCACATCATTACAGGCAAGACATGCATGAAAAAACATTGACACCAATGTTCTCACTTATAAGTGGGAGCTGAACAGTGAGAACACATGGACACAGGAGAGGAACAACACACCCGGGAGGCGGAGGTTGCAGTAAGCCAAGATCACACCATTGCTCTCCAGCCTGGACAACAGGGTGAGACTGCGTCAAAAAAAAAAAAAGGAAAGTATATTAGTATATTCTAGAGGAAGAGTAGATAGCCATGCAAGTTTGGGAACAGATGAGTTGGGAAACTACCTTGACAGAGAATAACATTTAGGAGAAAAAGCTAATGTATCTGCTGTATCTGAGATGCTTGTGGGAAATAAGTATTGATGTCAGAAGGCTGGGCTTACAAATATAAAGTTGAGCATTATTGGCTTATATAACACTTTATTACTTTATCAATGCAGCTTAAAAGCAGATTATTTTCCTTTTTTTGTGGTGGGGGGTAAGTCAGTTTTACATCCGATTAATTCACACAGCTTAAACTCTTAAATTTTTTTCCCATGTGATATTGTTAAGGCATTTCTCTCTATATTCTGTTTTTGCCATTGAGTTTTTGGACCTAAGGACAAGACTTTACCCTTGCACCTATCTGATTTCATCTTGCTAAAGTCAACCCAACGATTCACTTTTCAAGCTCTCCTGGGATGATGATCACCATCAAGCACATCAGCCATAGCTTCTGGCTTTATTTTGTAACTTTCTAGCTTATGTTAATTGAAAAGTTTTGTGTTATTTCTTTTCGCCTCTCTTGGTTCTCAGGCACATGCTATGAAATTGATTGGCTCATGGCACCCTATCATCATCAGTTTATTGTTTTATTTTATTTTATTTCATTTATTTTATTGAGACAGAGTCTCACTCTGTTGCCCAGGCTAGAGTGCAGTGGCGCGATCTTGGCTCGCTGCAACCTCTGCCTCCTGGGTTCAAGCAATTCTCCTGCCTTAGCCTCCCGCGTAGCTGGAATTACAGGCACGTGCCACCACATCCAACTAATTTTTGCATTTTTAGTAGAGACGAGGTTTCGCCATGTTGGCCAGGCTGGTCTCGAACCCCTGACCTCAGGTGATCCACCCGCCTCGGCCTCCCAAAGTGCTGGGATCACAGGCAGGAGCCACCGCGCCTGGGCCTATTTTATTTTTACTTTTTGTTGTTGTTGTTGTTCCCCCTTATACCACATTCCCAATATTGTTTCTTCCCCTTACGTTTTCTCCCACCATATTGGAACTACATTAAAAAACAAATAAATAATAAGGGCTGTACAATGTTAACTTTTCCATCTATGAGAATGCCAGCCAGGCCCAGTGGCTCACACCTGTAATCCCAGCTCTTTAGGAGACCGAGGCGGGGGGATTGCTTGAGCCCAGGAGTTTGAGGTTACAGTGAGCAATGATCGTTCCACTGCACTCCAGCTTGGATGACAGAGTGAGAGGCAGTCTCCAAAAAAAAACAAAGAGGGGAGAAAGAGAGAGAGAGAGAGAGAGAGAGAGCCGTATCTCTCCATTTATTCAGATTCATTCATTCAACAAATATTTCTTCAGTGCCTACCATGTTCCAAACTCTAAGAGCTTCTTTATATCTTTTTATCAAGTTTTAATATTTTTCCATGAGTATTGTCTGCATTTCAGGTCACTTTCTAGATTCTTCAAGCTTTGTTGCTCTAATAAAAGCCATCATATTTTCCATTGCATATTTTAATTGGTTGGTGAAAGTGTAGAACTCTTCTTAATATTTTTGTTGTTATTATTGGATTCTTCTAGCAATCTCACTGAACTCCTTCATTAATTTTAATAGCCTGTCACTTGTCTTAAGTTTTCTGTGAAAATCAAATGTCAAATCGTCTAAGAATAATGACAATACTGTCTCTTACCTTCCAGTCCTTGCACTTTTTCTATATTTTCTTGCCTTGCTGCATTGGCAGAGAAAATTACTTTTGCAAGGATTTACAAACCACTCTCTCAATAATTGATAATGAGACTACCAACCTACAGTTTACAAATTAGCTTCTCTTCTCTTTTTGGAAAAAAAAAAAACGACTATTGAATTTTCGAAGAGCTCTCGTTTTCATCAATATCTTTTTTAAAAAATTCTCAGTTCAAACATTTTCAGAATTTTTGTATGCATTTCCTGAGGCAATTTAAAATGCTAAATGCCATGTTTTGAGTTGTCTTATAGGGAGATTCAGGTTAAGGCCTAGATGATGCTGGAGAAAGGTAAGCAATGAGATTTTATTTGAATCTCAAGACTTTATGTAATAGTAGCTGAAATGTAGGTTATATATCTTTATTTCATTTTTAGTATAGATTTACTCCCATCACATTTACTATCGTCTTCAGAGTTGACCCTTAAAATAATAATAAATGGAAAAGCATGCGATGCATCATAGGGGTTACAGGAGCTAACAGATTTTAGTAAGACACCATGTAATATTATATGAAGATGAAGAACCCTGAAGCCCAAGTTCATTTAGTATGTCGTGGTTAATTCAGAGTAAAATCAAGAGTTAGTACCTGATTTATACCAGTTACATAAAGAAAGAGATGTCTTAACTTCACTGTATGATCACTTTGTCACTTTTCAAAAGCACTTAATTCCTGTTCAATTGAAAATGTTTCAGGAACAAACCTATCTGGTCATTTTATTGGCATTGCACATTTGCATATGAACAAATTTTTGCAAATTACTTATATGGACTTCTCTTCATTATGCTGATTCTTTTTTTTTTTTGAAATAGGGTCTCTGTTGCCCAGGCTAGAGTACAGTGGCACAATCATGGCTCACTACAGCCTCAGCCTCCTGGACTTAAGCAATCCTCCCACCTCAGCCTCCCAAGGAGCTGGGACTACAGGGACGAGTCACCACGCCAGGCTAATTTTTTATTTTTTGTGAAGACAGGGTCTCCCTGTGTTGCCCGGGCTGGTCTTGAAACCCTGAGCTCAAGAAATCCTCCTGCCTCAGCCTCCCAAAGGGCTGGGATTACAGGTATAAGCCACTGCGCTAGCTCCATTATGCTGTAATAACTGTGCGTATCATTACTCTTTTTGGCTTTCTTAACTGTGTTTTAGTGTCTGGTTAGCTAGTGACATTGACACCAAAACAAAGATTTGCCACACATTTGGAGTATACTAGTTCAGAATCAAATTTAAATAGTTTATTGTGAAACCAGAAAATTGTTGTAACACTAGACACACAAAAAAAGCATATTTATTCAGCTAGTACATGTTAATATTTATTGCTTGGATAAAGAAATTTAAAGTGATGATATTATGCTCTTTTTCTCATTCTGCAGTCTTATTCACTTACCTCCTGTGATAAGGTTTATTCATCAGCCTCAAATGCCACTTTCATACTCACTCAAAAATAATAATTACAGCAAGAAAATAGCAAGTGATACTACTTATTTTACTGTATTTATCCTGAGATGTGTGAAGTATTAGTCGGTTTAAGTTTTTTTCAGCTGGATTGAATTTAATTAATAATTTGGAGCATTAAATAATTTTTCCACGAAAATTAACAATGTGACCGTAAGGATAAAAATAACTCATGTTAAGAAGAAAAGAGAACAACAGACATACAGTGTAACAGCAGAAACATTTACTAATCACTCTTCTTCGGCCTTTTCTAGAGCAACAAATCTAAACAGTGCTATGCTTTATGTTGCTTTCTTGCACTTTACAGATGCCGAAAACTTTCAAGTTTCTATCTCCTAGAAGTGGGGTGGGGGAAAAGCTGGTTATTATTCCTAAACCCATTGAAATTGCATTTGTGGCATCAAAATGGATTTTTTTAAAGCAGGATGTTGGATTGACAGTAAAGCAGCTGCTCTGCAACAAACGAAAGCAAAAATTAATAAGAGACCTTAGCGAAAGAAAGACTATTGGTTTTGCACACCCAGAGCAAATTGGCTGGATTTAGAAGAGCACACTTTGATCTTTTCCAGACTAATTACTGCTCTGTGGTTTGACTGTTTTGTGCATTAGTTGCCCTTCATACAAAACCGAAACTGCTATGGTACACAGCTGTAATACAAATGAAAATTTGACATTCAGTAAACAAAGCATGGCAAGGGTCATTCTTTCAGCACAATAACTGCATAATACAATTTTAGAATGCCTTTTGTATACAAAAAATACACATTTTAAGGCAGTTTTGAACTCAGAGTGGGAAGTCAAGGCTGTTTGTAAAAGACAGAGAAGTTGCTCCCAACTCTGATCTATAAATATAGATTAAAAACAGTTTATTTTGACATTGTAGAAATGTGGAGGAATTTACATATTCACAGCAATAAATGCGTTCATTTCTAGAAGACGGTTTTTCATTTTTCTATAAGGTTAATTGGGAGCAAATTTCTTAAGTAGCAGTTTGCAGTAGCAATAATGGTGTTTATTCGCCAATATGATTCTGGATTTGCTCCTGGGAAGGAATTCAGATTATTTTCTACATAGGCTTCACATAAAAGTATTTAATGCTATATTGATTTTTCAGAAAATATAATGAATTAAATAACATTTTCAACAACTACTAATTATTTAAAGATCACCATAATTATTAAAGCATAAATCTCTGCATAAGGAGTATATTTAACATATAACTGGGTTATATAATCCTTCTAAATGCATTTTTAAGATGGTTTTGACAGTCACTTGAACAAGCTGTATAATGTTATCATCAAATACTAAAAAATTGATCAAATATATTTAAAGATTTTTACATTATAATACTTGATTCAGTGTGTATTTAAACTAATCTAAACTTTGGATCTATGCAAACTTTACCCAGTTTTTCCCAATGTACACATTTAAGCAACTTCAAATATACCTATACTTTAAAAGTCAAAGGGTGTACAATAATTCTACCACTTAATGATGAAATATTTCAAATGTAGAGAAATATTTGCTCAAAGATGTAATCTATAAGAAACATTCCTAGCTAGACTAGACCTTAAAAAAAACCTTTATGCTTTATTTCTATCTCAAACTTTTGAAAAGAGGTGATTTAGAGACTATTTATGATACCGTTCCTTTAACTGTTCATTAGAAACTGAAAAAAGGTTTATCCAGGATTGACTGATGGCCAAAAACCATAACCAAGACACTACACCAATGGGTGTTAAAGACTGGAAATATCGAACTCTTCCATTAAAGCATTGGAGAATACCCCACATTCCACGTTGAGCACATTTTCTCTCAGTCATTATTTCTTTAATTGCTATATGAATTATATAAATCTTCTGACCTTCAGTGCCTTCCCTTTTTGCTTTCAAACTTAGCCAGCAACATCCTTCATATACACACACAAAGCTGTTTTCTAAATGCCTGTTTCTGTCTGGCTCATTTACCTTTACCTAACAGAACAGCTCTCCTGGGGGAGGGAAAAAAGAGTAGTTACCTATTCACAGCAAGAGACTTGAGAGTTCAGCACAATAGATTTTCACAATGTGTTTAGGAGAGGCACAGAGCTACGGTACTAAGCACCATGCGGAAAGGTAGATAAATATATAGAGATAGAACCACAGATCTCATCCAAGTGGATTGTAGAATAACAGAGAATCTATAATGCTTTCTACTTCAGCAGCAATCAAAGCCAACCTCTGCAAATTAATCAGCCTGCAAAATACCAAGAACGGAGAAAAAGGATATTGATTCCTGGAGAGGTCACCTATATTTTATTTTCCCATTAAAAATGATCACAGAATGCTATTCTAAAATGTGAACATGAAGTATAAAACAGATTAGTTCCTTTTTGCTAATACTTCTATGAGCATCTCAGAATGACTCCATGAAACTCTTTTGGTTTAATTTTCAGCTGGGTATAGAATTGTTAAACTCTTAAAGCCTCGTTTACCGTGTGTGTGTGTGTGTGTGTGTGTGTGTGTGTGTGTGTGTGTGTGTGTGTTTTCTTAAGGGTGTTAGAGTCTTGGACTTACAGGAATTTAGTGATGACTCCATTGAGTGCTCTTTCTTTCCTATGACCATTAATTATTCAATGTCCCTTTTCATTTGCTTTCATCCTAAATCCTGCCTTCGGATTTACATACTGTCTGCAAAGCAACAAGGAATTAAGAAAGAGGTTTTTCTTCAGAATAGGTTTTCTGGTTAAACACCCAAATTAAAGACCCTTTCCAACCTACTTTACTCAAAAGTTAAAAAGAAATACACTCAATGAGACATAATTTTTTACAAAAATCATAATTCTGGAAAACAAATTAAATTTTATTTAGCAGTGTAAGCTGTTTTCCATAATGTTTTCTTAATGGTCCTATAAAATAATAAAGAATTCTTTCATGTGCTGTACATCAGTTATAGCCTTGTGATGGAATGGCTTTCTGAATTTCCACCTCCCCCCAACCCCAAATGGTTAATGTTCCAAGTTTGTGCTTTGGGGGTTATTATAGTCACAGGTTCTGTTTTAAATTAAACACCTAATTAAAAGGAAGCCATTCATAAGTAGCAATGCACATAAATCAGAATGGAATAATAGGAGCTCCACATATATCGCCTTTTCCCACAAGGCTCTTAGAACATGTTTTGTGCCCAAGAAAAAAACTGAAATTTGTCAATTAGCTCAATTGCAACCAGACCTCTTTGCTGAGTATACAAATTGGTCCCCACTACCACTAGCATGTTTTGGTGTGACAGAATGGCAGCAATTGTCATTTGCCTCCTAGAAATAGACCCTAAAGCAGAATGTTCTCATAGGTCATTTTGAGACTATTACCAACATTACCTTGCTTCCTCCTGGCAAGAAGCTAACTCCATCCAGACAAAGAGAGAAAAGAATTCTCAACCTTTGGGTAAAATGTAAGTACTTGCAGGAAATCTCATTTAAAAATTACTCCACATATCATGGGGCTTTTAATTGCTCCCCAAACCATTTTTCATCTTCTCAAGGTTGGAGGTTACAAGGTACTTTTAAAAATGGATTTAACACTTGCTGGTCACTGAGAGATTAAAGGCATCAATAGCCATGACTGGATGGCAAGACTGCTACCAAAGGCTTCACACCACAACTGATTAATGCCCTCTTTTCACTTCTCTGCATTCAAACACTTACAAACAAGATTGGAATTTTCAGGATTTATCAACATCCAGAACAGAAGATACCACATTCTGAGCATTCCATCATAAAGAGAGGGTTCATTATAGAGCTGATTGCCCAGTGGCCTTAGGGAAGTTACTTCACATTTCTCTTCCCCATCTGTAAAGTGGGAATAAAAGATGGATTTGTGGGATAAAGCTTCACAAGGGTGAATAAACGAAATAATGTCTTTAAATGGTTTTGAAGTCATATACTACAAGTAGAAAAATATTATCTTCAACACATTGTGATCTTACATGAAAGCACAGGGAATGTAATCTGCTGTCTTTTCATCTGAACACATTCAGCAAAAATCACACTTATTAAATACTTGTATATACTTCTGTAATAAAAGTTGTGCTGTCCAATAGCAAAGACTTGGAACCAACCCAAATGTCCAACAGTGATAGACTGGATTAAGAAAATGTGGCACATATACACCATGGAATACTATGCAGCCATAAAAAATGATGAGTTCATGTCCTTTGTAGGGACATGGATGAAATTGGAAATCATCATTCTCAGTAAAGAATCGCAAGAACAAAAAACCAAACACCGCATATTCTCACTCATAGGTGGGAATTGAACAATGAGAACACATGGACACAGGAAGGGGAACATCACACTCTGGGGACTGGTGTGGGGTGGGGGGAGGGGGGAGGGATAGCTTTAGGAGATACACCTAATGCTAAATGACGAGTTAATGGCTGCAGCACACCAGCATGGCACATGTATACATATGTAACTAACCTGCACATTGTGCACATGTACCCTAAAACTTAAAGTATAATAATAATAAAAAAAAAGAAAGAAAGAAAAAAAAAGAAGCTGTGCTGTCATCCAGGAGTTTATTATCTCAAATGAGAGAGTCTATGTGAAAATACATTTTAAGAAATAAAGTACTACACTTGCAATAATAATAGTAATGGATATTAAGTGCTTACCTGTACCAAGCTGTGTGAAACAAGGGTTTTTTACAAGGGTTTATTTAAACCTCACATAACCTTGGGAGATAGATGCTATTATCCCTATTTTATAAATGATAAACCTGACGATGAGAGACACTGAGTCACTTAACTGTGCTATGCAGCAGGAAAGGGAGAAACCAGGGAAGAAGCCAAGGTCTGTCTGCCTTCCAAACTCATGCACATGATGCACACTGTGTTATAAAAGAGATTGTTATGGCGATAATGCTGTCTTTTTCCCCAGATTAGACTGTGGTGGTTTTATCATGACTGACAATTTATGTCTTCAAAAATGCACATGTTGTCCTGAATTAGAAAGTTGAAATGCGGCACATTTTGCTCATAAAAGGATTTTTCTAAATTGCTTTTCTTATTCAGTACTTACTTTTGTAAAAAAGGAAGTATCACACCCTAGAAGAAACTGCTTCTATTCTTATTTTATTGTTCATATGAGTGCAGTAAGTGTTGTATACACCAGCCAATCACATCATGATTTGTTAACAGATTTCTAAATATTTAATATTAACATTTATGACACCAGAAAATACTGGTGAGAGTGACATTATTTTTGTATTCAAATAAATACATAATTGCCAATTCTACATATGAATTTTCTAATCTAGAAATTTTCCTGGTATGGAAATAACAGATATATAAATAAAACAGTATTTTCTTAAATAATTTTATTTTAGTTAAGAATTTATAAGAATCATATTTTCAGGCTGGGTGCAATGGCTCACACCTGTAATCTCAGCACTTCGGGGAAGTGGAGGTGGGAGGACCACTTGAGCCCAGTTGTTCAAGACCAGCCTGGGCAACAAAGTCTGACCCTCGTCTCTATAAAAAACAAACAAACAAACAAAAGAATAGCTGGCCATGGTGGTGCATGCCTGCGGTCCCAGCTGCCCAGGAGGCTGAGGTGGGAGGATCACTTGAGCCCAGGAGGTTGAGGCTGCAGTGAGCTATGATCACGCCACTGCACTCCAGCCTGAGCGACAGAGCAAGAACCTAAGAATCCTATATTTCAAACATTCATCTTAATAATGATGAGCTCTATTCCCACTTCACAAGGAGACAAGGAAAGGTCTTAATACATCGTGAAACAAAATATTTTAATTTCTTCCAAAAGTTAAGTAAATTTAAAAAAATGTATCTGGCCCAACCATTGAAGGGTACTTCTAAATTTAAAAACATTTTACAGGAAAAAAGGTGAATTCTAAATACTCATTTCCACAATTTACATTTTAGAGTATTGTAATTAATTTTAGAACATGGTATATGAAAGAAAAAAGGACTAAAAAATTAACTATAGTAATGTAAGTCTTGCTAAGATAATGAACTGGGCATTTTATTACAATGCTGGAGAAACATTTTCTGATATCAAAATATTTTCTTCATTCTACCATTGTAGTTACTCTGAAAAGTTTAGAAAAAGATTAGGAGCTATGTTTTGAAGAAACTTGGTGTGAACTTTGCTAACAATGACCCAAATAAGTTTTTAGATTACTTTTTTAAGAAATTGCAGTATTTCATGCAAAATGGTACCCACTTTACCACTAAGGTAATTTTTTACTCACCACAAAATGAAAATCTATATTCTGCTCTTCCTTGCATGTCTTTTTAAAAACCTCA
Organism: Homo sapiens; assembly: GCF_000001405.40. Lineage (NCBI taxonomy): Eukaryota > Metazoa > Chordata > Mammalia > Primates > Hominidae > Homo > Homo sapiens. Next base: position 35,934,694 of record NC_000014.9, on the reverse strand, counting down.
AACCAGAGGAATGAGTCACATTTTGGACCGTTTTCTTTTTTAATCTTCTTTACTCCTCTATTCTGTTTCTAAAGGGATACTTAGTTTTGACTAGATTGCAATTTCATTTGAAAAGAATTGGACAGATTTTCTAGAATGAGTTAAAGATTACACATCGAGAGTATTTTTGGCAGCTACCTTTAAAGATGCAAGGATCTTTACCTATGTTACAAACCTGCACATGTATCCTGGAACTTAAAATTAAGTTAAATTAAATTTTTTTAAAAAAGATGCAAGGATCTGTATAAAGTGGTACATCTAGATTTAATGCAGGTAATGATTGTTTTTTTGAGATAGAAACAATGTAATTGTGACATTGGCAGGAAAAATATGTAAGATGTGCTTTTCACTTTTCTCCTAGGGTAAGCATAATTTGTAGGATTTTACTATATTGAGAATGCTAAATACATTAGTGAATTCCTCATACAATGACAACAACGTCTGGTTTTGGTTTTAGCTCAAATGGTTATAGGTATACAATACTATTTCATGTTACTTACAATTAGAGTATGAAACTCAAGGCATGTGGCAAAAATTATAAATTACATCATTTTTATGAAAAAGAAAGGATCAGCCTCCTTGTTTTGTAAACAGACACTAAAACATGTAGATCAAGCAAGCCGGGGAAAGCCCGAAGTAAAATAAGAACCAATAATTATTTTTACATAACAGCCAATGTATAAAAATAATAAATGACTAAATGTTTTCCATCTGTCAAGCACTGTGCTATTTCACAAAAATGATTTTAATTAATTCCTTATAAAAACCACGAGGTAAGTATCCATTGTGCAAATGAGGAAAAAGAAGCTTGTTGTGTCCAAGGTCACAGATACAGAATTCAAGCCTACTAGAATCTTTAATATCATAGTCTAGTAACTGTTCCTCATTGCTTAACAGCTATGAAACAAGAAAAGCATAACTTTCTCTTAAACACTGTCTATAAATTATGGTAACAAAATACACATTGGGATTATAGTTCTACATGGAGAAACTTAGGAACAGAGATTTCTGGCATATGTAAAATATACGTTTATTAGCAAATATTTAGTAAGTGACTTCTATGTTCTAGGCACTGAGCCAGGTGTCTATGATACAATGATGAAGGACAACATAGATCTTGCCATCCAAATAATCATAGTCTAAAAGAAGATGAATATTTAATAGATCATTGCAATAAAACAAGAGAAGTGCTATAAAATCATAATAATAGGTAGCACTTATAGTGTGCTAGTCATTGTTAATAAGCACTTTATATATTTACTCAGGTAATCCTCACAGCAATCTATGAGATAGATACTAAAAAGATACATTTAAGAGTCTATTGGAACACAAAGAAGAAAACACTTCATTTTGCCTAGAAAGGTCAGACATTTGAGCTGAGTACTGTAGGATAACTATGTCAACAAGAGGGGAGTGATGTATCAGCTTGTATAACATAAATTTTGCCACAGTAACCAAAAATCCCCAAATCTTGATGGCTTATGACAATAAATGTCCAAGTTTGCTTGCAAAACCTGTTAGGCTGGCGTGGGAACTCTGGTGCCCGTGTCAGAGCCTCCAGCATCTGGTGCACCGCCGGTGGCTATAGCAAGGAAAGGGGAAATGGTGGATCGTGTACTGGCTCTTTGCATCTCTATCTATAAGACACGTGTCACTTCTGCACCATTTTCATTTGCCAAAGCAAGTCACATGATCATACCTAGTTTTAATGGGGAAGGGCAGTGCCTTTCTACAATATACGCAGAAGGCAAAGAGCAGGAATACTGAGGAATCACCCTAACACTTCCCAAGGATTGGAGAGGATAAGTAAACCCAGGAAAAAGGACACGTGCAAACGCATGAAAGTGAAAATGTGCTTGGTGCAGGTGGTTCGTGGTGGTTTCAATGATGAAAGCACAGGATGCACGGGGGAGAAAAGCGTGGGGAGGAGAGGAAAAGGCAGGCAAGTGTCGAATCATGAAGACTCAACACACTCAGAAAGTTTAGACTTCATCTTTTTGACCACAGGAACTTACTGCAGCATTTTAAGCAGAGGAGAAATATAATCAAAATTTTCATGCAGAAAGTTCAGGCTAACTGGACTGGGGAAAAATCTTCCAAGCTCCCTCAGGTCATTGGCAGAATTCACTTTCTTGCAGCTGTAGGATTGAGGATTTCAGTTCCTTGCTAGAGGCCACTCTCAGCTCCTAAAAAGTCACTCACAGTTCTTTGCCAGATGGGCTTCTTCAATAAGGCCACCTACTTCATGACAGTTTATTTATTCAAAACCAACAAGAAAGAGAGAATGTCACCTCAGGGAAAGCCCAGTCTGCCTTTGAAGGGCTGTCACCTGATCAAGTAAGGCCCACCCAGGATAATCTTTCAATTAACTCAAAAACTGATTTGGAACCTTAATTATATCTGAAAAATCTCCTCATCTTTGTCATATTCTGTAGGTGAGAAGCAAGTCCCAGGCTTGGCACACATTTGAGGGGAGGGAGTTACACAGGGCAGACCACCAGGGGTAGAATAATTGGAGTCATCCTACAGCCATTTAGTCTGTCCACAGCAGGAACCAATTGAAAGAATACTTCAATAGTTCTGGCGAAAAGTTATAAGATCCTGGACTAAGACAGATTCACAATGTTTAGGAGATATACATATAACTTAAATATAAATTGACTTTAATAAAACTTTCGAGAATTATCAGTTTTGTTCTTTATCTGTAGAACTAAATTCATGATACTCAAAGTACATAGTTTTAAATGTTTTGACCTTTAAAAAGAAAAGTGCCACAAATATTTCAAATATCTGGCTCATTCTAAGAGCTAAAATAAGACAAAATATATGAATATCAGCTTGCCAAGCATTGAGTCCTGTGCCACAACTCACACACGCAAACTAATTACTTCATAATGACGCCAATAGGGTACACATATGCAGCATTGTATGACCTGAAAAATAAGGCATAGAATAGAATTTGTTGATAAAATTTATGTTGCATTTGTATAGCTTACTATCAAAACAATTGTTTTTATATCTATGTATACACACACAGAGACTAGCTTGTTAAACATATTTGTCTTGTTTTTAAAGGATAAAATAATTAATAAGTATTGTGCAAGACCTTTACTCATATAATCTGAACTCCAATTCTGGAGAAATGAAAACCAAACAAATGTAGAGATATCAGTTGAGCCAAGGGCACTGCAGTCAGGGCTGAAAAGCAGAGATACTTAACAGCTCTCTTGGAGAGTGACAAATCACCTGCCTCAATTGGTTCTAACTAGAAATATCAGCCACATGTGCTCATTATCAGCCATAAATGTCCATAATCGATTAAAGGTGGGAAAAAAAAGAAAGTGATGTATCCATTACCCTGCTTCACCTTTAGAGACTTCCTTAATGCCTGCATTCTTAAAATGTAATACAAGACAAGCGCACATGTAGTCCCAGCTACTCCAGAGGCTGAGGGGGAGGATCATTTGAGCACAGGAGTTTGAATCCCGCCTGGGCAACATAGCAAGACCCTGTCTCTAAAAAAAAAATACATAAAAAGTGACCAATACAATTATTTTAGATTCTATGTCAGCCACCATATAAGTTGAGCTGAAATTAGAGGCAATTAGCAATTGAGAGAGACCAGATAAAAATTGATATAAAACACACTGTAAAAGAGGCTGATTTCACTCTTCAGGATTGAAACGCTCTGGTAGAAAAGTTGTGGAGCAATCTTTAAGGACTCAGTCTCTCGGCTAATCTTTTTTAACTCAAGGGTAAAAACCAGAGGGGGAAAAAACCCCTCCCAAACTTTCAATATCCTTCAAAGACAAATTTCATGAAGAATCTCTGCTATCCAGAATTTCTAAGGCTCCCAAACATTTATTCTTCCAGAGACATGTTTTGCATCCTGAGCTTTGGAAAAAATGCCATGTTATTCGCATCAAAGGGAAAAACATATTTAATGATACCACAGGAAACAAACCTGTAGTTTCTTTCTAAAAGCTTACTTTTTGTATGTATGAAAACTTCGTGATACTGCCAAGAACCCAACCAGCCTAGATACCACCTCAAGGTGCTGCTTTTTAGAATTGTGTGACATGCACACTGCCTGCTAAGGATCTGCAAGGAAAGAAGTCAGAGGATAATGAGACAATCTCAGATGTTTTCACATTCTGTCAAAGTGAACATTGAGCCAGGTGCAGTGGCTCAGGCCTATAACACCAGCACTTTGGGAGGCCAAGGCAGGTGGATCACTTGAGGTCAGGAGTTCAAGACCAGCCTGGCAAATATGGTGAAACCCTGTCTCTACTAAAAATACAAAAAATTAGCCAGGCGTGGTGGTACATGCTTGTAATTTCAACTTCTTGGGAGGCTAAGGCGAGAGGATTGCTTGAACCCAGGAGGTGAAGGTTGCAATGAGCCAAGATGGCACCACTGCACTCCAGCCTGGGCAACAGAGTGAGACTCTGTCTCAAAAAAAAAAAGTGAACATTGGAAAATGTTTATCACTATTATTTATGCAACATTGAAAGAAAAAGGAGATTTTGCAATTTGTTGTTGGTCTCAAACACTTCATTAGTACTCCTTGGGTAATAACTAAAAGATAATTGCATAGTAACACTGCAGCATATCACTGAAAAGAAAGCACTGGGGGAAAAATGGTTTTATGACCTTGACCTTTTGTGCCTCCCCAACTAATATTTTACCTATAAAAATTAGCTTAAAAACATATTCTGGGGATTCTTCATTCCTATCACAACCCATTACTATTTGAACAAGGAAGAATGAATATACATCTTTAGAAAAATAAAATATTAAGATATAATTAATATACAATAAACTGATTATATATAGGTATAAAATTGGTGAATTTTGATATATGCGTATAGCCATGCAATCACCACCATAATCTTTCCTCATTCCCTTTTGTATGCCCTTCTCCTGTCTCTCCCCAGCCCTACTTTCCCCATTCCCAGGCAACCACTGATCTACGTCGTATCACTTTAGTCTGCATTTTCTAGAATTGTACCTAAGTGGTACAACTTGTGGCTTTGGTTTTTTCACTTAGCAAAATTATTTTGGGATTCATCTGTCTTGTTGCATGTATCATTTCTTTTTATTTCTAAGTAGTATTCCACTGCCTGCATATAACAGAATTTCTTTGTCTATTCGCCTGTTGATGGATGCTGGGTTGTTTCCAGGTTTTGGGCTATCACAAGTAAAGTTGCTGAGAACATTCCTATACGAGTCTGTGTATACACATAAGCATTTGTTTCTCTTGTGTAAATATCTAGAAACAAAATGTCTCAGCCATGTGGTAGAAGTACATTTCACACTTTCGGTAACTGCCAAACTATTTTCCAAGTGGTTGTACCAGTTTACATTCTCATTTTACATATGAGAGTTCTAGTTCTTCCAAATCCTCAACAGCTCTTGACACGAGTCAGTCTTTGTAATTTTAACCATTCTAAAAGGTGTAGGGTGATATCTCATTATGGTTTTCATTTGCAGTTCCTTAGTTACTAATGATATTGAGCATCTTTTCATGTGTTTATGTGCTATCTGTATATACATTTTTGGTGATGTCTCAGATCAGATACTTTGCCTGTTTTTAAATTGGATTGTTTATCCTTTATCAGATGCATGCTTTGCAGATATTATTCCCCAGCCTGTACCTTGTCTTTTCATACTCTCACAGTGTTTTTTGAAGAGCAGAAGTTTTAAATTTTGATGAAGTCTAATTTATCAGGTTTTTATTTTGTAGACTGTGCTTTTGTTTTTGTACCTAAGAAATCTTTGCCTAAGCCATGGTCACAAAAATTTTCTCATATATTTTCCTAGCAGTTTTATTAATTATGTGTTTTACATTAGATCTCTAATCCATCTTTATTTAATTTGTATCTACAATACAAGGTATTGATCAAATTTCATTTTTTTGCATATAGGTATCTAATTTTTCCAGAAGCATTTGTTAAAAAGTTTTCTCCACTGATTTTTCTCAAAAATCAGTTATCTATGAAAGTATGTGTATGTTTCTGAACTCTATTCTGTTCCTTTGATCTATTTATCTATCTTTATCCAAAGCCATATTGTCTTGATTACTACAGCTTTATAATAAGCCTTGAACAAAGTTCATATTAGCCCATGACTTTGGTTTTTCTCCAAAATTGTTTTAGTTATTCGATATCCTTTGATTTCCGTATGAACCTAAAGATTAACTTGTTAATTTTTATAAAAAGATATGCTGAGATTTTTACAGCAACTGCATTGACTCAAAAATCAATTTGGGGAGATTTGATATTGTAGTGTGACAGGTCCCCCACCAGGTTACTTAAGGGTGTATGTCCGCTGCTTGAACCCTGAAGGCTGGGCAGCAAGCCAAGGCCATGGTGCCCAGCCAAGGAGCAGGTGTCCCTGAGAACCCAAACATCCTAGAGAGTATCTGAGAACCTACTAAGAAAAACAGTCTCATCACTCAAACACAGTATGCAAAAATCCAGAAAATTAGCTTAAAGGCATTTTAGAGACAGGAGGTGGCACAGATCTCTAGAGCTGTCCTGCCGCTGTCCAGGAGTGCCCTGTATATAAGTCCTAATAAACTCATCTACTCATCAAGCTGGACTTAGGTCTGAGTCATTCTTTGGTCTCTTGACTCCTTCCCTGTTTGGGGGAGATGTTACAGTTCCAAATTTTTCTCATAACTATTGGTATCACCAACAGGATCCAGGAGACCAAATGATGAGTCAGGAAAGGGTGTCGGCAGGGAGAATCCCCAGGGTAGTTAGCAACATGCATGTCAGGTGGAGTTGCCCAACTACTCAACCCCGTGGGCTACCACATGAGTACAGGGACACTCAGAAAATACTGGTGGGACTGAGCATGTACTCCAAGAAGCTAAGACATTAAAGTACTATAAGGATAGCAAACACACTATTGTTGCAATAAGGCTGGGTACTAAGAAATCGTTAAGAGTAGAAACGGGAGAAAGGGTAGAAACTCCTGAGGAAGTTTAAAGCCATGCCAGGTTTTCTAGAACTCTAGCTGGTTGTGTATTATGGCCCTTTCTTCTGCACATTTTAAAACTGGCAGGCAAATTAGAAAAAAAAAAAAAATCAGAGCTCAAATGGTTAGCCTGCACTACAGAGTTAAGTCGAGTCTTCTAACGCTCTCTATTTTCTTTTCTGCCTGCTTTGAATCTCCTGTTATTAAGATACTGGTATTGAGATAAAACTCACTGTTTATGGTCTTGCCAATTCAAGGCCATTTGGAGATTTTGTTTTTCTATACAGTTCAGTCAGTTCTAGCTAAGATGTAAAACATAAGTAAGTTGCCTTTAAAATTATTGGTAAAATAAAAATAGAAATGTCTTCAGAATTGTCAGCATGCATTTTTGTCTGCGTTTACTGATTAGATGAGTTTTATATTTTCTTCTGCAACTATATTCTTCAGCAATATATTTTGCTTCTGCTAAAATATTTTAAGATATCAAGGCTTGACGTGAAAGTTATAAGATGATAAACCCAGCCTAATATGGGATGATCTTTGTGCATTTTTATTATTATTTTATTTATTTATTTATCTATTTTTTGAGAAGGAGTTTCGCTCTTGTCACCCAGGCTGGAGTGCAGTGGCGCAATCTCGGTTCACTGCAACCTCAGCCCCCTGGGTTCAAGCCATTCTCCTGCCTCAGCCTCCCGAGTAGCTAGTTGGGGTTACAGGCGTGCGCCACCACACCCAGCTAATTTTTGTATTTTTATTAGAGATGAAGTTTCACCATGTTGGCCAGGCTGGTCTCGAACTCCTGACCTCAAGCGATCCACCTGCCTCAGGCCTCCCAAAGTGCTGGAATTACAGGCGTGAGCCACTGTGTCCGGCCTGTTTGTGTACTTTTTTTGACAAATAAGGCTAATTTAATATTGTGGGTTCAATGAAAACAGCTAAATTTTCTGAGTTATCAGCAAAACTTCCCATGTGTTTAAGTTTCTTGCTTAGATGAACACCTGATATTCAGAGGCTCTGAAAATGGTTAAGAAGGAAGTAACTTAGAATGATAATTAGCTTTGTCCAGTGTCTTGGTTCTCATGAATAATTTAGATAAACTACTAAAAATGAATAAACTGTGTAAATATAAATGAGGTAAATGCTTGTAGGAAACTTTTTGTGTAGTTTTAAATCTTAAAATTATTTTAGATACTCATTAAATATCTGAGTCATTTTCAACTTAAAAAGGGCTAGGATGCGGGGCATTGATTACACTTCTGAGTCCATTAATGGGAAATAAAATCTGTGATATGAGGGAAGCATTGGCAGACCTCAGTGAGCTGGATAAGAACAAGAACAAAGTCCAGAAAGAAATTAAGGAGCAAAAAGATGGGCCAAAATGGGTGCCTGCACACCTGCCCCAGCCCAGGCAGGCAGTGAACGTGAAGCAATACCACCTGCCAGGAGGACACTCTGAAGTCACCCAAACAACTCAGCAATTAAATAAGGTACAGATAGGCCAGCCCAGAGTCCCTATAATAGCCCTATGTGGCTTGTGAAGAAGCCAGATGGCACCTGGAAAATGATGGCAGATTACAAAGTGATGCCCCCATCCATGCAGCTGTAGCCAATATTGCTCACCTGCTAGACTAAGTGATCCTTAAGCTGAGGAACATTCATGCTGTGATTGACTTGGCTAATGCCTTTTCCAGCGTTCCTTTAGCAGAAGATTCAAAAGACCAGTTTGCCTTCATTTAGAACGGCCAACAATGGACTTGCCAGGTGCTACCATAGGATACCTGCCTAGCCCCACCATCTGCCACAGTATGGTTGCACAGGGCCCATCTAGACTCTCTTTGCCAGTCCCAAGCTCCCTGTTTCACTATACTAATGATAACATGCTAACCTCAGAGTCTCTTGCAGATCTGGAGACTGCTTATATTAGTCTGTTTCCACACTGCTATAAAGAACTACCTGAGACTGGGTAATTTATGAAGAAAAGAGGTTTGACTCACAGTTCTGCAGGCTTAACAGGAATCATGACTGGGAGGCCTCAGGAAACTTACAATCATGGCAGAAGGCAAAAGGGAAACAAGTGCCTTCTTCATAGGGTGGCAGGAGAGAGAGAGAATGAGGGGAAGTGCCACATACTTTTAAACCATCAGATCTCGTGAGAACTCACTCACTATCACGAGAACAGGATGGGGAAATCCACCTCCAGGATCCACTCACCTCCCACCAGGTCCTTCCCTCAACTTTGGGAATTACAGTTCAACATGAGATTTGGGGGAACACAGAGCCAAACCATATCACTGCTCTACAAACCATCGTGGATGTCCTAAAGGACAGAAGATGGGAAGGCAACTCCAAGAAGAAATAAGGTCCTGGCATAGCCATCAAATTCCTGAGAGTTACCTGGTTGGGTAAGACACAAAACATACCTAGAACTGTCATCGATAAGATAGCACAGCAGCCTGTTCCCCAGACAGAAAAGCAACTTCAGGTTTTCCCAGGTTTACTGGGTTACTGGAGGATATTCATTCCTCATTTGGCACAAACTTTCCACCTATTATACACCCTAATAAAAAATGGTTAAAAAAAAAAAAAGGCCAGGTACAGTGGCTCACACCTGTAATCCCAGCACTTTGGGAGGCCAAGGCAGGTGGATCACCTGAGGTCAGGAGTTCAAGACCAGCCTGGCCAACATGGTGAAACCCCATCTCTACTAAAAATACAAAAAACTAGCCAGGCATGGTGGTGGGCACCTGTAATTCCAGCTACTCGGGAGGCTGAGGCAGGAGAATCGCTTGAACCCGGGAGGCGGAGGTCACAGCACTGCACTCCAGCCTGGACAACAAGAGCGAAACTCCATCTCAAAAAAAAAAAAAATGAGACTGGACACATAGAGCAAGAGACATTTGACAAAATAAAAATATTAGTGAAACAAGCCCAAGCCCTAGAGCTCCACTGCCACAGCACCTTTCTATATTAAAAGTTGCCAGAGATGCCTTGGGGATGAATGGGGTTTGTGGCAAAAGCAACCAACAAGAATAGTACCTGTAGGGCTTTCATCTTGATTATGGAAAGGGGCAGAATCCCACTACAGAGTCCTAGAGCAACAGCTATTGGCCATGTACAGGGCATTGCGACAAGCAGAGGCCATCATCACAAAACAGACCATCACAATAAAAACTATCTGCTCCATAAAAGGGTGAATGAAAGGCCTCCTAGCCAAGCCCACCTCTGGGATGGCACAATCACACATCCTCCAGAAAACGCATGCCTGTCCACCACAGAGGGGTGTCCTGTCCACTAGTCCTTAAAGTCAGGCACTGCAGGAGGTGCTCAGACCCACCCACTGTGAACAAGTGGAAGGAGCTGACATGACCGTAAAGCCACCTCCCAGGCAAAACCACCATATATGAGGGGACCCTACCAACATCTGCTGGGGCCTGGTACACTGAGGGGCCTAGCAAACGTATCTGGGCATTAGAACAAAACATAAAATGGTGGTTCCATTTACCTATAACCCAACAGGGGCAGGCCTCATAGAAAAAAAGAATGGCCTGTAAAAAACCCAATTATGTGCACTATCCCAGGACAGATGGTTAAGGTCCTGGAGTAAGAATCTCCCTGAAGACATGCAATTTTTTTTTTTTTTTTTTGGGGATGGAGTCTCACTCTGTCACCCAGGCTGAAGTGCAGTGGCGCAGTCTCAGCTCACTGCAACCTCTGCCCCCACCCCAAGTTCAAGCAATACTCCTGCCTCAGCCCCCCGAGTAGCTGGGATCCACAGGCATGGGCCACCACACCCAGCTAATTTTGTTGTATTTTTAGTAGAGACAGCGTTCCACCATGTTGGCCAGGCTGGTCTGGAACTCCTGACCTCAAGTAATCCGCCCATCTTGACCTCCCAAAGTGCTGAGATTATAGGCGTGAGCCACCAAGCCCGGCCACCATACAAACTTTAAATGAATCAGCCACTGCCACACATGGCGTCGCTCCCTATGAATGGTTGGCAGGACCTGTAAAACAGGCCCCACAAACTCTCAGGTTTACCGCTGACACACTGAGACATGGTCCTGAAGCAGACAGCCGGGCTGTGCTCCTGAGAACACGCATGGATCTGCCAAGCAGTGATGGCTACCTGGACATGAAGTTGAGCTGGAAAGCGCCCCCATATTGGGTCAGTTTTACAGCACCAGAGAGTGCCATGAAGACTGCGGGAGGGGAGGTGGTCCCAGCTGTGCTCCTTGATGGAGGTCCAAGAGCCTTAGACATCAACACACAGCAGCACCGATACCTGCTGGAGCAATCACAGTGTGGGAAGCATGGGCAAGGCCAGAAACTTATCAATTGGCTATTATGCCTGCTCCTGGGAAAGGAAGCCATATGTGGTACTGTCAGCCAGGCCTGAAGCCTGTTGTTGCCTCCCTAATACGGCCAATGGCAGAAGATACAATGGTAATAACAGTATAAATAATGAATGCACTCATGAATGTCCTTACTAAACAGGTGTTTATGCCCATAGGCTGTTGTTCCTGCTACCCATGGTAGCTGGTAATGTCTTTCTTTTTTTTTATTTTTATTTTTTATTATACTTTAAGTTCTAGGGTACATGTGCACAACATGCAGGTTTGTTACATATGTATACACGTGCCATGTTGGTGTGCTGCACCCATTAACTCGTCATTTACATTAGGTATTTCTCCCAATGCTATCCCTCCCCCATCCCCCACCCCATGACAGGCCCTCGTGTGTGATGTTCCACTTCCTGTGTCCATGTGTTCTCATTGTTCAATTCCCACAAATGAGTGAGAACATGCGGTGTTTGGTTTTTTGTCCTTGTGATAGTTTGCTGAGAATGATGGTTTCCAGTTTCATCCATGTCCCTACAAAGGACATGAACTCATCCTTTTTTATGGCTGCATAGTATTCCATGGTGTATATGTGCCACATTTTCTTAATCCAGTCTATCATTGTTGGACATTTGGGTTGGTTCCAAGTCTTTGGTCTTTGCTATTGTGAATAGTGCCGCAGTAAAGATACGTGTGCATGTGTCTTTATAGCAGCATGATTTATAATCCTTTGGGTATATATCCAGTAATGGGATGGCTGGGTCAAATGGTATTTCTAGTTCTAGATCCCTGAGGAATCGCCACACTGACTTCCACAATGGTTGAACTAGTTTACGTCCCACCAACAGTGTAAAAGTGTTCCTATTTCTCCACATCCTCTCCAGCACCTGTTGTTTCCAGCTCTGTTTCTTCTGTGCAGCCTTTGCTCTTCAGCAAGCAGAGTCTTTTTATGGTGGGAAAGATGGCACTGTGCAGCTCCGGACTTACACAGTGCTTGTGGCACATGACTTCCGGGTAAGGAAATTGGGAAGCTGGGGCACAAGAGTGGGAAGGAGACTTACTTTGGCAGGATGTGGTCTTTTTACCTTGTGGTACTGACTAAATAAGTGCACCAATATATCATTACAAATTGTATTACAAAGTGAAAATTCAATCTGTGGAGATATGGGCTAAGTGGAAAATAAAAACCCTGTTACTAAGGTGGAAGGTGAGGAGAGTATTGTCAACAGTACCAAATACTGTCTAAGGGAAAAGCAGGAGAAGAGCTGAAATGTGTCAGTTTGATTTAACAACATGGAGGTCAGGGGTGAATTTGACAAGAGAAGTCTTGTTGAGACCAGTAATCAGAATGTGGTGGATTGTGAAATGAAAGAGAGATGAAGAAAAGAAGAGGAGCAGAAAAGGGAGGAGACTGTAGGAGGGGAGATGTTGGAAGGCTAATGGGAAGGAACCAGCAGAGAGAGGCAGTTTGAAGATACAGGAAAGAGAAGAAACATGAACAGAGTAAGGTACTTGAGAAGGCACAAGAGGTAGGTCACTTGTTCCTCTGAAACAAGAAAGAAAGCCAAGAAGATTCATATATAAGTAGGTTTGTGTCATTGTTCTGGTGGCAGGAATTTGAGGGAGTCGTTCTGATGGCTTTTGTTTCTCTTCTGAAAACAGAAGTCTGATTGCCTCAGATTGCCTGCTGAATGATTTGGCAGGATAGGAGGCGGCAGAATCCAAAAGTTTGAGAAGAATAGAGATGTAGAGAATAAGAAAGTACCATAACTAGAAAAACATAGTTCTGTAGTTGTAATTCAGGGCTGAGAGCCCATTTGAGGTTGATGACCGTAAAATTGTATTAGATTCCATCTACTTGACTGTTTGATTTTTCTCCAGCAAAGCTCAGAGGATGAGTGGATGAGGCAGAGGGTGGTGTCACCCAGGGTTGGAAGGGCAATAGGACAAGGGCACTTAAGACTCTGCTTTTAATATGTAGTCAATTCTGCTTTAATAACTTTTCCATTTTTTCTATAGTTTTCGATCTAATGGGTATGTTTAATTCATGTTTTTTTCAGAAAATTCTGTATTTGATATATATATTTAAAGTTTTAGCAGGGTTGCTGATAGTATTTTGTAAAGAAAAAACCCCTGCCATATCTATGACTATAGCTTCCATTTCATTCATTACTTTCTATGTATACGTGTTCTTTTTTCTTGATTAGCTAGAGGTTTGTTCAGGATATACTTTCATTTTCAGAGAACCAGGTTTTAGATTTATTTGTCAATTTAACTGTTTTTAAGATACCTTTTAGCATTGCTCCTCTGTGTGTCTGCTTCCTACATTAGACAGTAGGCCCTAGTGGAAAGGAACACATTTCACGCATCCCTGCATCTTCCATAGCAGTTTACTCGAACGTTTTCTACAACATGGGATTCAATTCATTATTATGGGATTGACTTAAATATTATTTTGTGATAATTTTATTTTGAATGTTATAAAAGAAACTGGGGATTTAATTAGATTCACCCTACTTTCTTTTAGTTTAGTACTTATATGTATGTGTTTTTCCACCCCTAAAAAAATGAACATTTTTACACATTATATTTCATGAGTTAAAAGGCTGTACTTATTGGGGGACACTTGGGATAAGGAGGACATATCAGGAAGCTCTATGTTGTGATGTCTGAAACTGGCCTTAAGAGCTGATTTTTGAGTTGTTTTTCAACTAGCAACTTGGTGACCTGAGGTAGAGCTTTAGCATACAGTGCTAAGTGGTGTGAATACAATGTAAGTGACAAGGTTAATTTTTCTTTCTGCAAAAATGTTTTGGTGGAGGGTGATATGGTTTGGCTGTGTCCCCACCAAAATCTTATCTTGAATTGTAGTTCCCATAATCCCCACATGTCATGGAAGGGACCTGGTGTGAGCAGTTGAATCATGGGAGTGGTTACTCCCATGCTGCTGTTCTCGTGATAGTGCGTTCTCACAAAACCTGATGGTTTTTTTGTTTTTTTGTTTTTTGAGATGGAGTCTCATGCTGTTGCCCAGGCTGGAGTGCAGTGGCACAATCTTGGTTCACTGTGACCTCCACCTCCTGGGTTCAAGTGATTCTCTTCCCTCAGCCTCCTGAGTAGTTGGGACTACAGGCATGCAGCACCACGCCTGGCTAATTTTTTTTTTTTTTTTTTTTTTTTTTTTTTTTTTTTTAGTAGAGACAGGGTTTCTCCATGTTAGCCAGGCTGGTTTTGAACTCCTGACCTCAGGTGATCTGCTCACCTTGGCCTCCCAAAGTGCTGGGATTACAGGTGTTAGCCACTGCACCCAGCCAAGATCTGATGATTTTATAAGGAGCTTTTCCCCCTTTTGCCCAGCACTTCTTCTTCCTGCTGCTATGTGAAGAAGGACATGTTTGCTTCCTCTTCCGCCATGATTGTAAGTTTCCTGAAGCGTCCCCTACCCTGTGGAACTGAGTCAATTAAACCTCTTTCCTTTATAAATTACCTAGTCTCGAGTATGTCTTTATTAGCAGCGTGAGAATGGACTAATACAGAGGGTTAGTGAGTGGATGGGCGTTTGGGCATTCTTGTATACTACATGGGGAAGTGAATATAATCATGACCTGTATGGAAGACTGTTGGCAATATCTAAAGCCTTAAATATGCACAGGTCCTTTGTCTCAGAAATACTCCTGCTAAGAATGTATTTTACGGCACTAATATAAACAAGAGGGAAAAGGTACATATATATGTATATAGATATTCATTGCATCATTATTTAGAATAGAAAAAGGAAACAATTTAAATTTCTAATATATTAATTTGTTTATATTTTGATACAGCTATACAATAGCTGGCATACTTTGCAGGTACCTTGTTAAAAAAATGAATGTGAGGGGTGTGTGTGTGTGTGTGTTTGTGTATACACTAACAAATCTGGATAGAGGTAGTAGCCAAAGTAGCAGCAGGATACAGGAAGCATACTCAAATTGAATAACTTGACTAGGGTTCAATATAGGGACTATTTATAAGGTATAGGCAAAATGTAGAGAAACAACAAGGAATAGTATAGAACCTGAAGTTTGTATGAGTGTGGGGGATAGGATGTTCTTACCATGTCTAAGCCTGTCTGAAGGAGCCAGAGGAATTAGGCAGGAAGATTTATGTGGGAGAGGGCCTTTTGACAGGACATCTGACTTTTTGTAAAAGGATGTAGCCCTCTCACAGAAACTCTACAGCATGGTTGCTGGGAAACAAATGTCTTGGCCTCTCTCTCCTTCTTCCCCCTTCTCTCTCCCTGGTGTTCTTCATTGACTAAGCCCTACCAGAAGTCAGACCTCAAAGGGATTCTTTGATGAAGGCCATATAATTAGTCTCCCAAGGCACAGAGCAAGGTGGAGAGGATTGGGACTAGCACTAAAGGGACAAACAGAAAATATCGAGCTCAATGTATGTACACAACATGTTAATGGAGGTAATTCTTGACAGTGGGGTTTTGGGTTAATATTTTCTTCCTTAATTTCATCTTCTAATTTTTGAAAATGAACACATATGACATGTAATTTTTTAAAAGTTAAAGTTTTTTTCCATAGAAATAATTTGCCTCAAATTATCTGAAAATTATGAATTTGCTTTGCCAAAATTCAATTGTTTTGTGTCTACACAGCTGAATGCCCTCTTCTAACCTTTAATCCTTATTTACTTAAAAATATCCTCAGGGTTTCTTTACTTAGAAAATAAGAAGTTTTCCTAATTCCAACCAATGTTAGCACTTGGGAGTGGGGTAGGGAATTGGCTTTATTTAGGAATATTTATTACCTTGATAAAATTCTGGGGACCACTGTGACCATTTAAAGCCATATTATAAACACAAGTACTCTGAGTTCCTCAGAAGAAAGGGGCTTTAAAAGCCCAATATCATTCTATAATCCTGGTAGAATTTAAAATATAGAATTTAGTTGGATTAACAGATAGCATTTTCTTTACATAAAATTATGAAACCAGATTAAGGTAAATAGCCTATCATATGTCCTTGAGTGTACATATAGAAACATTTCTATTACTGATTTGTGAACATTTCTTCTCCATGGAGCAGCTTTAATATATATCTTTTTTCTTCCTTTATTATGAAATCTTAGATTATCGATAATAATGTATAATCATTCTGAAGATGATGTTATATTGACTACACTTAACTAAGAGATGAGAAGGGTCCTTTAAAGGTCTATCTACAGCCTTCAATAGAAAGTGTTTGCTTTGTGAAATAACCTACATATGCATCGCTGAACTTTCTTCTTCTTTTTCTGGGCTATTGCTTTTTCCTTTAGTGGCACAAAACATTTTAAAATTGTATTTTCTATTAGTATTTTTTCTGGGGAAAAGACGGCAATGTGTGTATGGCATGTAAAAATGCTATGTATCAAAATCAATGATAAAAAGAAAATCTTAAAGGTAGCCAGAGAAGAAAAAAACATGTATGAATTTCCTATCACTGCCATAGAGATTATCTCAAACATAGAAGCTTAAAACACAAATTTATTATCTTACAATTCTCTAAGTCAGAAGAAGGACCTGGGTCTCACTGTGCTAAAATCAAGGTGTGAGCAGTGATTCAAAGGAATCAAGGCTTCATTCTTTCCTGGACACTCTAGGAAAGAAAGTGTTTCCCTGCTCTTTCCAATTTCTAGAAGCCACCTGGATTCCTTCCTCCATCTTCAAAACCAACAGTAAGGCATCTCTCTGATTCTGCTTCCATAGTCACATCTTTTTTCCTGACTCTCTTTTGTCTGTCTCTTCCATTAAGGACTCTTGTAATTACACTGGACCCAGCCAGACAATCCAGGATAATCTCCCTATTTTAAGGTAATGTAATTAGCAACCTTAATTCTATCTTCAGTCTTAGTTACTTTTTGCCGTGTAACCCAACCTTTTCACAGGTTCCAGGAATTAGGATGTGCGCATCTTTGGCAGGCCATTATTCCACCTAGCATAGTCTGTCTTCTGGCCCCTAAATTTACCTATCTGTCTTGAATGCAAAATACATTCACCCCATCCCCAGATCTCCAAAGATCTCATCCCTTACAGCATCAATGCAAAGTCAAAAATCTGAACTATTCACTAACTCAAAAGTCTCAAATCTTATCATCTAAACCAGGCATGGATAATTGTTTTGCCTACCACATGCATGTTATATATAAAGGAACAAAGATAACAATGACCGTAGATTTCCCATCTGAAACAATGTAAGTGAGAAAGCAGAGAGGAAACATCTTTCAAGCAGTGAAAAAAATTTTTAATTTTGAATTCTGTACTCAGCAAGAATATATTTATTTTATTCAGTGAACCCCAAAGAAGGCAGAAAAAGTTGAAAAAGGGAAAAGAACAGATGAAGATATAAAAAATAGCCATATGATAGATCTAAACCTAACCATATCAGTGATGAGATTAAATGCAAATAGTCTGAATACCCTAATTGTAAGGCACAGCTGATCAGATTGGATTAAAAAAAAGCAAAATCCAATTATATGCTGTTTACAAGAGACACACTTTAAATGTAAAGACACAAACAGGTAAAAAGTAACAGAATAGAAAAAGATATTCCATGCTAATATTAATTAAACAAAAACTAGAATAGTTATTAATAGCAAACAAAGCAGATTTCAAAATGACATTAGCAGGGATGAAGAACGTGTTATCATAATGAAAAAGCAGTCAATTCATCATAAGCAAAAAACAATCCAAAACATTTGGGCACCTAATAACAGAGATTCAAAATACACAAACCACAAATGTACAG
This sequence comes from Homo sapiens, assembly GCF_000001405.40. NCBI lineage: Eukaryota > Metazoa > Chordata > Mammalia > Primates > Hominidae > Homo > Homo sapiens. The sequence goes on along the minus strand of NC_000014.9, from coordinate 35,916,556 downwards.
AATAGACAAATCCACAATTACAGAGATTTAAAAACCTTTTTTTAATGACTGATAGGAGAACTAGACAGAAAATCAGCAATGGTATAAAATACTTGAACAACGCTAGTAACCAACTTGATCTAATTGACCTTTTTAGAAAACTCCAACAGCAGCAGAATGCACATTTTTTTCCACATGCACACAATACAAGATAGACCATATTTTGGGGACATGAAATATGTCTCTGTAAGTTTAAAGGTATTTATACATAAACATGTGCATTCTCCAGTCACAATGGAATTAAATTAGAAATCAATAAGCAAAAGATCTTTGGAAAATTCTTAAATATTTGGAAACTGAAAAGTGCATTTCTAAGCTCTAAAGAACCCATGGGTTAAAGAAGAAATCAAAAGAAAAATTAGAAAGCATTTTGAACTGAATTGAAATGAAAACACAACACATCAAAACTTGTAGAATACTGCTACTATACTAAGCAGTACTTAGTGGGAAATTTAAAGCACTAAATGACCATACTAGGAAAAAAACAAGGCCTCAAATAAATGACATAAGCTTACACCTTAGGAAACTAGAAAAAGAGAGCAAATGATACATAAAGTAAACAGAAGAAAAAAAAAACAAAGAGCAGAGTAGAAATCAATGAAATAGAAAAAAAGGTAGAGAAAAATCAACGAAACAAAATTATGATTCTTTAAAGAGATCAATTAAATTGATAAACCTCTAGCCAGAGTGACCAAGAAGAAAAAGAGAGAAGACATAAATTACCAAAATCAGGCATGACAGAAAATCACAATAGGTTCTACAGCTATTGAAAGGATAATAGAGGATTATTATGAACAAATCAAATCAACAATATATAAAAAGGATGCATTGTGAAACAACAGAGCTTATCTCAGAGATATGAGATTGGTTTAACATTTGAAAATCAATTAATAAAAATCAGCATATTAAAAAACTAAAAAAGAAAAATTATATATTCATCTCAATAGATGCATAAACAGCATTGGACAAAACCCAACATCCATTCCTGGTAAAAACTCTCAGCAAGAGTTAGAAGAATTGCTTGAACCCGGGAAGCGGAGGTTGCAGTGAGCCAAGACCATTGCACTCCAGCCTGGGCAATAAGAGCGAAACTGTCTCAAAACCAAAAACCAAACCAAACCAAAACAAAACCAACAAAACTCTCAGCAAGCTAGAAATAGGAAAGAACTTCCTTAACCTGATAACGTGCATCTGTGAAAAATCTAGAGTTAGCATCATGCTTGATGGGCAAAGATACAATGCACTTTCCCTAAGGTCAGGAAAAAGGCAAGGATGTTTCTTTTTCACTGTTTCTATTCAACATTGTATTGGAGGCACTAGCCAGTACAATCAGGCAAGATGTGGAAAATCTGAAGGATTTTACAAAAATGATATGAAATATGAATTTACCAATGTTGCAGAATGTAAGATAGTCAACTGTCTTATAATTATATATTTTATATGTTATGAAGTTAACTCTTAAACAACATGGGTTTGAACTGCACAGGTCCACTTCTATGTGGATTTTCTTCCTCCTCTGCCACTCCTGAAACAGGAAGACTAACCTCTCTTCCATTTCCTTCTCAGTCCACTCAGTGTGAAGGCAGTGAGGCTGAAGACTTTTATGACAATACGCTTCCACTTAGTAAATAGTAAATACACTTTCTTTTCTTATGATTTTCTTAATAACATTTTCTTTTTTCTAGCTTACTTTATTATAATATAGTATATAATACATATAACATATAAAATATGTATTAATTGACTGCTTATGTTATAGGTAAGGCTTCCAGTCAACAGCAGGTTATTAGTACTTAAGTTTTGAGGGAGTTAAAAGTTATACACAGGCCTGGCGTGTTGGCTTATGCCTGTAATATCAGCACTTTAGGTGGCTAAGGTAGGATGATTCCTTGAAGCCAAGAGTTTGAGACCAGCCAGGGTAAATAGCAAGATCCCAATCTCTACAAAAAATAAAAAAAAATTACCTGGGCATGGTGGCACATGCCTGTAGTCCCAGCTACTTGGGAGGCTGAGGTGGGAGGACTGCTTGAGCCAGGAGGTGGAAGTTGCAGTAAGCTATGATCACACCACTGTATTCTAGCCTGGGTGACAGAGCAAGACCCTGTCTTTAAAAAAAAAATTAAGAAAAGTTATACATAAATTTTCAACCCTTAATCCCTACACTGAGGGTCATATATATATAATATATATATAATCATATTATAATAAATTATATTTCTGAATGCTAGAAATGAACAATTAGAAATTGAAATAAATAATTCTATCTACATAGCATTAAAAATACGAAATACTTAGGGATAAATTTGACAAAAGATGTGCAAAACTTATATACTGGAAATTGCAAAACATTGTTAAGAGAAATTAGAGACCTAAATTAATGGAGAGGTGTAGGATAGGAAGACTCTATATTGTTAAGATATCTGTTATGAGAAAAACTTGAGACTGTAACATGTCCCCAGAAAAGGGAAGAAGCCAAGAGACCAAAGAATGACTTGGACAAGTCCAGCTTGATGAGTAGATGAATTTATTAGGACTTATATACAGGGCACTCCTGGACAGCGGCAGGATAGCTCTAGAGATCTGTGCCACCTCCTGTCTCTAAACTGACTTTAAGATAATTTTCTGACTTTTTGGCTATTGTGTTTGAGTGATGAGACTGTTTTTCTTAGTAGGTTCTTGGATACTCTCTGGGATATTTGGGTTCTTAGATACACCTGTTCCTTGGCTGGGCACCATGGACTTGACTCACCACCCAGCCTTCAGAGTTCAGGCAGTGGATATACACCCTTAAGTAACCTGGTGGGGGACTTGTCACACTACCATCCACCTTGTTCCCCAGCTCTTACACTCTTTCCACCAATCTTGCACAAGAGTCCCTGAATGGGGTATTGGGGTAGAAGTTTATGGGCCTGTTATGTATAACCATGGCTGTGCATACTGGCCACATCTACAGTATACAAAACAGCATATAAAGCAGAAAGTAACTACAATTATGATGCCTATTAGCAAAACCTAACTCCAGTAAGTAGGTAAGGTGTGTAACCAATTTGAGAATGACTCAAAGAAACCTGATTGGGTTATATCATGGATCTGAGTTGGAAAATGATTTAAAGCATCCGTGACTGTATTAATCTGTTATTGCACTGCTATAAAGAACTGCCCAAGACTGGATCATTTAGAAAGGAAAGAGGCTTAACTGACTCACAGGTTCGCATGGCTGGGAAGGCCTCAGGAAACTTACAATCATGGCAGAAGGTGAAGAGGAAGCAAGGCATCTTCTTCACAACGCAGCAGGAGGGAGAGTGAACCCAGGAGGAACTACCACTTATAAAACCATCAGATCTCATGAGAATTCACTCACGATCACAAGAACAGCATTATTCAATTACTTCCACTTGGTCTTTCCCTTGACATGTGGGGATTATGGGGATTACAATTCAAGATGAGATATTGGGTGGGGACACAGCCAAACTATATCAGTGACATTATTCTCTTCATCAGGGTTATAGGTGCAACAGGTAGTGCCTATAAGGGCACATGTTGTTGGGTCTCCGTTGAGTTGGTAATCAGGCCTCCAGGTGGATGCAATCCCCAGTGAACCTGGGTTGCATTATCGCTGCTGTTGAACCAGTCACTCCAGTTATGTGGGGAGAAAGGCAGAATATTCCAAGGCATATCATTCTTATTGGATACAGGGAGGTATACTTATCCCAATAATCAGACTGGTTGCTGATTGCTGCAGTAGTCACAGCTCAGTTTAGAAAGACATTACCAGCTGCGTGTAAACTAGTTCAACCATTGTGGAAGACAGTGTGGCGATTCCTCAAGTATCTAGAACTAGAAATACCATTTGACCCAGCCATCCCATTACTGGGTATATACCCAAAGGACTATAAATCATGCTGCTATAAAGACACATGCACACACATGTTTATCGAGGCACTATTCACAATAGCAAAGACTTGGAACCAGCCCAAACAGCTGGAACATTTCACAAAGTTGCCATATGCAATTATATGTGTTAGGGTGAAGATCAGAAACTAAGAGTCCAAAAGCTGATAATTTAGGTAGATGGTCCAGGCTAAGCCAAGAGTCTAAGGAATCAGATACAGAATCTTGATCTTGAGTAAGCCTTAAAATGGGAAACAGATCAGTTTAGCTAAGGGAATCTGAAGTAACAGTTGCCATGAAAAAGTCAAAGATGTAGAAACAAAGAGATCAAAGTTATACTAGATAGGTCTAGGGGTGACATATCTTGATAATCAAGGGAGGTAAACATGCATATGTAATAGAAAAAAGGGAAAGAAAATGGGCTAGGTGGAAGAAAATAATACTAGCAACCAAAGCCCTAAAAGAACCTTAGAAGAATAAGGACAGTTTGTTCTTTGGCTTATTTTGCAGTTACTACTGAAGGAAGATAGCTCTGGGGACAAATGACTGCATAAAAAGTCACGGTCACTAGTGCTAGTGACTGTGAAAGCAAGCTCATTAAGATAAAGGTAGGGGTCGGAAAATTAGATACATTGAAGTGTTCTTAATTTAAGATATTAAAAGAATAGAAAGCACAGAAAGATCAAAGAAAATTACAACCAAAAATAACATTCATATTTTGGACAATAAAGATAAAAGCAAGAAGGAGACATTGATGATATTCAAATGACTATGGGCAAAAGCCCACAACCCAGTTAACATTGATGTTGTTTTCTTTTAGATGTGACAAAAAGAGAATCAAATTAAAATACTGACTTTGAGGATCTAAGAAATTATGCTTAACATGAATGTGTTTTTAAGTTAAAAGTGAGCACTTCTGATTGTACAATAATTCATTGCACAGTTTGGGCAATGCTTCTCTACACCCTGTGTGAAGCATGAAAAACTGGTTCAGTTTGGGCTCCGTGCTAATTCAGGCATCCTCTCCTATTCATACACCATTCAGGATGGAACTGGAAGACTTTATCTAAAATTAAGAAAAGTTGCCTGGATGTGGTGGCACACGCCTGTAATCCCAACACTTTGGGAAATCACAGTGGGAGGATCGCTTGAGGCCTGGGGTTCAAGACGAGCCTAGGCAACATAGTCAGATACCGTCTTCACAAAAATATTTTAAATTAGCCAGGCATGGTGGTGTACACCTCTGGTCCCAGCTACTCAGGATGCTGAGCCAGGAAGATCACTTACTTGAGGTCATGAGGTCAAGGCTGCAGTAAGCCGTGATCACATCCCCATACAACAGCCTGGGTGACAGAGAGAAATGCTGTCTCAACAAAAAAAATTAAAAAATAAAAAATAAAGAAAGAAAAAGAAAAGCTGCCTGTACTGTCTGTATCTCTGAGTTTCCCAATACCTGCTAGTCATTCATAAGGTGAAGCCTGTGTTAAACTTTTCAATTAGAAAATATATTTGATAAGACTTTGGGGATATAATTTAGTGGTGGAAAAGACTTTTTGCTAGGTGTAAGATTCCTAAAAATACCTTGGGAGCCAGAATGAGACTGCGTATACCTCTCAGACACTCTCATCCTCTTCTCTGAACCCATACAAATAAATATTAAAACAATCAGAAATAACATGGATCATCCAAAGAACTAGTGTATTCCTACTTGTTTTAACTGAGTTATAGTTATTATTATCTGTTTTAATGAATAGCAAGAATTGAGAAAATAAGTAAACGTTAACATGCTCTGTATTGCAACCAAAGTATTCAAACCAAAAAGACAAAAATGTATAAAGGTGCATCATAAAAACTCATTTTCCTTTCATGAAGTTCAGAGAGAGCCCTGGAGACTTCTACTTCCAGTAAGCTAGAGTAGATGTAATTTTTCCTATTCCTCCCACTAACTGCAACTGAAAACTTCAAACACTAGATCTAAAACAAATATAAGATGACTCTGAAAGGTGGGAAAAAAAAGACAGACTAGGTTCTTGGGATCTAAGGAGCAACATGATGGTGAATTTCTTGGGTTTTCCTTTGTGCCTCATATCCCACACTTGCAGCTGAAGAAACTGGCAACTCACAATTGCCAATGGGTACAGATAACAAAAGCCCCAACAAAAACCTCTCTCTTGCCAAAGGACCAGCAAAAAGGCAGCCAAGCAAGACAGACAGCTTTAAACCATAACCGCTCTACTTTAACCAAACACCACAGAAAAAGCTGTAACCTCACCCCAACCCATGCTAGTAAAAGCCTAGACTTCCATTCTCAAGAAAATTTAACTGGCCAGGCGCGGTGGTTCACACCTGTAATCCCAGCACTTTGAGAGGCCAAGGTGGGCAGATCGCTTGAGCCCAGAAGTTTGAGACCAGCCTGGCCAAAATAGTGAAATGCCATCTCTACCAAAAAAATACAAAAAATTAGTTGGGTGTGGTGGCACATGCTTATAGTCCCAGCTACTAGGGAGGCTGAGTGAGAGGATCACCTGAACCCGGGAATTTGAGGCTGCAGTGAGCCATGAGCACGCCACTGCACTCCAGCCTGGGTGACCGGGCAAGACTGTCTCAAAAAAAAAAGGAAAGAAAAGAAAATGTAACAAAGCACCTCAGTACTCCCACAGGGATGGAGTGACAGGAGGCCTAGTGGAGAGTCAGGTCTTCCACCATCGCCCAGCACTAATGAGGCCACTCCTATCATGGTATAGTGCAAACTATGTAAGAAGCCATAACTCCCACCCTTGCCCAGCAGTAATGAGGAGTTCCCACACACAAGTGTCAACAAACGCCAAGTGGGAAACTTGGACTTCTACCCCTACATGGCAGTAATAACACAGTGTTTCCCTGCCAGAGCAGTGTTAGTAAAAAAAAATAATAATCATAAATCAGCTAAAATAAAAGGTTTAAATAAGATCCAGAGTGTCATAACACAATATGAAAATGTCCAGGTTTCAACAGAAAATCATTCATCATATCAATAATCAGGAAAAGCTCAGACTGAATGAGAAAAGATAACCAATAGATGCCCACATTGAGATACAGAGATGTTAGAATTGTCTGACAAAGATTAAAGCAGCCATGATAAAAATGCCTCACTGACCAGTTAAAAAACACACTTGAAACAAATTTAAAAATAGCCTCAGGCCAGGCGCGGTGGCTCACGCCTGTAATCCCAACACTTTGGGAGGCCAAGGTGGGCGGATCTCCCGAGGTCGGGAGTTCAAGACCAGCCTGACCAACATGGAGAAACCCCATCTCTACTAAAAATACAAAATTAGCCGGGCGTGGTGGCGCATGCCTGTAATCCCAGCTACTCGGGAGGCTGAGTCAGGAGAATCGCTTGAACCCGGGAGGTGGAGGTTGCAGTGAGCCAAGATCACACCATTGCACTCCAGCCTGGGCAACAAGAGTGAAACTGTGTCTCAAAAAAAAAAAAAAAAAAAAAAAAAAGAGCCTCAGCAAAGAAATCGATGTTATAAAGAACCAAATGGAAATTTTATTTTATTTTATTTTATTTTGAGACAGAGTCTTGCTCTGTTGCCCGGGCTGGAGTGCAGTGGTGTGGTCTCGGCTTACTGCAACCTCTGCCTCCCGGGTTCAAGCAATTCTCCTGCCTCAGCCTCCTGAGTAGCTGGGATTACAGGTGTGCACCACCATACCTGGCTAATTTTTGTATTTTTAGTAGAGACAGGGTTTCACCATGTTGACCAGGCTGGTCTCTAACTCTTGACCTCAAGTGATCCACCTGCCTCAGCCTCCCAAAGTGCTGGGATTACAGGCGTGAGCCACCGTGCCCGGCCTCAAATGGAAATTTTAGAACCGAAAAATAAACAAAATAAAAAGCTTAGTAGATTGGGTCCTGTTTTGTAATTCATTCTGCTAATCTCTGTCTTTTAATTGGTGTATTTTAACTATTTATATTTTACATAATTATTTATATGTTAGGGCTTACGTCTGCCATTTTATTTTTGTTTTCTGATTGTTCTCTTTGTTCTTTATTTCTCTGTTTTATTTTTCCTGATTTACTATGTGTTACACCTTTTTTTAGAATTCCATTTTAATTTATCTATAATATTTGGAATGTACCTCTTTGTATAGATTTTTTTTTTACTGGTTGCTTGAGTACTACATTATATATACATAACATATCCAATCTACTGGTGTTGAAGAAAAATCTTACCTCCCTTATGTCCCTTTACCCTCCCCCATTTATAATTGTCTTAAATATTTCCTCTATATACATTTAGAACCACATTTGAAAGTGTTATAATTATTACTTCAACCATCAAGCATAATTTTAAAAACCAAGAAGAGAAGGAAAGGCTTTTATTTCCCCATATTTTTTCTTCCATGCTCTTTCTTCCTTCCTGATGTTCCATGGTCCTTCTTTTATCATTTTCTTTCTATTTAGAGAACTTTCTTTAGCCCTTCTTTTAGGGTAAATCTGTTTAGGGTAAATCTGTTGGCAACAAATAGCTTTCCTTCATCTCAGAATATCTTCATTTCCCCTTCACTCTTGACAAATATTTTCACTGAGTGACAGTATCCTAAGGGGTCGACAGTAATTTTATTTCAGCCCTTGAAAAATATTGTGATGCTTTCTTCTGGCCTCCGTGGTTTCTGATGAGACCTTTGCTGTTATTCTAATTGTCTTCCCCTTACCCCAATAAGTAAGTTATCATTTTTCTGTGAATGCTTTCGATATTTTTTTATTTGTCTTAAGCTTTCAGAATTTTAATTATAATGTATCTTGCTGTGGATTTCTTTGGATCCAACCTGTTTGGATACCAGCTTCTTGCATTTGTAGGTTTAAGTCTCTTGCCAATTTGGTGTGTGTTTTTGGCCATTATTTCTTTGAGCACTTGTTCAGCCCAGCCTCTTTTCTTTTCTCCTTCTGTGACTCTATTAAGAAAATGAAAGACAACCTACACAGTGGTAGAAAGTATTTGCAAACCACATATAAGACAAGGGACAAGTTAATACCCAGACTATATAAAGAAATCTCAAAATTCAACAGTAAAGGAAAAAAAAAAAACAAAAACAGCCGGCGCAGTGGCTCACGCCTGTAATCCCAGCACTTTGGGAGGCCAAAGTGGACGGATGACGATGTCAGGAGATTGAGACCATCCTAGCTATCACAGTGAAACCCCGTCTCTACTAAAAATACAAAAACTATCCAGGGGTGGTGGCGCGTGCCTGTAGTCCCAGCTACTCAGGAGGCTGAGGCAGGAGAATCACTTGAACCAGAGAAGCGGAGGTTGCGGTGAACCGAGATCATGCCACTGCACTCCAGCCTGGGCTACAGAGGGAGACTCTGTCTCAAAAAAAAAAAAAAAGAAAGAAAGAAAACAACAATTCAATTAGAAAATGGGCAAAACCCATGAAGAGACATTTTACAGATCTTAAATAAATAAAATTATTTTTCAATATCATCAGTCATTAGGGAAATGTAAATTAAAACCAAAATTAAGTATTACTACATGTCTATCAGAATTGCTAAAATAAAAATAGAAACAACATCAAGTAGAATGTGGAGAAACTGATCACAGATACATTGCTGGTGAGAATGTAAAATAGTAGAGACACTGAAATAGTTTGGCAATTTCTTAAAAAGCTAAACATGCAACCACCATACAACCCAGGAACTGCACTCCTGGGCATTGTCACAGAGAAATGAAATTCAGATTCACACAAAAACCTGTACATGAATATGCATAGCAGCTTTCTTCACAATAACCAATAAGATAATTTTTTTAACTGTGTTACATCTATACCAGGGGTGTCCAATCTTTTGTCCTCCTTGGGCCACATTAGAAGACGAAGAATTGTCTTGGGCCGCACGTAAAACACACTAACACTAACAACAACTGATGAGGTTTTTTAAAATCGCAAAAAAAATCTCATAATGTTTTAAGAAAGTTTACAAATTTGTGTTAGGCAGCATTCAAAGCCTTCCTGGGCCACATGCAGCCTGCAGGCCACCTGTTGGATAAGCCTGATCTATACCATAAAATATTACTCAGCAATTAAAAGAGAAACAAGTTATTAATACACACAATAACCTGGATGAAGGTATAGAGAACTATGCTGAGTTTTAAAAGCCAAACTCAAAAAGTTACACACTGTATAAGTCCATTTATGTAACATTCTTGGCTGGGCAAGGTGGCTCACAGCTGTAACCCCAGCACTTTGAGAGGCTGAGGTGGGCGGATCACCTAAGGACGGGAGTTTGAGACCAGCCTATGGTGAAACCCCATCTCTACTAAAAATACAAAAATTAGGGCTGGGCACGGTGGCTCACACCTGTAATCCCAGCACTTTGGGAGGCTGAGGCAGGCAGATCGCCTGAGGTTGGGAGTTCGAGACCAGCTTGGCCAGCATGGTGAAAACCTGTCTCTACTAAAAATACAAAAATTAGCAGGCATGGTGGCAAGTGCCTGTAATCCCAGCTACTCTGGAGGCTGAGGCAGGAGAATCGTTTGAACCCAGGAGGGGAGTTTGCAATGAGCCCAGATCACGCCATTGCACTCCAGCCTGGGCAACAGAGTGAGACTCATCTCAAAAAAAGAAAAAAAGTAAATATATATAGTTATATATATAGTTATATATACAGTTATATATAGTTATATATATAGTTATATATATAGTTATATATAGTTATATATATAGTTATATATATAGTTATATATATAGTTATATATATAGTTATATATATAGTTATATATAGTTATATATATAGTTATATATAGTTATATATATAGTTATATATACATATAGAGAGAGAACATTCTTGAAATGACAAAATTATAGAAACCGATAACAGATTAGTGGTTGCCAGAGGCTAAAGAGACGATGGAGTAAAAAGAGAAGAAGTATGGCTCTAAAAGGGCAATCTAAGGGATCCTTATAGCGATGAAAATATCAATATCGTGGTTGTGATACTATACAATAGTTTTGCAAGATGTTACCATTGGGGGAACTTGGTGAAGGGTACATAGGATCTCTCTGTATTATTTCTTACTACAGAATGTGAATCTCAAAATCAACAGTTTAATTTTTTTAAGCAGTCCTTCATTACTTTGAAGAACCAACCTGAAGTCCAGAATTTGGATCTTTGGATGTAGTTCCTTTAGTGCAGCTCCTCAAATATACTTCTTCTCAATCTAGAGAGTCAAGTTATCTGCCCTGCATGCACCTAACACACAATTGTGGGACAGGCATACCAAAAGTGATATAGACACATCTGTTCCAAAAAAGGAGAAAATGGGAAGCACATGGAAATAACTGGTCCATAGCCATTCTAAAATCCAGCATAGCAAATATTTGGAGTTCTGTGATTAGGATTCAATCCCATTCCTGCCTGAGAATAACTCTCAAGTCCTGGCTTGGCTCTCTGAGACCTTAGCTTGGCTTTCTGATTCATCCTTCCTTTCTGTGAAAGACAGCCCTATTTGAAATGTCTTCAGATTGATTTTTGTCATAGAAATTGGGGTGCAAAGGCCTCTTTTCCTTTTGTACTGTCTCTACCTCTTTCAGGTGTTTCTGTCAAAAAAAATTATCTTAAAATATTTGTGGGTCTCCTATAAGCCTTAGTGGGATTCATTCTATTAGACAAAGCTATGCCCACAAGTCTCTGAAGATGAGCTTTCTCTACCTGGGGCTTCTCCTGAGACTGCTGAAGTACCAAATCCTTAAGCTCCTTGGAATTCTCTGAGACACTTCTCTAGATCTTTCTGAGATCTTAACAGAAGATTTTAAACTTATACCCATGGCTTTATCTGTAGTGCCATAGATTTTATCTTTGTTCAGAAGCCATTTCTTAATTTTAGTACCATTTGTTTTTGGAAAGGCTGGAGACATCAAATCCGGGCTCCTTTACATCTAATATTCCTTCCTTTAGCTTATGTCCTTTCTCTTGTTATTATAAGCAACAAAAAGCAGCCAGAAGTATCTTCAACACTCCCTAGAAATCTCCTTAACTAGATCACCCAGTTCATTAGACAAGTTTTCTACTTCTTCAATTTTTAATTTCATTTATTTTCATTTTTTTAGACAGGGTATTGCTCTCTCACCCAGGCTGGAGTGCAGGGACACAATCATGGCTCCTGCAGACTCAGCCTCCCTGGTTCAAGTGATCCTCCCACCTCAGCCAGAGAAGCTGGAACTAAAGGCATACACCACCATATCCACTAATCTTTATTATTTTTTCTAAAGGTAGGGTCTCACTATGTTGCCCAGGCTAGTCTCAAATTCCTGGACTCAAGTGATATTCCCACCTCGGCCTCCAAAAATGCTGGGATTACAGGTATGAGACACCATGTCCAGTCAGTTGTCTAATCTTTATGTTACCACAGACAACAATTACTCAACTTTCTGCCACTATATAACAAGAATCCCCTTCTCTCCAATTTCTAATAATGTTCTTCTCACTTTTCTTTAATTCCTCACCCTTAGCTTTTTCAGAAGTCATCGGGCAAATACTAACAAACTTTTCAAATCATTTCAGATGTCACTACAACTCTCCCGACAGTCCTGGCTTCTACCCGTTAACCTAGTTTAAAAACCACTCCCACATTTTAGGTTTTCGGTGTAGCAGCTCCCCACTTCTGGGCACCACAATCAGTATTAGTTATCTATCACTGAGTAACAAGCCACCTCCAAATTTAGCTTCTTAAAGTAGAAACGAGTATGTATTTTCTCACACATTTTCTGTGAGTCAGGAATTCTAAAGCAGTTTAATGAATGGTTCAGACTTAAGGTCTCTCGTGGGGTTGCAGTAAAGGTGGTAACTGGGCTGCAGTCATCTGGAGACTTGACTGAGTCTAGAGGATCCGCTTCCAAGACGACCCACTCACGACACTGAAAAGTTGACCTCTTGGCAGAAGATTTCAGTTTCTCTCCATGTGGACCTTTCCATAGGCCTGCATGAGTGTCTGCGTGACACAGCAGCCAGCTTCCGGCAAAGTGAGTGATCCAAGAGATACTAGCATATAAGCTATTTTATTTTTTATGAGCTGGCCTCAGCAGTCACACTTCATTTGTGTAATATCCTATTGGCTAGACAAGTCAGTCCCATTCAATGTGAGAGGTACTACACAAGAATGTGAATACCAAAAGGTGAAAACCACTGGGGATCATCTTGGAAGCTGGCATCTACTGTGGTAGAACAGAAAATCTCAGAGTGAAAAACAAGAATTCTGAGTAAGAAATGTGCATATTGCAATGACTACGCCAACTACTGCGAATGGTCTGAGAGAAACAGTGAGGGCGATGTGATAAACACACACATTAGCTGAGAAAGTTATTCAATATTTTGTTCACTGCCATCTTTTTTGATTTTTTGAAATGTGATGGTCAATCTGATCACTGTAATGGGAGATTTAATGTTGAACGTTCTGTGGTTTAAGTTATGAAGAGAACTCTGGAAGCATTTCCACTGTTAGCAAGAACATTAGGATTTTCAAGGCTTTCAAAGAAGTTTCATTAAAAACTTTCACTGTGCTTTTCAGAAGGGATGTTAGGAAACATGACATTTTTCTATTATGACAATTGTAACACTATGACAGAACTGGTACAAATTTTTCTTAAAATGGATAGCCTTATTATTAGAAGAAAAAAGAATAATAGAATAAAAAGTTTCTGAGGTGTTCAAATTCAAAAAATGCTGGATCTGGAGGGATAAATAGCAATAATATCAGGAGTAGCATTCACTCTAATCAGTAATCTTGGACTTCATTTAAACTATGTTTTATGTTTTGTTTTGTTTTGAGACAGAGTCTCGCTCTGTCGCCCAGGCTGGAATGCAGTGGCACCGTTTCGGCTCACTGCAACCTCCACCTCCCAGGTTCAAGCAATTCTCATGCCTCAGCCTCCTGAGTAGCTGGGATTACAGGCGTGCACCACCACACCTGGCTAACTTTTTGTATTTTTGGTAGAGCTGGGGTTTCGCCATGTTGGCCAGGTTGGTAAGTAAGTCACTTTTAAACAACTCAAATATTTTCCAAGAAAGAAAAACAGTTATCAATCACATCATAATATGTGGCAAAAAAGAGAATAGTTCAAAGTACCAAAACAAATTCTTCTAGAACTGTGGAATATGGCATGTTCAACTATTTATAGTAAATGAACCAATAAACTTAAACTATACCTTTAGTTTCTTAAAATCTCATTGAATCTTACAGTATTGCAGAATATTTAGAAGTTTATGAGTGGTTAAAGCCTGGAATAGATTTTGTTCACAGTAATTCCAATAGGACATACATATGACTTGAAAATTAAGGTAGAGAATAATTTATCAGTAAAGTATTTGTAAATCAGAAGTAATAACTACATCCTGGGAGAAATGGTAGAGAGTAGTGACATACTCAAAAATATGAAAGATGCAGGGTGGTGCTCTCATCATCTTTATGTGATGTACCAGTTGAGTCTCTGAAAAAAATCATACAAATCATGGCAAAACAGTGGACTGCTATGAATTTAACTAAGTGGTAGCCCCAATCAGAGCTGCTGCACCACAATTTGCTATCTTTAATGGGATAGACTGACAACTTCTGGCATATAGTATGTAGCTATTAATCTAGAGAGTGCAGTCTTTTTTACTATTATTATTATTATTATTATTATTATTATTATTATTATTATTATTTTGAGATGGAGTCTCACTCTGTCACCCAGGCTGGAGTGCAGTGGCGCGATCTCGGCTCACTTGCAACCTCCGCCTCCCAAGTTCAAGCGATTCTCCTGCCTCACACTTCTAAGAAGCTGGGACTACAGGTACGTACCACCATGCCTGGCTAATTTTTTATATTTTCAGTAGAGACGGGGTTTCAACATGTTGGCCTGGCTGGTCTCAAACTCCTGACCTCAAGTGATCCACCGCCTCGGTCTCCCAAAGTGCTGGGATTACAGGCTGAAAGCAGTCTTTTAAATCCTTACCAGGAAAAAAGATCAGAAGCAATTCATATTCATTTGTAACAGATATCAATACACATTAACAGTCTTGTCGTAGGGCTATATTAACTCTCCTGCTCTCTGTTGCAATGTAGTCCAAAGAGACTTTGATTGTGTGGACATTCCACAAAACATGATATTGGTCAGTTATATTGATGACATCTTATTAATGAAACTGGTGGTAGGAAATGGGGGCACTAAATGGTAAGTACTCTAAATGTGCTGGCAAGATAGATGTGCATCAGAAAGTGAAAGAGAGACCATGTGGCATGATTCAGAGACCTGTCCCATCAATGAAATTATCAGGGTCCCATTGGCCTCGGTCATGCAGAGACATCCTATCCAAGGTAAAGAACAATTTATTGCACCTTGCACATCCTACTGCTAAGAAAGAGGCACAGTGAATGGTAGCCCTCTTCAGATTTTTAGATAATATGCAAATTTGGGAATCCAACCCATTTGTCAATCCATTTGACTCCAAAGACTGCCAGTTTTGAACAGCGTCCGGAGAAAGAGATCTGCAGCAGATTTAGGCTGTGGTACAAGCAGCCCTGACACATAGGCTATAAGCCAGCAAATTCTGTGGTGCTAGAGGTATCTGTGGTGGATGAGGGATGCTACGCAGTCTCTGGAAAGTGTCAGTAGAAGAACTGGACCTCCAGTGTTCCAGAACAACAGCAGAGAATTAGACATTGTTTCAAAAGCAGCTTCTGGCTTGCTATTGGCCCTTAATAGAGACTGAGCACCTGACCATGGGACATCAAGGGACTATGAGAGCAGAGCTGTCAGGAATTGCACACAATAGTACATAGGTTAGGGGTGCAAAGTTGATACAAGCCAAAAATCCATCTGGAATAATATTTAAACTTATTTTATTGTAAAACAAAAGATGAAGACAGAAAAATCACTTAGAACAAATTTGTAACTCAAGAAATTATGATAAGGTGAACACCACCTTTGTCAAGAAGTAGGATATTGCCAGCAGCTCCAGAAGCTGCTTCCATGTGTCCCATCCCAGTCACAACTCTTCCTCTTCCCACATAAGTAATCACCATCTGGCTTTTATAATAATAACTTTCTTGCTTTTTAAAAATAGTTTTGTCGGCCGGGCGTGGTGTCTCATGCCTATAATCCCAGCACTTTGGGAGGCCGAAGCGGGTGGATCATGAGGTCAGGAGTTCAAGACCAGCCTGGCCAAGATGGTGAAACCCAGACTCTACTAAAAATACAAAAATTAGCTGGGTGTGGTGGTGGGTGCCTGTAATCCCAGCTACTCTGGAGGCTGAGGCAGAGAATTGCTTGAACCTGGGAGGCAGAGGTTGCAGTGAGCCGAGATTGTGCCACTGCACTCCAGCCTGGGTGACAGAGTGAGACTCCGTCTCAAAAAAAAAAAAAGAAAAAAAAGCAGTTTGTCACTCAGATATGCATCCCTACATATTATCTGTTAGTGTTACTTGGTTAAAAAAATTACATGTCTTGTAAATGTCTCTTATTCTGTAAGTTCTTCCTCCATCCCCTCATTTCCTCATACTTTTTCAGTTAAAGAACCTGGGCCATTTGACCCATAGAGTGTCCCGCATTCTGGATTTTGCTAATCGCATATTCTTCGTGCAACCCAAGAAGTTCATCTGTCCTCTGAATTTCCGAAAATTGGCAGCTGGATCCAGAGACTGAGTCAGACTTAGGTTCAAGACTATGAGGCATATGATTTCTAATTATTTCTTTTTATGATCTTAGTAGCCATTGATGTTTAATGCTTATAGCCATTAACTAGAGATTGCCAAATGGTGATGTTAAAGTTCTGTCATTTTATTTTCATTTATTTGTTGGATTACCTTTCTAAGGAGACACTTACTCTCATTTACTTGTTTGTTACCAAGTTCACATAGAAAAGGCAGGATAAGTGTTGGATTTCCTCCCTTTATTCACCAGTTTTCAAGATAATGAATTGTTTCCTTGTTATTCTCCAAAGGTCTCACATACACACACACAGACACACAGACACACACACACACACACTCACACTCTCACATATAATCATTATAAACTTTTCAATATAAACATTTTTATAGGCTTCAATCTGTTTTAATTATTATCATTATTGGAGCTCAAATTGTCCCATCTTTGGCTTAGAAGTGCTTTAAACCTGTCCTCTGAATCCTTTTGACATGCCCCTAGTAATATACAATGAGACCCTAGTAGTTTTCTTTCTGATAATATAAGACATTCCAGGCTTGTCATATTCATTTCTTGCCTAAGTCCTGGAATCAACCATTTCTCTAAGAAGCCCTTTTTTGTAAATGAGAAATTGTGGTGAGAATTGTAGATTGTTCCACAATCTGTGCACGCACAAAGGATACTCATTCCTTCTGGGTTGATCATTGTTTTCAGGCCTATACAGTAGGTAGAATTAGAAAATATAAATAAAATGCCTGATGCATCCACATTGATCATTCCAAGTTCAACTCAATTTTATGTAACCTGTTTTCTATTATATCTGTATCTCCTTTTGCTATATGAGAATTCTGGTTCTCAAAGATGCAGAGGATCATGGAATTAGTATATTCCATAATTACTCACTTGTTTTTACCTCATACTACACACACACAAATCTCAGAATAATCATATTAATATTACCACCAATATGATTACTGCAAAAGTTCTTAAAATCCATATACTCTCCCCAGTCTTAAAATAGAAATACTCTATTGAGGATTCAGGTTCAAGATGGCTGACTAGAGACATTGGACACTCACCCTCTCCAGAAAGAAGACCCAAAATTATGAAGAGATAAGCACACCTCGAATAGAACATCCAGGAGAGAGCACTAGAGTCCAACAGAGAAGTCTCAGCAAGCGCCTGAGGCACAGAGGAGAAGGAAGCGAGTGGCCAGCTCAGTCAGGAGAAGTTGGGAGCCAGAGGTGCTCGCTATTGTGGGGAAGGGTAAGTGAGAGAACATCAGTGGTCCAATTCTCCCCACAACAAACTACTGTAACCCCAGCCATGGGAAGCTCCTCTAACCACACAAACCCTGATGCTAGCATGGGGAATGACCTGCAGACCCTGCAAGGACATTACACTGACAGGGAATTCATACTGGGTCACTCACACCCCCTGAGACCTAAGCAGCTGCAACAGGGCACTACTGGGAGAGCACAGCCATCATGAGACTGCATCCTGCCCTGGGAACTACAGCTCCCATCTGTCCACATCCCAGGAGCCTTCACTGACATCCCCCAGTGTCCACCCAGAGGGCTACAGTGGCACAGCACTGGCTGGCCCCAAAGGTGCTGTAGGGTCCCCAGTACTCTAGCTCACAGGGAGTACTACTCCGCAACAACAGATCCCAATCAAAAAGAAATCCATGAAATCCTGGAAAATTGCACTGCACAAAAAAGGCAGCCCCGGACAAAGGAAAATAAAGTGTATGCTTTCTAGAGCCTGAGAGCTTCCCTGTCTGGGGCTGTGAGAAGCAATCCTGCCCCCAGCAGCAGCACAAACTCTGTGCTCAGGCTTACAAGCAGAGAGTGAGAACCCCTCCCTACCTCCACATACTGCCACAGCAGTTGCTGCAACCAGGAGCCGAGGTGGATAATCCTGAGAGCTGACAGTCTGGGGCTGAGAGAAGTGACCCCACCCCCACCAGCAGAGCAGCCTCTGTGCTCAGGCTTGCCCATAGACAGCAGGACCTTCTCTCCCCTTTGTCACACTGCTGCAGCTGTAGCCACTGCTGCTGCCACCAGGAGCTAGGACAGGCAAGACAAAAGGCTGCCTGTCTGGGGCTGTGAGTGGCAACCACGCCCCAACTGGCAATGTGGCTTTCATGCCCAGGCTTATGGGCAAAAGACAGGGTCCCTTCCCACTTCTATGTGGTGCTGCGGTGCTGCTGCGCTGCTGCCACCAAGAGCAGGCAAGCCTGTCAGCTACATGTCTGGGGCTGTGGATGGTGACCTCATATCACAGCCACTGCCAACACCAGTGCACACTACTCAGACCCAGAGAATCATCCTCCCACTGCTACTGCCAGCACCCATACCACGCCAGCTGCCTAGGTATCTCAGAACTCATTCACCCTCCTGGCCCACCACTGCCACTGCCAGTATTTGAGTGAGCCACCTGGAGGCTCAAGAATTGACCTGCCTGGTCCCACTAACACCAGTGCTAGCAAATGTCACCCTGGGGCTAAGAACAAGTATACTCAGCCCACTGCTGCCACCACTGAGGCCTGAAGACTGGCCCACCTGGCAGCTTTGTCCTCAGCAAAACTTCATCACAGCCTCTACTAATAAATGCACCCTAAACAACCAAAGAAATCACAGATATCATTCATGCCATCTACAGTCAAAGAAATCATGCAGAGACTACACTACTGCACACGCCCAGAATCAAAGCCCAAAGGGCCCTATCCAAGCAACATTATTGATACATCTTCAGGAAAAAGTCCTCCCATATGAAAGCAAATTTTAAAAATTGAAAGAAATTACTACTACAGCAGATGCACAGATATCAATTTAAGGATGCAGGAAACATGAAAAAGCAAGGAAATATGACACCTCAAGAACACAATAATTTCCCAGCAACAGATGCCAATCAAAAAGAAATTCATGAAATTCTGAAAACAGAATTCAAAAGTGTGATACTAAATAAGCTCAGTGAGATACAAAAGAATTCTGAAAAACGATACAAAGAAATAAGAAAAACAATTCAGAATATGAATGAGACATGTAACAAAGAGATAAATATCATTAAAAAGGACTAAATAGAAATTCTGGGACTGGAGAACTCCTGGAATGAAAGATAAAATATACTTGAAAGCTTCAATGATAGGCTAGATCTGCTTTCTCTGTCAATGACAGAGAAGATTCTAAAAGTAGCCAGAGAAAAGCATCTGGTCACTTATAAAGGAGCCCCTATTGGACTAACAGTTGACTTCTCAGCAGATACTTTACACACCAGGAGAGAATAGGATGATATATTCAAAGTGCTGAAAGAAAAAACTACTCCTACCCAAGGGTACTACATCCAGCAAAATTATTCTTCATAAATGAAGGAGAAATACAGTCTTTCCCAAGCAAATGCTGAGGGATTTCATCACTACTGAACTGACCTTACAATATATGCTCAAAAAAGTCCGAAACCCGAAAGCAAAAAGATGACAGTTAGCATCATGAAAATACACAAACTTATAAAACTCACTATAAAGCAAACACACAAATGAGGAAGAGAAAAGACTCAAATGGTACCACCACAGGAGAACAGCAAACCACAAGGACAAACAATAAGAGAGAAAAAAAAAAGGAAGCAATCAGAAAATAATTAACAGTAAAGCAAATAAAACCTCATATATCAATAATTACTTCGAATGTAAATGGATTCAATTCTCCACTTAAAAGATGTAGACTGACTTAAGAAATTTTTAAAAAGTGAACCAACTATATGCTGCCTACAAGAAACACACTTTACCTGTAAAGACAGATACAGACTGAAAGTAAAAGGTTGGAAAAAGATATTCCACACAAACAGAAATCAAAAGTGAGCAGGAGCAGTTATACTTATATCAGATAAAACAGACTTTAAGTCAAAAGCAGTTTTTAAAAAAAGACAAAGACAGTCATTATGTAATGAGAAAGGGATAAATCCAGCAAGAGGATACAATAATTTTAAATACATATGCACCCAACACTGGAGCACCCAGATTCATAAGTCAAATATTACTAGATCTAAAGAAAGAGCTAGACTCTGATACAATAATAGTGGGAGACTTCAACTCCCCACTCCCAGAGAAGCATTAGACTTAAACTGGACTTTAGACCAAATGGACCTAATAGACATTTACAGAACATTTTATCCAACAACTGCAGAATAAACATTCTTCTCATCAGGACATGGTACATTCACCAGGATTGACTATACGTTAGGCCAGAAAGCATGTCTCAACAAATTTTCAAAAATCAAAATTATATCAAATATCTTCTCAGACCACAATGGAATAAAACTATATAAATCAATACCAGAAGGAACTTGGAAACTATACAAATACATGGAAATTAAACAACATGCTCTTGAATGACCATTAAGATGAAAATCAAAAATTTCTTGAAACAATTGAAAATAGAAACATAACATGCAAAACCTGTGGGACACAGCAAAAGCAATGCTAAGAGAGAAGTGTATAGCAATAAATGCCTACATCAACAAAAATAAAGATTTTAAATAAACAATCTAATGATACACTCCAAGAAACTGGAAGAGCAAGAACAAACCCAAAATTCACAGAAGAAAAAAACACAAAGATCAGAGAAGTGGTGAAATAGAGCAAATATTTCAAAGAGCAAATATATATATATGCTCTTTGAAAAGATAAAGTTTATAAACCACTAGACTAACCAAGAAGAGAGAAGACCCAAATAAACAAAGTCAGAAATGAAAAAGGATACATTACAACTGATACCACAGAAATACAAAAGATCATCAGAGATCATTATGAACAACTAACTATATGATAACCAACTGGAATATGTAGAGGAAATGAATAAATTCCTGGAAACAAAACCCACCAAGATTGAATCAGGATGAAATAAAAAACCTGAACAGACCAATAACAGGTAGCAAGATTGAATCAGTAAGAAAAAGCCTCTCAACAAAGAAAAGTCCAGGACCAGATGGAATAACAGCTGAATTTTACCAAATGCAAAAAGAAAAATTAATAACAATCCTCCTCAAACTATTCCAAAAACTTGAAAAGGAGGGAATCATCTCTTACTCATTCTGTAAGGCCAGTATTACTCTGATGCCAAAACCAGACAAGGACACAACAAAAAAAGAAAAGTACAGGCCAATATCCCTGATTAACACAGATGCAAAAACCCTCAACAAAATACTAGCAAACTAAGTGCAACAGCACATCAAAAAGATAATACACCATGATCAATTTAAATTTATACTAGGAATGCAAGGATGGTTCAGCACATGCAAATCAATAAACATGATACACCACATCAACAAAATGAAGGGCAAAACCATATGTTAATCTCAATAGATGCAGAAAAAAGATTTGACAAAATTCAACACTGCTTCAGGATTAAAAATGCTCAACAAATTAGGCATAGAAGAATCATACCTCAAAATAATAAAGGCAATATTAGAACAAACCTACAGCTATCATCATACTGAATGGTGAAAACCTTTCCTCTATTAATTGGAACAAGTCAAGAATGCCCACTTTCACCGCTTCTATTCAACATAGTACTGGAAGTCCTAGCCAGAGCAATCAGACAAGAACAAGAAATAAAAGGCATCTAATTTGGAAAAGAGAAAGCCAAATGATCCTTCTTTGCAGACGACATAATTTTATATCTAGAAAAAACAAAAGGTGCCACCAAAAAACTCCTAGAACTGATAAATTCAGTAAAATTACAGGATACAAAAACACAAAAATTGGTAGCACTTCTATACTCCAATAATGAAATAGGCAAAAAAGAAATCCAGAAGGCAGTTCCCATTACCAAAAAAAAATACCTAGAAATAAATTTAACCAAGGAGGTGAAAGATCTCTACAAGGAAAACTACAAAACACTATGAAAGAAATCGAAGAGGATACGAATAAATGGAAAGACATTTTGTGCCCATGGATTGGAAGAATTCATATCATTAAAATGACCATACTGCCCAAAGTAATCTACAGATTTGATACAATCCTTATCAAAAATACTAATATCATTTTTCACAGAAATAGAAAAAAAAATTCCAAAATTTGTATGGAACCAAGAAAGAACACAAATAGCCAAAGCATTACTAAGCAAAAAGAACCAAGCTGGAGGTATCACACTACCTGACTTCAAAACAGACTACAAGTAACCAAAACAGCATGATGTTGGAATGAAAATAGACAAATAGACCAATCTAATAGAATAGAGAACCCAGAAATAAATCCACATATTTATAGCCAACTGATCTTCAACAAAGCCACCAAGAACATACATTGGAGAAATGACACCCTTTTCAATAAATGGTGCTGAGGCAAGTGGATAACCATACTGAGAAGAATGAAACTGGCTATCAGATACATAACCTGAAGTAAAAAAAAAAAAAAAAAAAAAAAAAAAGAATGAAACTGTACCCCTATCTTTCACCATGTACAAAAGTCTACTCAAAATGGATTAAATACTTAAACGTAAGACCCGAAACTATAAAACCACTAGAATAAAACAGGGAAAACTCCTCAGGATACTTACTGGTCTAGGCAAAGATTTTTATGGCTAAGACCTCAAAAGCACAGGCAATAAAAACAAAAATAGGCTGGGCATGGTGGCTCACACCTGTAATCCCAGCACTTTGGGAGGCCGACGTGGGCAGATTGCTTGATCCCAGGAGTTCAAGACCAGCCTGGGCAACATGGTAAAAACCCATCTCTACCAAAAAAAGTACAAAAATTAGCCAAGTGTTGTGGCACATACCTTTAGTCCCAGCTACTCAGGAGGCTGAGGTAGGAGGATCGCTTGAACCAAGGAGGCAGAGGCTGCAGTGAGCCAAGATCATACCACTGCACTCCAGCCTGGGCAACAGAATGAGACCCTGTCTGAAAAAAAAGAAACACACACACACACACACACACACACACACACACACACACAAATGGAAGTATATTAAACTAAAAAGCTTCTGCACAGCAAAAGAAATAACCAATGGAGTAAAGAGACAACCTCTTGAATGGGAGAAAATATTTGCAAATTACTCCTCAAACAGGGGACTAATATACATAATACACAAGGAACTCAAATCAACAGTGGAAAAAATAATTTCATTTAAAAATGGGCAAAGGCCTTATTTACTACAAAACAGAAATGTCTCATGACTTTTCTACATGTACCATACTTTAATAGATCTCATACACTAGAATTCAGATCATGAATGACTGACAGAATATTTTGCTGGGCAGTCCTGATTTAAAACTAAGACTGGCTTGTGGCTAAATGAGTATGTTCAGTTTGTGAATTTAATAGTAATTCCAATTCAGTAAGTGCTATTACTGTTTACCCCTTCCAAAGATATGATTAGACTTCGTTAGTAACGTTCAACTTTCCACAAAGATGGTGAGTGCCATCTTAAAACTTATTGGAGATTGGTTTTATTTAGATTTATATAACTGTTTATGTAAATATATTTAAATACTGGGGAAATTTCTTCACTGTCTCAGAACAAAGCAAGATTCACCTGTGTTTTGTGTTCATTTGCCTCTTAAACGCAAGGGTTGAAGATAAATAAGGGAGCAATGTCTACTTTATATTTTTGGCCTTAACTATGCCAATCTAATTAGAATTCCCTGTATTTAAAATGGTTCATTTTACTTATTGAAAGGCATTTTAGTGTGGGGTTTATGTGTAATATCAAAGATTGTTGAACACTTCTCACATTTTATAGATCTATAAGGTCACATGCTTTTAAAATAGTAGCAAGTTAAACTTCACTCTTGAATTCTTTAAAATCTAAGTCAAACTAAGTTATAATTTAGGATTGTCTTTAAACAGACTTCAGAAACATAAAACTGTAGAAACTGCTGTGTATTTGTGATTGGGAATGGTGCTTTTGCCAACTTAAAAGGATTAAAGTAGAGGAGATATACACAAATTTTAAAATTATGTATGATCATAAGACTTAAGATAATTAAAAAGAAAACCACAGATCATGGAAAAAAATGAGCAAAGGCCATCAATTGACATTTCCTGAAAGAAGACATACAAATGCCCTATAGGTATATGGAAAAAATGCTCAACATCACTAAATCATGAGGGAAATGCAAATAAAAACTACAATGAGATATTGTCTCACCCCAGTTCTAATGGCTATTTATTATTAAAAAGACAAAAAATAACAGATGCTGGTGAGGATGTGGAGAAAAAGGTCTTTATACACAGTTGATGGGAATGTAAATTAGTACAACTACTATAAAAAACAGTATGCAGATTTCTCAGGAAACTAAAAGTATTAGTTTTAGTTTCAGTAGTCACAATATTGGGTATCTATCCAAAGGAAAAGAAATTAGTATGTCAAAGTGATACCTGTGCTCGCAGGTTTTTCACAGCACTATTAACAATAGCAAAGATGGCCAGGCGCAGTGGCTCACGCCTGTAATTCCAACACTTTGGGAGGCCGAGGCAGGTGGACCACCTGAGGTTGGAAGTTCGAGGCCAGCCTGACCAACATGCTGAAACCCCTCTCTACTAAAAATACAAAATTGGCCAGGTGTGGTGGTGCATGCCTGTAATCCCAGCTACTCAGGAGGCTGAGGCAGGAGAATCGCTTGAACCCAGAACACAGAGTTTGTGGTGAGCTACGATCACGCCATTGCACTCCAATCTGGGCAACAAGTGCGAAACTCCGTCTCAAAAAACAACAAAATAAAACAATAGCAAAGATACGGCATCAACCTAAGTATCCATCGATGGAGGAATGGATAGAGAAAATGTACTATATACACACAGTGGAATACTCATTCAGCCGTAAAAAGAGTGAACTCATGGCCGGGCTTGGTGACTCATGCCTGTAATCCCAGCACTTGGCCTCCCATTTGGGAGGCCAAGGCAGGTGGATCACTTGGGAGCAGGAGTTCGAGACCAGCCTGGACAACATGGTGAAACCCTGTCTCTACTAAAAATACAAAATTGTCTGGGTGTGGTAGCACCCGCCTGTAATCCCAGTTACTTGGAAAGCTAACATACAAGAATTGCTTGAATCCAGGAGGCGAAGAATGCAGTGAGGTGAGACTGTACCACTGCACTCCAACCTGGTTGACAGAGTGAGACTCCATCACAAAGAAAAAAAAATGAAATCATGTCATTTGCAGCAAGATGTATGGAACTGGTCAGTATGTTGCAGAAAATAGGCCAAGCACAGAAATACACATACTACATGTTCTCACCCATATATGGGAGTTAAAACCTTGATCTCATGGACATAGAGAATTAAATGATAGATAGATGGTCAGTAACTGGGAAGGGTAGGTGGGGGAAGGAGGAGGGGATGAAGAGAGGTTGGTTATGGGTATAAACACACAGTTAGATAGGAGAAATAAGTTCTATTGTTTGATAGCAAACTAGGGTGATTACACTTAGCAACTAGAAGAGAGGACTTGAAGTGATAACAACATATAAAAATAATAAACACTCAAGGTGATGGATACCCCAATTACCCTGACTTAATCATTACACATTCTATGTACCTAACAAACACTCATGTCTAACCCATAAATATATAAAATATTATATATCAATAAAAGAGAAAATAGTTGTACTATATTTACTTTGTCAGAACCATTATATACTACACTCTCTCCCTCTTTTTTTTTTTTTTTTTTTTTGGAGACAGGGTCTTGCTCTGACACCCAGGCTGGAGTGCTGTGGCATGATCACAGCTCACTGCAGCCTTGATGTCCCTGACTCAAGCAAGCGATCCTCCCATCTCAGCCTCCCGAGTAGCTGGGAAGGTGTGCATCACTACACCCAGCTACTTTTTTTAATTTTTCATAGAAACAGGGTCTTCTTATGTTACCCAGGCTTGTCTCGAACTCCTGGGCTCAAGCAATCCTCCCTCAGTCTCCCAAAATGCTGGGAGTGTAGGCGTGAGCCGCTGTACCTGGCTTACTCACTCCCTCTTAACCAGTGGTGTGCTGCAGCCAGTTCATACCAGCTCAGGAAAGCCAATTGTTAAATTTTCAGGAACTTTGCAAGCTAGTTGTTAAGCACATCCATTATTTAAATTAAATTATATACTATATAACTATATATGGTGTATAAATATTACTATATAATGGTGTGGTGAGCACATCACTTCTCAACTCAGCATTCAGTGACATCAAGTTGCTATCCTGAAATCAGCCATGGTGGAAATATTTATACCATAGAAATTAGCCAATGCTACAAATCAGGACTTGTTTTATTGTTTTTCATGATTGTCTTGACTTAAGAAAGTGATAAAGAAAATATTAATAATACAAATTAAACTTAAGCCTATTGTGTATATAGCCATTACATTTTAGATAGCATCCAAAAATATGAGTAAATATTTAAAAACTATTATCCAATACATCAAAGAAGTCCCTTATATCTTTGACAAATTTGTGAACTTCTGATATACATCTTCATTGTTTCACATTTGTCTTACTCATTAACATAAAAATATCAACCAACATTCATGTTAGAAGGAATCATTCATCAATGACATGAGCAACTTCTTTACTGAATCAGGTAATAGTCATGCATTTATTCATAGTCTGATATTTGTGACACTATTATTGCAGAGATAATTTTTAAAACTGTTAGTGGATTTTGCAAAAAAATAGCATCTCACACTAAAGTTATAGGTACAGGCTGAAAAACAAGGTATTTCAACTTAAAATATACGTCATTTCTAAAAAACAAAACAAAACAAAACAAAAAAACACAGTGCTGCTCTTACCCTTCAGTTAGTCTTAGTTATACAGTTAATATATTTAATGCTTACCAGTCCTTATTCTGATGTCTCTAGTCATTCTGTTTGTCTGAAGCTCATTCTCTTGTAGATTCTTTAGGTAGTATTCATTGCAATATGGTACCTGAGTTTTTGTTTGCTGACAACAATGTGTGGTCTTCATCTCTGAAAGTCAGTTTTGCTGAATATAAAATCTTTAGCTCACATTTTCTTTCCTTGCATATCTTAAATAGGGTACTCCATTCTTATCTAGTATAAAGCATTCTGTGAAAAATTCAATGATCTCTATTTCTTTTCCTTATAGGTCACATGCTCTTTTTTTCTAGATGTTCACCCCGTTTTTTCTTTTTCCTTAAAGTTTAGTAATTTTACTAGAATATGTCTTGTTATTGGTCCTTCTGATTGAATATTCTCAGTTACACTTTCAATACATAATTTTGAATCTTTTTTTATTTCAGCAAAGTTTTCTATATTCCAGTTTTTATTATTTGTTCTGTTCCTTTACTTTGGTTTTCTTCTTCAGGGACCCTATAATCCATGTAGTCAATATAGTCTTTGCCTGTCTTTAATATTTATCACTTCCTTTTGAATCCCTTTAGTGTCTTTTCACATTTATTTTTTATGTTTAATTTTCCTATTTTGCACCTTCTATTTCTTTTATGGCAGTATTTATAGAGTTTGTTCACTTTTATATTCCTTCTAGTTTAGGCTTCACTTTTGAAATTATTTTTTCTTTTGTTTCTTATTCTTTGCTGAATTCTGCCACCTCATTTCTGAGTTTTTCTAATTGTGATATATTTGTTCTGTCGTGTCTAACATTTTCTTCATATCTTTTAGTTGTTTTGAAATAGTAGGTCATAGTTTTGATCTTTCTGTCATAGAATTATTATTCTCTGTACCTCTTATTCTTTTTCTTTTTTTATTTTTTATTTTATTTTTATTTATTTATATATTTTGAGATGGAATCTCGCTCTATCGCCAGGCTGGAGTAGCGCCATCTCGGCTCACTGCAACCTCTGCCTCCCAGGTTCAAGTGATTCTCCTGCCTCAGCCTCTCGAGCAGCTGTGACTACAGGCGTGCACCACCACGCCCAGCTAATTTTTGTGGTTTTAGTAGAGACGGGGTTTCACCATGTTGGCCAGGATGGTCTCAATCTCTGAACCTCGTGATCCGCCTGCCTTGGCCTCCCAAAGTGCTGGGATTACAGGCGTGAGTCACCGCGCCCAGCCTCTTTTTCTTATAATAACTTTGTATGAGATTTGACCTTAACATTTTTTAACTTCTTAGTTCATGTGAAAATAGTTTTTCTGGACACCTAGAATAAGCAGGGTACAGGAAACCTCTATCATCACAGAGTTCCCTCTTTGTGTGGTTGATGCCCAATAAGATGGTAGCTTGCTTTCTGAGCTTTCTTGGCTCTGTTTCCACACTCCACTTCAATCTGAACCGTCTCTTTCCTTCCATCTCTATTGTTTCTATCCTGCTCAATTTTGATTCCACTCCCATGAGTTTCTCAGTGTGGACCTCTTACCCAGAAGGGTCCACTGTCAGGTCAGTTTTGAGAACTCCTCAGGGATAGACTTCTCTAGTTTTCTCAGTCGTTACTGCAGAACCCTTGCACTCACTTGGTGCTGAAGAAAGCAAAACCCCTCCCTCCAGGTTTCAGCTGCTCTTCTCTAACCTTGCTTTCCGGTGAATACTTGTTGGCTACTTTAGGGTTCTGCTCTTTTTCTGTTCTTCCTTCTTCTTTCTCCTGCACAGTTGCTATTTGTATTTTATGGCTACTGGTGTTTTGGGCCCCACCCATTCGTAGTTTGGAGTTTGTGGGGGAAACTTTCTATTTGGTTGTGTTGTAAATGGAGTCCATGAGTTTTTAGTTTTGTCTCTCAGTTTATCTGACAGTTTTTATGTAGAAAATAAGAGACTGAAAAACCACCTTATGTGGAGAAATACAGAGACTGAAACTATGCTGCTGCCATCATCATCTCCCCAGAATTCTCTGTCTAAAGTTAATTTTTGTATAAAGGTAGAGGCCCAATTTCCATGTTTTCCCACCTGGATAACTATTTTTCCAAAACCCTATAATAACTATTTTTCCAAAAGTCTACTCTGTCATTGCTTTGCAATCCTGCCTCTGTTGTACATCAAGTGTTCATAGATGAACAAGTGTGATGAGTTTGCTTCTGGACTCTCCATTCTCCATTGGCTTAATCACCTATTCCTGTGACAATATCTCACTGTTTTAACAAATGAATCTTTATTAAAATTCTAATATCTGGTAAAGAAATATCTCCTTACCTTATTCTTTTTTGGAAGTGCTTGGTCCTTTGTTCTTCCATATACGTTTCCAAATCAAGTTGGTTAAGTTCCTTTGAAAAACCCTGTTAGAATTTTAGTTGAAACTGCATCAAAATTTTTCAACAATTTGAGATGCAGTTTATATTATGATATTGAGTCTTCCTATCCATACATTGTATGGGAGATTTATTTGTTTTCTTTGAATTTTTAGAAGACCTTTATAAAATGTATTATATAAGATGAACATGTTCTGGGGATCTAATGTACAGCATGAGTGGTGATAGATATGTTAATTACTTTGATTGTGGTAATCATTATACAATGCATATGTATATTAAATCATCATGTTGTACACCTTGAATATATGTCTTTATTTGACAATTAAATATTTTTGAAGAAATTTGTATTAAATAAATTTACTTTTTGGTAAATCCTTTACTATCTTGCCAGCTCTTCAATATTTTGGGAAGATTTTTAAAAATAATTTTGCAGCATTTTTAATCATTTACAAAAAGAAGAGAAACTCAGATACCCAACCAGCAATATTATTGAAAATAGTCTTTTCAAGCAGAGTTAATATATCCTGCTTAGTACTTTACCTCTTGGCAGCCAATTAGTATGATATAAAAAGGTAAATATGGGCCAGGTGCAATGGCTCATGCCTGTAACCCCAGCACTTTGGGAGGCCGAAGTGGGCAGATCACCTGAGGTAAGGAGTTCAAGACCAGCCTGGTTGCCCATGGTGAAATCCTGTCTCTACTAAAAATACAAAAATTAGCTGGACTTGGTGGCACATGCCTGTAATCCCAGCTACTCAGGAGGCAGGAGAATCGCTTGAACCCAGGAGGCGGAGGATACAGTGAGCCGAGATCCTGCCACTGCACTCCAGCCTGGGTGACAGAGCAAGACTCCGTTGCAAAAATATATATATATTTTTTGAAAACTTCAAAAACTATTTTTAAACATTTAAATATATATACATGGATATATACACAAAGAAATACATGTATAGATGTACATATATGACATATATAAATATGTAATGTACATATAAATGCAGAATCTGTGTGTATGTAGACAGTTTATGAGTGTGTACACACTTTTAAAAAGAAAGAGAATAATAGACAAAATTGGTTGTTTACCTCCTGGAAGAAGGCAGGAGGACAGAATGGGAAAGAAAGTAAAAGTAGATATAGGTTATTGTTAATTTTCTAATTCCTGAATTGGATAAGTTTCCTTTAAATCTATTATATTATGAGTAAATTTGAATTGGATAAAAGTTTCCTTTAAATCTATTATATTATGAGTAAATTTAAAAGATCTTTTAATCTTTTAATATAACATGAAATAGTTAAATGAAATACAGAAAATAAATTTAAATTATAAAAACAAAAGCATTTTAATGTTCATGTGTGCATGCCTGATCACAAGTTTCATTGGGGTCTGGGACATATCAAGACAATCTATACATACATAAGTACATTATTGAGCCTGTTTATTTTTTGCCTCTTTTTTAAAAAAAAGATGGGACTCACTGCATAAAAGTGAACTGATTAAAATCTTTGATCCAGAGTGCGGTATCATTACCATTGGTATATGTGTAATCTTTCTTTTTTTATTTTTTTATTTTTATTTTTTTGAGACAGAATCTCGCTCTGTCGGCCAGGCTGGAGTGCAGTGGCGCGATCTCGGCTCACTGCAAGCTCCGCCTCCCGGGCTCACGCCATCCTCCTGCCTCAGCCTCCCAAGTAGCTGGGACTACAGGCGCCCGCCACTACGCCCGGCTAATTTTTTGTATTTTTTTTAGTAGAGACGGGATTTCACCGTGTTGGCCAGGATGGTCTCGATCTCCTGACCTCGTGATCCGCCCGCCTCGGCCTCCCAAAGTGCTGGGATAACAGGCGTGAGCCACCGCGCCCGGGCAGGAGGATTAGCCGGGCGTGGTGGCGGGCGCCTGTAGTCCCAGCTACTTGGGAGGCTGAGGCAGGAGAATGGCGTGAGCCCGGGAGGCGGAGCTTGCAGTGAGCCGAGATCGCGCCACTGCACTCCAGCCTGGCCGACAGAGCGAGATTCTGTCTCAAAAAAATAAAAATAAAAAAATGAAAGATCACACATATACCAATGGTAATGATACCGCACCCTGGATCAAAGATTTTAATCAGTTCACTTTTACGCAGTGAGTCCCATCTTTTTTTAAAAAAAAAGAGGCAAAAAATAAACAGGCTCAATAATGTACTTATGTATGTATAGATTGTCTTGATATGTCCCAGACCCCAGTGAAACTTGTGATCAGGCATGCACACATGAACTTTAAAATGTTTTTGTTTTTATAATTTAAATTTATTTTCTGTATTTCATTTAAGTATTTAAAGTTATATATACCTTTATCATACACCATTAGAGTAAATATTTTTAAGAGACTCGTTTTAGATGTGAATATATGGTGTACGTGTGTGTACATACACATGTATGTATTCAAACACATGTCCCAGCCAAAAAGTTTTTGAAAAATATTGCCCTGCGTAATCCAGAAGGCTACCTTGTTGCCGATTGGCTCTCTTCAGCTTCATTTTTTTCCTTTGGTGTTGACCTTTTTATCGACTAAATTAGACCATTTTAAAACTGCACGTGTTTATTCCTGGGTTCCTTTCAGATCTCTAGGGCAAAACTGCTAACAGTGGCCTTGGAGTTGAATGCGGCTGGGAGAAGAAATCCAGGGAGTTAGCAGCCTCTCTGATTTCAACACACAGGACCATCTCTCACACCTTTTCATGGTGACAGCTGGGAACTGCGGCTGGGTTTTTTGTTTTTGTTTATTTGTTTGTTTGTTTGTTTTTAGATGGCCTTATCCCTTCCCAGAGAGCACAGGAGTTTGTAAATTGAGACAGGAAATCACGGGGAATTGATAAATGTTAGAAATGTCTTTTAGGAAAACAGTTTGGAGACAAATAGTCTAGAATCTTGGGCCACCATTGGCGTGAAATTCTAACATATAAAAACCTCAAAGTGCCCTCTGCTGGCAGCCAGTGTTCACCGCCACTAGTCTGTAATTACAAAATCATGCAGACTTCATTGGTACCTACTAAGTTTTAAACTGATACAAAGGGAGTTATGCTAATATTTACTATTATGCTCTCCAACTGACAACATGGAAATGGCACCCCATAAGTTAGAATAGCTCTAAGTTACACAGAATCTACTGTTAAAAGACAGCTTTTGCTAAATGATTTTAAGTATTACAAACAAAACAAATTTATACACTAATTGAAAATGAAATGGACTGGTCATTTAAATTATTGAGAATAATTGTTATATTAAAACTAACTGTTTTGGCCGGGCACAATGGCTCACGCCTGTAATCCCAGCACTTTGGGAGGCCGCGGTGGGTGGATCACTTGAGGCCAGGAATTTGAGACCAGCCTGGCCAACATGGCAAAACCCACTCTACTAAAAATACAAAATATTAGCCGGGCTAATATTTTGTATGGCTCGCACCTGTAATCCCAGCTACTCGGGAGGCTGAGGCAGGAGAATCACTTGAACCTGGGAGGCGGAGGTTGCAGTGAGCTGAGGTCATACCATCCATTTTGAAGAAGCTTTAATTAAAGAAACTTTAATTCAAGGTATAAATCTCTTTTGAGTCCTTACTTTACCAAACAGTATTTTATATAGCTAAGTAAATTAGGATATTTTTGATATGGAGTGAATATTTTAAAAAATTTTTGTTAGTTTTGTGATATTGTCAGCTTTCTGATACTATTGCTATGTTAAAATATTCCTAATATAAGCAAGTGGAGAGCTGATGGATGAAACATGCATAGTGAAGTGTTGGTAATTGTTGAATGAGCATGATGGCCACACAGCGTTCACTATTCTATTCCCTCTAATTTTTTGTATGTTTTAAAATGTCTAAAATAATACAACACATCTATAGACACACATACTCATACTCATACACACAAACACAAGCATACAACTACAGTGCAGTGTATTTCAGATTGAAATTTTCTTATGATAGGAAAAGTACATAGAAGTGCCACCTTCTATATTGTTGTTCAAACACTATAGACACACCAGTGACATTGGTCACTGAGCTGTTTTACTTAAAAAATAAAAAATAATAGAATAATAAAATAAAAGTTATTAGTAGTAGAGTGTGCTACATTTATAAAATTAACATTTTGTGAGCAAGTATAACTTTAAAAGAATTTTTTGCAAGAATCCCCAGGAACATATGAGTTCAATTCATTCACCACTGTATAAGTGCAAAACATGTGATATAAAACACTTATCAAAAATGTTCTGCGGCCAGGTGCAGTGGATCACACCCACAATTTCAGCACTTTGAGAGGCTGAAGCTGGAGGATCACTCGAGCCCAAGAGTTCAAGACCAGCCTGGCAAACATAGTGTGACCCCATTTCTATTATTTAAAAAAAAAAAAAAAGTCTGCCTGGCCAGTGGCTCACCCCTGTAATCCCAGCAAGCACGTTGGGAGGGAGAGGTAGAGGCAGGAGGATCGCCTGAGCCCAGGAGTTTGAGACTAGCCTAGGCAACACAGCCAGACTCCATCTCTACTATTTTTTTTTTAATTAGCCACGTGTGGTGGCACCTGTCTGTGGTCCTAGCTACTCAGGAGGCAAAGGCAGGAGACTTGCTTAAGCCCAGGAGTTAGAGGCTGCAACCGAGCTATGATCATGCCACTGCACTCCAGCCTGGGCAACAGAGTGAGATCCTGTTCCTTTAAAAAAAAAAAAAAAAAAGTTCGAATTGTTCTGAAAAAATTTTTTTTAAATTTAAAAAGTTATTAACTAAGTTTAACAAACTAAATCTTTTCAATCACTATCAGCTTCAACATCAACAAGGGGAGAAAACTATCACCAAGAATATTCAGCAACACATGTACAATAATCCAAATTCACCTAGTTCACTATCTACAACGAAGACAGCCCCTTCACAATTCTAGCAACTTTTATTTTACTCTCATCTCTCACCATTTCCTCCCTGCACCCCAGGTAATTTGCTGCTCCCCAAACTCATCCCAACTCCCACATACCTCTAAGCCTTTATACCAACTGTTCCCTGAGCTCCTCCTCACCTGGTGAGCACTTACTCATCAGTCGTTCAAAACTTGATGCAGAAGTCTCCTCCAGTGTAGAAGCCTGGCTGCAGGATCCAGTTTGGGGTAGGTAACTAGTGGGAGGGTGCTTTCTATAGCTGCTTTGTTGACCATAGCTACTCTGCTGTCCATAACTGCTCGGTTTCCCACAGGTGTTCTGCTGAGAGTAACTGCTCTGATCATAGCTGGTAGGAGGGTAGGACGGAGGTGCAGTGACTGGCTGCATGGGGTAGCTCCCAGGTACCTGGGGATAACTGTAGTTACTCTGTCCATATCTTAGGCCAGGCTGGTTGGTAACCCCTGTGCTAGATTGAGGTTGACTAGTCTCAATGGGCTTGTTACCATCCTATGGTCTTGTAGGTGCAGTGGCTGCTGGCTGCTGCCCATAGGCTGGGTAAGCAGGCTGAGTGCCATATGCAGACTGAGCAGCTTGGAGGCCTGGGTGGTGGTGACTGTAGCAGTGGTGGTATCATAAGCACCAGTGCCACACCCCTGGACAGGCTGGCTGTATGCCTGGGGGGCAGTTGGAGTAGCATAACCAGTGGGAGGCTGTCCATAAGAAGTTGCATAGCCCATAGGTTGCAGTGGTCTGAGCCTGGGTATAGCTGACATCAGTGGGCTGTCCATAGGTTCCATAGCTTTGTTGCCCATATGCCTGGGTGGTCTGTGCATATCCTTGAGCAGGCTGGGCAGCGTAAGCACTGTAGCCCTGCTGCACTGCAGCTTGGCTATAGATACTGTAATCCGTTGACGCCATTTTCTCTCCTTCCTCCTCGTTCTCTCAACATCCGTCTCCTTCTCGCTCCCATTTAACTTTTATCTAAAAAGATTACAGAAATCCTATTCTTCCCAATTTTCAAAGTTCTAATAATCTCATGCCTATATATTGAGGTCATTAAAACATTACTATAACTTTGGATATAATTCAGTGGACCAATGATAATGTTTACTCTCTAAGAAAAGAAACTATGAAACAATCTAGTTCTAGATCTTTATATAAAAGATCAACAAAGTAACTCATTTTCCAGTATGAATATTAACTTGCTATTTGTAAATTGTCTATATTAAATTATCAGTTAAGCCTTCCCTGATTAATAATATTCCAGAGATTATATTGATTATAGTAGATAATTAGGTAAAAACACAACCATACAAAATTCTATTTTAAGAATTTTGAGGACAAAATTGGGAGAAATGTGGGGCAAAAATCTACAACATGGTTATTATTTAATAGATAAATATAAACTATGCAGTTAGTCCTCCATATCTGTAGGTTTCACATCAGCTAGGTTCAACCAACCACAGATGGAAAATATTCAGAAAAAAAGAATAGTTTCATCTGTACTGAACATGTACAGTCCTTTTTTTCTTGTCATTATTTCCTAAACAATACAGTATAACAAGTATTTACACAACATCATATTGAGAATTACAAGTAATCTAGAGATGAATTAAAGGATGATGTGCATAGGTTATATGCAAATAACCATATTATATAAGGGACTTGAGCATCTGTAGATTTTGGTATTTGCAGGGATCCTGGAACCAATCCCCTGAGGATACTGATGGATGATTATATTTACTGCCACATCCCTTCAGAGCACTTTGATCTGTATTACAAGCTCTCATGTTCCCTTTTGTTTAATTACATACTTTGTTTCTACAGTAACTCTAAAGCATATAACCAGTTGCAATGTCCCTAAGCCCTTTACATGGTGAATTTTTTTCAGCTAATAAAGAGTAATAATAATATAATCCTTGTGTAGAGCTTTATCTTCTTCCTAAACATCTCTTAATTAGTATGCAACAGGATTAAATACAACTGAAGTCTCACTATACCATTTTGAATAATTAGGAGGAAAAATACAAATTCTAACCTAGGCACCTAAGTCTTGTAGGAATTTACTGCCACCTTCAGGTTTTAATGAAAATGCACTGGGACTGTAGCTTTTACATTTCCAGATGATAGTCCCTGGTTAATATAGTAGAAATATTAATATTATTTTCTGGCTTTAGAAGCAAAGTACTACTATCTAATTTAGATTGCAGTACAAAATGCATTCAGGAAATGCCTTTCGCCTTGTCTTTTTGTCTTTTGTGATTCTTTCAATAATGTGTAATTGAAAATTAAAGTCTGTTTTTTATCAGCCATTATAATTATATACTAGAAGTTCCCAGATCTGTGTCCAGAATGTACTTTGTATCATTGTCTAAATCTAGTTAAAAAAAAAAAACTATTACAGCAAACTGTTTTAAATGTTCCACGTGTCAATGCCTTCCAGCCAAAGGCCACCAGGAACACACCGGCAGTTGCACAAGTTGGGTTTCTTGCTCATTTCAGGGAGGGAGAAACCACACCATAGGGAACTGTGGATGTCTGAGTAAGAAGGTGTTAAAAGGGACTTATAGGATTTGGGCTTTTATTGGGAGATTTTTGGTAGGGTTTGAGGAAGTGGGCTTTGCTCTGGATAAAATGCTGTCAGGAAGTGGGGGCAATCCCATAATTTAGTATCTTAATGAGTTTTACTTATAAAGCAGGTGGAATGAAGTGAGGCTAATGCTATAATTGGTAAAGAAGCAGAAGTCATTCACATTAGCCAGAATAGGGGAATGTTCCACATTTTTTGTGGTTTGCAGACTGACTTTGTTTTTGTCTATATTTAGACAAGATGTTGTTGGG
Organism: Homo sapiens; assembly: GCF_000001405.40. NCBI lineage: Eukaryota > Metazoa > Chordata > Mammalia > Primates > Hominidae > Homo > Homo sapiens. Next base: position 35,879,079 of record NC_000014.9, on the reverse strand, counting down.
GTGGGCGTTGACCCCACTTCCTCACGGTCACAGAGTGGCCGTGATGTTGGTGTTCCGTGAGATTGTTTATGTTCAACAGAACACCAAGGCCTATCACGCAGTTCCTAGTTGTCAGGGACTGCTTTTCTCTTTCTCATGCATATATTTGTAATTCCATGAATACCTTTTTTTTTTAATTCCTTGACTTTGTGCTGAAATTATAAAAGTTTGTGATGATTTTCAAAGTGGATATCAACAGAATATGAAGCTCTAAGGATGCATCATAAATGTTGCAAGGGTGTGAAATCCAGCTCAAAATCGTTTGGAAAAAGGGGAATTTATTAGAAGACCCACATAACACAAGGAAGACCGGAGTGCAGATGGACTATGAGTCAGCTCATAGCACGAGGCTAAATGCCAAGAAACTCCCCATCCACCTCTCATCTCCTCAGCTGTCTCCACAGGGCAGGAAATGTCATTGCCTATAATTTCCAAACTTTATTGTCCCAGTTCCAACATAAGAGGGAGACTGATACTTTTTCCTGCAGTTATAGTTTAAGAGATCCAAGAGAAGGGTTTTAATTGGGGCAGGCTGAGTTACACGTTCACCTAGTGCACTCAACTAGGACCAAGAATTGTGCAGTATTAGAGAAAGAGGTGTTCTCATTAGAACCACACAGTCAGATCAGGGAAGAAGCATTTCCTGGAAAAAGTAGAATTGAAGTTCTGGGTAAGCAAAAGATTTGAAAAAAAGATTTAAAGCTGGGAGGAAAAAAAAATCAGTTCTGGGTTCTAGAAATGTAATATTTGCTATAAAGAGAAAAATTAAAATAAAATAAAAAGAGAGAGACCCAGTTAGGCCATCACAATTATTTCAGTAAAATATACCAGAGGCTTGAACTAGGGCAGCACCAGTGGGAATAGAGAAAAGAGAATGCTTTCAGTTAGAAATGTTTCAGAGTTAGAATCTACAGGACTAGCTAATTCCACAGATGTGAGGAGAAGTCAAATTCATCAACAGCCCTTACATAGGATTTATCATGTAACATGCCCTGTTCTACACACTTGACATATATTCATTAAGTCCTCACCACAACCCTATGAAGTATTATTTCCATTTTCAGATGGGGAAATTGAGGCACAAAAAGGTTAAAAAGTTACCCAAGGTTGACGGGGTGCAGTGGCTCATGCCTGTAATTCCAGCACCTTGGGAGGCCGAGGCAGGTGGATCACCAGAAGTCAGGAGTTCGAGACCAGCCCGGACAACATGGTGAAACCCTGTTTCTACTAAAAATACAAAAATTAGCCAGGCGTGGTGGTGCGCACCTGTAATCCTAGCTACTTGGGGGGCTGAGGCAGGAGAATCACTTGAACCCAGGAGGTGGAGGTTGCAGTGAGCCGAGATCACACCATTGAACTCCAGCCTGGGCAACAAGAGCGAAACTCTGTCTCAAAAAAAGAAAAAGAAAAAAAAAAGAAGTTACCCAAGGTCATACAGCCGATAAATGGTAGAGTTCACATCCAGCTAATCTGGCTCCAAAATTCATGAGTTTAGCTACCTGCCACAACCTCTCCAAGGTCTGAATTTATGTGAGTCATTGTGTGTATCAAGGGTGGAAGCACAAATAGAGTACATTCCAGACTGGGAGAGGAATGTGCACAGGAGATAATATTTGGTTTTCTTTATATTAAGTTGTAAATGTGTTAAGAGTAACAGATGGAAATGCCCAATGGGCAACTTGAATATATAACTCGGGTAAGGGTAGAGGCTTAAATTTAGAATTTGTTAGGACCTAAATGGTAGCTGAAGCCAATGAGTGAATGAAATCTTCTAAAAGGAGTAGAATGATGGCCTAACATGCAGCCCAGAGAAAAACAAAGAGAAGGTAGAAGAATGATCTTCAATAATGACCTAGAAATTAACTAACCCAGTGTTTCTGATGATTAGGAGAAATAGGCATCATCATATGCTGTTAGTAGGAGCACAAATTGGTACAATTTGTTTGCAGGGAAGTTTGGCAATATCTAATAAAATACAAATTTTCCCTACCATTTTTTGACCCAGCAATTCTACTGGAAATTTATGCTACAAATATACTCTTTCCTAGCATCAAAGATATATGTATAAGAGTGTTCACTGCAGCCTTGTTTAATAAGAAGGAAGAAAGGGAAGGAGGGAGGAAAGACGGAAGGAAAACAGCAACCTCAATGTTCATTAGTATTGTGCTGGCATTCCACACCATAGAATTCTATGTGGTTATTCCATAAAAATAAATACCATGTGGTCATTAACAAGAACAAAGTAGATCTCTGGGAACTTCTATGGAAAGATCATCAACATGCACTAGAAATATTCAGTGATGGGGGGGAAAAGAAAAAAAAAAACCAACAACATATGTTTAAAAAGAAATAAAAAGAGAAATTACATTAGTTCATTTTCATGCTGCTGGTAAAGACATACCCAAGACTGGGTAATTTATACAGGAAAAAGGGGTTTAAGGACTTACAGTTCCACATGGCTGGGGAGGCCTCACAATCATGGCTGAAGGCAAAGAGGAGCAAGTCACATCTTACGTGGATGGCGGCAGGCAAAAAGAGAGAGCTTGTGCAGGGGAACTCTCGTTTTTAAAACCATCAGATCTCGTAAGACTCATTCACTATCACAAGAATAGCATAGTAAACACCCTCCCCCATAATTCAATCACTTCCCACCAGATTCCTCCCACGACACAAGAAAATTAATTCAAGATGAGATTTGGGTGGGGATACAGCCAAACCATATCAGAGGTATAGGAGAATACATGTAGTGTTCCTTTAGTGTAAATAATAGGCCTGCTGTACCCTTTTCTACTTACCCGGCAGAAAAACAACCAATATAAAACATAGAATCTTACAGAATCTTTTAAAATCTTCAGAATAGAGGTACAAAAAGAGCAAATCCAGAGACCCAGGAGAGGTCACAGAAGGCACCAGGCAGGCAGCAGCCTCACCTTCTTGAGTCTCACCCCTTGGCAGCCTTGCACAGAGTGGGCATGAGCCATGACCTGTACTGAGAATTTCCTTGGGCAGGTGCACAGGGGAGGAGGGAAAGAAAAGCTCTAAAGGAAGGTAAGGGCGAGTGCACACCCTTGGGCTCCCCTCTCTATGAGAAACCCAAGATGCCCAATAGAGCATTTAGGCCTGAGAGACAGTATAGCTCAAATGTGTGCAGGAAAGACCCAAAGCAAGTTGGCCCTTGTGTAGTGGATAATCTGTTATTATATGTACATATATGAATACATTTATAAAATATAAGTTAACACCATGGAGTGTAAGGTTCAAATCAAAAACTACTAGTCAATGAATCATCTAAACAGTAGCTCAAGTCTTAAAAAAAAAAGTCTTCCTTAATAAGTGCAATTAACCATAGGTGTACCTAAACATAATACACTGAAATCATGCATTTAACTTCAAACAAGTTCAAGCACTTTACTATCTCTGCTATTAACAATGCCATTTTCAAAATCTTTCAATAATAAATGAAATATGATACTTATTTCAACATCCCTCTAACAGCCGATGTCATTTAGCCTCTGCTTAAGGGTCTGGTTTTCTCAGCAGTTTAACATCATTCTGTAACCTTTACTAGCAGAGATAAAATGTGACCACGTGGCCTGCTTCTGAACTAGAATTATGATAATTCTCTCAAGAGAATGCAACAGTCTTCTGGCAAGGTCACCACCTCAAACCTGTATTAAAAAATGGGAAAACAGAAAAGGAAGAAAAAAAATAGACTCTAAAGACTGTTACTACATAACTTCTTCTCTTCACTTTCCTTTAATAAAATGTGTCTTGAAAGAGAACAAATTAGCTTCAAGTTAAACAGCAAAGAAATTTTAGCCTTCTACCACTAAACAGATATATTTTTCAGAAAGAGTAGCAACATAACAGTTTTAGAACATCCAGCCTATAAATTTTGGGCCAAGTGCAGTGGCTCACGCCTGGAATCCCAGTAAATAATCCCAATGTAATCCCAATGTAAATTATTAAACTGACACTTGGTGTACACTTTAATCCGCTGTAAATTGACCAGTCTAATGTTTCCAGAATTGTCACTTTGGGGCATCTATTAGTTTGCTAGGCCTGACATAACAAAATACCACAGACTAGCTGGCTTAAATAACAGAAATTTATTTTCTCACAGTTCTGCAGGCTGGAAATCCAAGATCAAAGACATGATTAACTTCATCACCTCTCTCAAGCCCCTATCATCAAATATAGTCATATTCTGAGGTACTGGGGGGTAAAGCTTCAATATATGATTTTGGGCCAGGTGTGGTGGCTCACGCCTGTAATCCCAGCACTTTGGGAGGCCGAGGAGGGCAGATCATGAGGTCAGGAGTTCGAGACCAGCCTGACCAACATGGTGAAGCCCCATCTCTATTAAAAATACAAAAATAAGCCAGGCATGGTGGCATGCACCTGTAATCCCAGCTACTCAGGAGGCTGAGGCAGGAGAATGGCTTAAACCCAGGAGGAGGAGGTTGCAGTGAGCCGAGATCACACCACTGCACTCCAGCCTGGGCAACAGAGCAAGACTCTGTGTCAAAAAATAAATAAGTAAATAAATAAAAAAAATAAAATAAATATTATATATATATATGAATTCTGGGGGCACAAAGTTTAGCCCATAACAGATCATATAAAGTTCAAGTTTCTGTACCTATGAAATAAAAAGCAAGACTTTGGCCCACAATGACCAGTAGGGAACTATCCCTGTTAAACCCTAACTGACACACCAGCCACAACTCTTGTACTTCATCCATAGACAACATAAGGAACATTCATTTTTCTCTAACCCCATTCTGAGCATTCATGTTCTTTTTTTTTTTTTTTTTTTTTTTTTTTGAGACGGAGTCTCGCTGTCGCCCAGGCTGGAGTGCAGTGGCGCAATCTCGGCTCACCGCAGGCTCCGCCTCCTGGGGTTCACGCCATTCTCCTGCCTCAGCCTCCCGAGTAGCTGGGACCACAGGCGCCCGCCACCTCGCCCGGCTAATTTTTTGTATTTTTTAGTAGAGACGGGGTTTCACCGTGCTAGCCAGGATGGTCTCGATCTCCTGACCTCGTGATCCGCCCGCCTCGGCCTCCCAAAGTGCTGGGATTACAGGCGTGAGCCACCACGCCCGGCCTCATGTTCTTTTTAAAATATTTTAATTTCCTCATCTTTAGCAACTAAAATCGTTTGCATTCCAATTTAGCAAGAAACTACATAAATCCTAAGTAATGTATTAATTCATCCTACATCCATCCTTTTTTTTTTTTTTTTTTTTTTTTTTTGAGACAGAGTCTCACTCTGTCACCAGACTGGAATACTGGAATGCAGTGGCATGATCTCAGCTCACTGCAACCTCCGCCTCCCAGGTTCAAGCGATTCTCCTGCCTCAGCTTCCCAAGTAGCTGGAACTACAGGTGCGCGCCACCACACCCAGGTAATTTTTGTATTTTTAATAGAGACAGGGTTTCACCATGTTGGCCAGGATGGTCTCAATCTCTTGACCTTGTGATCTGCCCGCCTCAGCCTCCCAAAGTGCTGGGATTACAGGCGTTAAGACACCACGCCCGGCCTATCCTATATCCATTTTCTTATAAGAGAAATTCATTTTAGTTCAGTTTTATTGTACTGGATTTACTGGGTCCAAAAACAAAAAGAAAAAACAGATAACTTCTCCTCTAGGTGTTAAGTAGATTTTTTCCTCATCTTCTTAACTCTTATCATAACAGAAATTAAAGTGCACAAGACCATCAAAAATATGTGATTTGGTTGTACCCTAAATATGGGGCACATGTCCTCAGGACCTCCTGAGGCTATGTCATGGGAAAAAAAATGTTATATATATATATATATATATATATATATATATATATATATATACACACACACATATACAGCCAGTTGTGCTGCCATATTAAAGGTTCAATTCTTTCTACTGTTCCTGAATCTTTGGAAGTTTTTCTTCTTTTTAAATAATTATTAATGAGGCATACATGGTTCTGCAACTGGTGTTCCAAGTAATGCATACATCAGAACAACTTTTACATGAAGAAGGCTGCAAAAAAGTACTGTGTCCAGCCCACCAATATGAACAGTGAAAAAGGGGACAAATCAGGAGTGTGCCATTACTATTTGCCAATAATTATTAGTTGAAGAATTGCATTAGTGATACTTAGATAGTATCTCTTTTTAAAAAATGGGAAACAGCAAGGAGGGGATGGATTGAACATGAAAAACTAGGAGCTGTGACAATAAAGGTCAAGAAATGATCCTGAGACAGAAGCTGATCATAAACACAGGAGCAGCAGCAGCCACTACATCACATTTTGGAGTTTCTAATAATTTTCCTAAATTAAACTTTATGACCAGACAACTAATGGCAAACTGCCAATAAGACAATATATTTTATAGCATTTTAGTCATAGATAAGCATATGCTTTTATGAATCTTAATATTATGGTAGAATACTACATAAGATATAAATACTAAAGTTTTGAAAATAAATGTACTAAATCATAGTTTTAAAATAAAGATTTCCTAGGCCAGGTGTGATGGCTCATGCCTATAATCCCAGCACTTTGGGAGGCCAAGGTGTGCGGATCACCTGAGGTCAGGAGTTTGAGACCAGCCTGGCCAACATGGCAAAAACCTGTCTCTACTAAAAATATACAAATTAGCCAGGTGTGATGGTGCACACCTGTAATCCCAGCTACTCAGGAGGCTGAGGCAGGAGAATCACTTGAGCCTGGGAGGCAGATGTTGCAGTGAGCCAAGATCGTGCCACTGCACTCCAGCCTGGGTGACAGAGCAAGACTCCATCTCAAAAAATAAAAATAAAAAAATAAAGATTTTCTATTTAGAATTTCATTAACTTATACAGTACCTTTTAATCAAAGTACAACACATATGCATATATTTTAAAATTAAGTATAACTTAGCTGTCTTGAACATCTAAATATACCCCAGAAAGTGCTGAGGTTACAGGTATGAGCCACTGCACCCAGCCTACTCCATATCTATTAACGTAAACCAATTCAAATCTTTCTTACAAGTGGATAGGTTATAAAAAGAACTAAATACACATAAGTAATCCAAGACACTACAAATCACACTGAAACACATCTTTTTATTATATACTAAATTTAAAAATACAAATCTTATTAAAAATGCTTATCAAACATTGTATACATAAGTACTGTCAAATACTATTGGGTTTTGACATTATGTACATTTGCTAAGGTTAATTAGAAACAGAACAACGTAATATCACTTTGCTGACACTGAATTTCAGCAGTTAAGTGTTTTAAAATTTGGCAACTATGAAGTAGTGATCTGCACAGGAAGATGTTTGGAGAGGTAAAATAATAAGAAAACAAACGGAATAATGCAGACATTTCTGCAGTAAGTGTTAATAAGTAGATTTCTTCCTCATCCTCTTAACTCATTGTAACAGAAATTAAAGTGCACAAGACCACCAGGAATACCTGATTTGGTGTACCCTAAATATACACTACAGCCGGCTGTGCTGCCATATTGAGGGTTTCAATTCTTTGTACTGTTCCTGAGGTTTTGGAAGTTAATTTTGAATGTGGCTAGCGGAAGGGAGGCCAACACTTTCTAAATTGCACCAAATGGCCTTAAAGTGTAGAAATACCAAAGAAAAAAATATTAATTTGGAAATAGATTCAAGGAAATAATCCCTGTCTACTTTGCCCTAGGAATAAAATTAGAATAAGGACACAGTTTTACCTCTGGAAAATGCTTACTAAAATCTGTTTCAAAAGACCAGACATGTACAGCAAGCACAATACTGTCAGTTATTGTTCACCACTTATATACTGCATCATAAATACCAGGTATAAATACCTGCCGCTAAAGGGTCACTAGAAATACAGGTAGAAGCATGTTATCACTTTACACTAATTTTACTCATTAGGTATAATTTGTAAAAATAGGTCACCACCCCACCATACAATCAAGAAAGAGGAAAAGAAAAGTTGCTATTCTACAAAAGTGCTCCTTTTAGCTTTCAACCCCAATAGCTTAATTTTGGGTAAAACAAGATTGTAAGGTATGGCCATCAGTTCTAAATAAGCTGATGATGCCATATATACATCCTCATATATATATATGTTTAAATTTCAGTTCTGGTTTAACACTAATGTACTAGTACAAACCATTTATAGGAAACATTCTATCGGCCTTATTTACAAACACACAATGAATGACAAAGATATGGAAAATTTTAAAAATTGCAGATAAATGTAGTCATAGTTTACTAAAGATAAGACAAATTTGCATAACTTTTTTTAAAACCAAAGAAAAATGTTTAGAAAGAAACCCCTACCATATACAGAATACCTATTGGTCATCGGACCTAAGAGGCAAATCAACGTAAGGATCGTGATAAAATTTTTATTACTGTTTCTTTTAATAACATATCAATGAGATCTATTTAGAGTACTACCTACAAATACACATTCTCTCATGATTCAGTGAGAATATTAAGTTATTGAATACATTTTTTTACTCTCATGGCACTTACATTTGGTAACACTAATAAGGTAAATTTAGATAACACTTAAATCATGATTATGAATGTTTAATTGAATATTTTCCTTTCTGTAGCTGTGAAATGTAAAGCTTAGATTTGCTTCCATCAGGCCTCTTAAACCAAACTTCATCATGGTTAATTGTTGTAATTACAGCACTAAAAAGAAAAAAAAAAGAATGAATGAATGAATTACAATGTCTCCTCAATTCACTTTAGATTATTACCTATATAAAACCAAAATAAACTGGCCTACAACAGTAGACTCAGGTATATAATTGTCATTTACCAGAATGCTGCATATCAGCAGTACATGCTGCCAAAAATATCACATTCAGCAACACAGCAGATCATCCTTCTTTTCTTAATAGAGTTCGTAAAATTTACTTTCTATTAGAACTATTAAAAGCACATTCTTCCTACTCCATCCCCACCCCACCTCTTTAAAAAAAAAAAAAAAAACTGGAGCTAAAAGCGCTATGTATATGGTATTATACTTGTAACTCATGTCAGTATCTTTCAAATGCTAATCTCTAATTCCTAATGTCAAACCATCTACGGTACTTATACCAATTTTTTTTACACTACTAATCTTTACATAAAAAGATCTATTCTTTAAATAGATTTGTATTTTATTCTTTTTTTAATTATTTATTTTTTGTTTATTTATTTTGAGACAGAGTCTCACTCTGTCGCCGAGGCTGGAATGCAGTGGCGCAATCTCAGTTCACTGCAATCTCCACCTCCCCGGTTCAAGTGATTCTCCTGCCTCAGTCTCCCAAGTAGCTGAGACTACAAGCACGTGCCACCATGCCTGGCTAATTTTTGTATTTTTACTAGAGACGGGGTTTCACAATATTGGCCAGGCTGGTCTTGAACTCCCGACCTTGTGATCCACCCTCCTCGACTTCCCAAAGTGTTGGGATTACAGGTGTGAGCCACTGCACCCGGCCTAATTATTTATTTTTTAAAGAGTGAATAGGAATTTTTTTTTTTTGAGACTGGGTTTCTCTGTCACCCAGGTTAAAATGCAGGGCCACAATCAGGGCTCAACCTCTCAGGCTCAAGTGATCTTCTCATCTCAACCTGAGTAGTTGGGACTAAGGATAATTTTTTTACTTTGTAGAGATGGGGTTCTCTACAAAGAGACCAGCTAGGGCTGGTCTCAAACTCCTTGGCTCAAGTGATTCTCCTGCCTTGGCCTTCCCAAGTACTGGAATTACTACAGGAAAGATCTATTGTACCTGGCCTCATCTCTTTTTAAACAACTTTTATGCTAAGTAGTAGTAAAATATCTCAAAAACAATAACATAAACAGAAGAATCCAGGAGTATCATATATAAACTAGTAGTTCAATGAGCTTCTATAAGAAAAGTTATTATACACAATGTTCCTGGAATCCTAAAAATTTAAAGACAAAATTATCTTACAATTAAAACCACTGTATTTGGAAAATGCATACTGTAGACTAAACTCAAGTTGTTTTATTTACCACTGACACCTACAAAACCATATTTTGTTACCACAGAAGTTTACTACTCTGAGAATTAAATCCTACACTACTGGAGAATGAAAGATGATTAACAATATTTTCAAAAGGTCACAACCAGATAAAACTTAGAAGGCTATACAAATAGTTATATAAACTTTATTTAAGCCTAGACATATTACTAGGACTTTTAAAAGGCAGTTTTCAAGTTACACTGTGTTGTTGTTGTTGTTTGTTGTTGTTGTTGTTAGAGAGACAAGGTCTCACTCTGTTGCCCAGCCTGGAGTACAATGGTGTGGTGAAATGATACCTTGCTGCAGCCTCAAACTCTTGGGCTCAAGCGATCCTCCTGCCCAAGCAGCTAGGACTATAAGCACACACCTCCACACCTGGCTAATTTTTTTATTTTTTGTAGAGACAGGGTCTTGCCAAGTTGTCCAAGCTAGTCTTGAACTCCTGGCCTCACCCAATCCTGCCTCAGCTTCCCAAAGTGCTGGAATTACAGATGTCAGCCACTGCACCCAGCCCTAGATTATACTTTAATTACTATTAATCTTAAGGGTTTTATTAATTTTCCATTTATTTCCTACTCTAATTGATACAAATTCTTTTTATCTAAAATATTGTAACACATCCAAAAAAGTTAAAGATTATTAGGTCCACCAAAAATTCATAATAGTCAGGTTTAAGGGTCATTATAGCACGATCCTAACGATTCACCTACTAAAAGAATTAAGAAACAGGATCAGCTACCTGGCTAAATAATTTCAACATTTCTACTTGCATTAAAGTTTGTGTTCATAAACTTAATATGAAGTCTGGTTCATACATATTAACACTGCTGTACACACATGTAATCAAGCCATATGTCAAGTGAAAAAAGGATCCACAAGCAACTAATGATATAGGCACACTATGGAGGCAGGAAATATTTCACTGACAACGATGTTGTAAATGACAATACTGAGCAACACTGAAATAACAAAGGCTTTTTTACCTTGTAGGACATTCATCTTTTTTATCAATACATATTGTTTGTCCACGTATATACCATTCACCATCATAATATAGTCTTCCCTCTTCAGATCTAGCACTGTGCAGATGTTTTTCCAGTTTCACAGGTGCTAAAGGGATCAGTTCAAAAACTGTTATATTAATAAAACACTGTCAGAAGAACAAAGGGTCAGAACATTAACAATTAACATCAATCCATGCATATGTAAAAAAGGCCTAAAAATATTTCTTAAATAACAAACCTAAAATGTAATAAAAAGATTTATTCCTTACATTCTTTTACATAATCACTAAGTTTTTAATATAACTACTAAACAAAGCTAAACAATGAACAATAAATCATCAATTGACTAATTAAGTACCAGAAGGGGAAGCAGGTATGTTATCAATTACTAGTGTGAATTTTAAGTAGTATTTAAAATATCAATTGCCATATTTCAATTGAAAATTATACTTTTTATTTTTTCCCCTGCGGGCATCTGATATACCGAAAGAAGCAGAGTTTAATACATGTTCCAAGCATTCCCCAGGCTTTTAATTCTAAAAAGGAAATGTCCTAAGTACAACTTCTATTTTTAAATTCCAGAAATCATCTGGCATTAGTCAGATAACTCATACAGGAAAAAAAAATCTTTTTTATGGAAACACAGTGTCAAAAGCATACCATGAAGTCATTCAAATGTCAGCTCCTGAGAGGTCTTCCCTAACTACTCTACCCACTCCTCAGCTAATTGTTATATCAACTGCACAGTTCTTTTAGAGTAATTATTATAATCTGTAACTATCTTCTTAACTGTTTATCTACATATATATGATTCCACCTCCCCTAAAGAGGCTCCAGGAGATCCATATTTCTTTTACCATTGTATTCTCAGGGCCTAAAATACCATCGGGTATATTCATTCATTCATTCATTCATTCATTCAACAAATGTTGTCTGAACACTTCCTATACACAAGGAAGTATGCTGGGGAAAAAACTGTGACCAAAAGAGATATGGTTCTAGCCTTTGTGGAGCTTACAATCCAGTCAGGAGATAGACAAAATTAAAAAGTACAAATTGAGTGAAGTGCTATGAGTAAAACTAATAGGATACAATGCTGAAGATAAGAGTGGGAGGGAGACACACTCAACTATGATAATGAGATTCTCAAAAGGAATCTATTACCCAAAAATGTTAAGAACCACTGCTCTACAGGTCTAGGCAGCTGCTCTGGCAGTTAATTCCCCAGGGCAAATACTGCTGCAATTTCCTCACAAAATAAAAAGTTTAAAGGAATCATGGGGTTAAAAATAAAATGCAATTTTTTTTTTCTTAGAGATGGAATCCTGCTCTGTTGCCCAGTGTAGTGGTGTGATCATGGCTCACTGGAGCCTCGACCTCCAGGGCTCAGGTGATCCTCCCACCTCAGCCTCCCAAGAGGCTGAGACTACAAGTACACACCGCCAAGCCTGGCTAATTTTTGTATTTTTTTGTAGAGATGGGGTCTTGCCATCTTGCCCAGGCAGATCTCAAACTCCTGGGCTCAAGTGATCCTCCTGCCTTAGCGTCCCAAATTGCTGGGATCATGCTAGGCATGAGCCACCATGCCCAGCCTAAACAGAAATTGGTCTCTTATCGATTACTTAAGCTGTTTAAATGTGACTAGAAATTCCTTTCCTAAGTATTTCAAATATGTTTTTCTTTTTAGTCTAGCTTCATTGTCCTTAGAAGGATTAGGAAATCTCACCTATAGTGAAAGAAGGCAGAAACAGAGAAACTTATCCTAAACACCATCACATTTTGGCAGTGATTTTAGACTTCCAAAAAAAAAATCAAGGAAGTGTAACTTGATATGAATTTTACTAAGGCATATCAGCATTCTGATCTCTCTCCTCAGAAAATGCACATGCAGAATTTTGCACATAATTTCAGAGGATTCACAGAATCTCTGAAGCCAATCCACAAATTCCAAATACCTCCCCTATAGAATGACAGAGCCCATAAAAAACACTGCATAAATACTTTTTTGAGTTACTGATCCATTATTAGCAATAAGAATGTAGCTGAACACTGAAATAATTATACCACATTCAGAAATTTTGAAACTTTTACGTGAAGCAATGACTCCAGAAGAATTCCTCATAATTTCAGGCACGGTGTTCACTGATGAAATAAAACCACTGATTCAAGAGTTCTTTAGTACGTAGATAACAACCCTGATTCAACAAGTCTCCAAAGAGAATATTTCCCAACTCAGACTAAATGACTTACGTTCCGTTTTCACTCTGTGTGGCCCCAATGTAGCCATTGCCTTAATTAAAAAAAAAAAAAAAGAGGAAGAAAGAAGTCTGAGTTCAGACTGAAAATATATTTTGGTATCTATTTAATATATACAATATTACCGATTAACTCCATAACAAAGACAGTAAAGTATAACCATTAGCTGCTCTAACAAATTTTTAATGTCTAAGACCATAAAGAATATGAGGGATAACAATTTCTCCTAGAGGTGTTTTCAATACCTGAAATAATCTCTAATTCTCAACTAAGAAATTTACAAAAATGAAAAAATGTAATATGGAAAACAAGCCTCCACTTTCAGGCAAGAAAAGAAAAGCCTATGATTCTTGAATGTTTAATGATAGGATGCAAGACACATAAGGGTTCAAATGTTCTTTTGTTCAACAAATATTTATCAAGTGTTTTCTATAAGCCAGGACCAGCCAAAGGACTAGGCACAGATGGTGATGTTATTATTTTTGGGCAGACTAAATAAATGTTTTTTGGACTTTTCCATAAATTATTAGTTACATTATTATAGAAAAAATACAATCAAACTGCTGACATGTCTCTAACTCTTAAAATATCCTTGTAGTTCACTGCTATCTGTAATAGTATTAAATTGCCTTAGAAAAATGTTGCAAAAGCAAAGCATATTTACAATAATATTTTGATGTACTAACAAAAAAAACATAGAATCTTAAAAAGTAGACTATAAAAACATACTTGTGTTCCACTGCTCATTAATCATACCTTCCTAATTGTTGTCCAGTCTTCAAGAATATCAAGATCTTGTAGCATATAAACTATATATGGACGTTGAATAGTCAAGGTCAATTTAGCTGTAAGAATATCACACTTTGAATTATATTTCCAAAGTACTACATTTCAGAAAATGGAACGATGATTTATGAGCATAATGCTTTGGCATCCTAAATTCTGACTTCAAATTATTCTTCAAACCACTTAGTACCAGCATAAATACAGTCTAGTACTTCTGATGTCATAACTACATGCCCTTAATTCCATGATATCATTGATTGTAATATACATCACTAACACAATCACTGGTTTTTAAGGTGGAGGGGAAAAGATGGGGGTAGAGGGATGGTACCATAGAGAATGCCGAAACTGAATATACGTATTAATTTACACTCCAATTTTGGAAACATTTAAAAATGTTTTTAAAAAGTATACGAGGCTAGGCACAGTGGCTCATGCCTGCAATCCTAGCACTTTGGGAGGCCAATGCAGGCTTAAGCCCAGGAGTTCAAGACCAGCCTGGGCAACACGGCAAAACCCCATCTCTACAAAAAATACAAAAATTAGCCAGGCGAGTGGCACGTGCCTGTAGTCCCAGCTACTTGGGAGGCTAAGGTGGGAGGATCACCTGAGCCCGAGAGGTTGAGGCTAAGGTGAGCCATGATTGTGCCACTGCACTCCAGCCTAGGTGGCACAGTGAGACCCTGTCTCAAAAAGAAAAAAAAAGTACACATGAGAATTAAACAATCATACTGTATACTAAACGACTGTTTCACATCAAAGCCCTTGGTGAACGACAAGTCACATTAATTTTCAAAGTTGAGATCATGATTGAATTTCTTCTCCTCTGCCACCTCTCCTGACCTAAAGTATACACTATATCCTCTGTCTTCAATCGGTTTTATAAATAAATCATCTTTTGCTTATTACAGGATCATGCAAATAAAGTCAGTGTTTACAAATAAAAGTTATAAAGGCATGCACAATGGAAAAACGCACATCAAGGAAAAAAAAACAGAAAATTTGGAAAAGGATATCTGAAACAACAACTGGCTTCTTTTTGTCAGGACTGAAAGGATCCTTCCTCTTTTTTCTTGACTGAAGCTCATCATTCCACAGCTCTGGCAGGTAAATAAAGATTAAGTATTAGTGGGTTTCTGGTGAACAAAGGAGGAAAAAAGACTCTAATTTTATGGTGGCTATTTAGTTACATGTAAAAACGTAAAAAACTTCATTGGCAGCTGGGTATATATAGATTAAGCTGTACATAATTTCATGAGCACTACGTGTTTAAGTTTTGCTCTGCCTTTATTAAAGCAAAAATCAATTTGGCACTTCATGACTAAGAACTGATTACCATATTGTCATGCACTTTGTAAAATGTATATTACATGCATTGTCTCACCTAATCCCCAAAGCTACCACTGAGGTAGGTATTCTTATTACTTTCCTTTTACAGACAAGGAGATTGATTTAGAAAAGTGAAGTAACTGTCCATGGTCACCAGACTAGTAGGTGAGGGAGCACTGGCACTAGAGCTCAGCTTATCTGACTCCACCATGCCTACCCTATAGAGAACTAAACTTTATAACAGATAAAGTAATATATACTCAAGAACTGTAGGATAACCTAGTAGACCTTCCACTCAATGCAAAAAACCTTTCTGTAACACCCTGAAAAAGCCAATTTCACACTGGACTGATCTAATCATTAATAAGTTATTCCTTTTTCTGAAACAAAAATCTACCTCCCTATAACTTCTATCAGTTTGTCCTACCTTGTATGATGTCAAAAAGGTTTTCATTCCTTCTTCCACATAACAGTCTTTCAAGACTTACAAGGAAAAACATATACTATAGCTAATTTCCAATACTATTCTTTTTTTTTTTGGAGACAAGATTGCCCAGTCTGGAGTGCAGTGGCGCCATCATGGCTCACTGCAATTGCAATCTCGAACTCCTGGGATCAAAGGATGCTTCCGCCTCAGTCTCCTGCATAGCTGGGACTGTAGATATAGATGTGCAGCACCACATCCAGCCCTGACACTATTCTGCCAGTAGGTTCCTGTCATACTTCTGTTTCGTCCCTTGTCGTGTGCTCCATTTTTTACATCTTTCTAAAGTGTGAATTCAAATAACAATAACAATATAATCACCATCACTTTAGAGTTCTTCCCCTTTTCTCCTTTGCTGGGACATTTCATTTACATAATATTAATATTAGAAGACTGAGATACGATATGACACTACAGTAAACCAAAGGTCTGGTGCCACTCAAACATCACAATCATATCATTCTCCTTACCTGAGGTAATATCAATGCTGTGCCTATCCTCTTCAAGCCTTCTTATCTTCTCCTCTAGTTCACTCTGGACTGTATCATATAGCAACAGCTTTTCGCTCTGGGGAGAAAAACAGATTATACTTAAGTAGAAAGAAAAAAATTGGTGTATCTTAACTAAGAGTACCAAATAACTTAAAGTACTTTAATATATGATGCTTTGGTTTGCTTTTTCAATTCAATTAAAAATTCTAAAGAAGAAATGTCAAATACATGAAAGAAATAAAACTAGAAAATATAGAATCTATATATAGATTTAACTACATGCAATTACATTCTGTATAAGAGCATCTAAATTATGTCTGATGTACATTTAGAGGTAAATATTTACTTTATAAAAAACTCATAGCAAACCCCTATGGCCCCTTTTAAATTTAAGTAGGTCCCATCTGTCACCATCATGGAAAACTTATCCTATAAAGTATATCATTATAAAATGGATCATATTTTCTCACAGGAATAATAATTGGGTCATTATGCCTCACTAATATCTCAGCATCATATTAAAATAGGCAAAGAGAAAGATTCAAGTACAAATTTTATGATTATTTAAAATAATTCAATTATAGTCTAAATTATAAAATTACAGACTAATCATATCCAAATCTTTCTACAAAACCATAGACAGATTGAATTGCTACAACATACAAGACTGGCAAATAGACTAGAACCCAGGTCTACTAGCTCTAGTCCATGTTTTTAATTATATAATACTGTAGCCCTAATTTAAAAAGCCATAAAATGTACATAATATATAAAGATCAATTACACAAAAAAACCTATGGCCACATGTTTACCTCTAGTGAAGGATATTAGATAATTGGATATAGCAGATATGACTGTCTTGCGGAAGCTATTGGGATATAGTTGGATATGACTACATGTAGAAAACACAGGCCACACCCATGTAGGCTGCATTCCTGGTGTCAATCATGAAGCCCTCTCTCTTGAGTCTGAAATTTAGAAATTATACATGCTTGAAGGGTTTCCTGAGTGTCAGGGAAAAGATGGCTTACAAACTTGAGGCAAGCCAGGTGCTAAGGAGAAAGCAAAGCTGAAAACTAAAACTAGATTTCATATCAAACATGGTTTCATTGCATGCTGTTCTCTCTGCTTACTTCCTTTTGCTTGTTCCCTTGCCTTTAGTAAAGTCTTATGAAATATTCCAGCTTTATCTATATTGTGCTGCAAAACTCGGAAAATATCAGAGAAAAAGGGAGAGCAGTTCCCCTCCACAAGACCGTGGTAGCAGCTATAAATAGATCCAATCTCCCCAACCAAAGATGACTCTAAATACAGAGCTGGAGTGATAAGCCTTTTGCTGTTAAGGATATGAACATTTAATTGGTGTATTCTCTTTTCTTCCTATTGACAAATTAGGCCAAGCAGAAATTCTTTTAAAAATCCACTAATCATTCTTTATTATTTTTTAAAAAGCCACAATGAAACTGAAATGTTTGAAGCATTGAAGGCATCTCTAAAAATATCAGAAGTATACTTTAAACTGCCATGAATCCATTCTCATTCTTATTTCTCTTTCTTTTTCTTGGAAAGTTCTCTCCCTTTTCTCCAGCTTCTCAAGACACTCAAAAACCTCCCCTGAATGGAAAATGAAGCCCTAATGGAACAGCTAGAAGATACCTGGAAAAGAAGGGGGCTAACTCTCTTGCTTTGGTGGCTGTGGAGTTTTCTATGTTCAATAGTTACTTTGGTTTTTAAAAAAATACTACTCATAAGTATAGGTTTGGTCTCAAGATCCCACATCCCTCTAGTCTTCACATCTAGACTTACTGATCCTGCTCACTAATAACCCCTTTCCCAGGCTGACGCCTATGCTGTTTCTCATCAGGAGAGCTTTAAAAAGCCCCAGGAAAGTGGCCCCAAGCTTCCATTATTGTACCGACCTCACACTGACCTGTATTCAGAACCAACTCCTCTTTGGCAGTTCCCTGACTTAACATACCTCACAATTCTCAACTTCTATCAGGACTGGAGCCCTGGAAGATTTTCATAGGCTATTATCAGAGAGTGACCCATTAAAACGCTACAATAGTTTTTTTTTTTTTTTTTTAAGCATACTGCACTGGAATAAAAAAAATGCAGAGTAGAATTTTAAAACTTAGAAACAGACTCTGGCTATGCGGAAATGACAAAGGTGACTTTTTAAATCATCTGGGAATCTGACAATAAATGACAAGAGAAAAATGAGTTTAGGCCAGCCACGGTGGCTCATGCCTGTAATCCTAGCACTTTGGGAGGCTGAGGCAGGTGGATCACTTGAGGTCAGGAGTTCAAAACCAGCCTGGCCAACATGGTGAAACCTCGTTGTCTACTCTACCAGAAATACAAAAAAATTATCCAGACATGGTGGTAGACACCTGTAATCCCAGCTACTCAGGAGGCTGAGGCACTAGAATCGCTTGAGCCCAGAAGGTGGAGGTTGCAGTAAGCCGAGATCATGCCACTACACTACAGCCTGGGTGACAGAGCAAGACTCTGTCTCAAAAAAAAAGAAAAATGATTTTAACTATATCCTGAATATTTTTTGCTTTACATTATACAATTTACATTACACATAAAAGTAAATGGACTAAAGGATTAAATTTATAAAATGAAAGCTAAAAGAAAATATTAAAGAAACAATATATAAGAAATTTCCCAGAACTGAAGATACGAATTTTTTTATTAAACAGTTCATCTGGTCAGGCACAATGGCACACACCTATATTCCAGCACTTTGGGATACGGAGGCAGGAGGATCACTTGAGCCCAGGAGTTTGAGACCAGCTTAGGCAACACAGTGAGACCCCATCTCTACAAAATATTTTTTAAAATTAGCTAAGCATGGCAGCGTGGGCCTGTAGTCCCAGCTACTCAGGCAACTGAGGCAGGAGGATTACTTGAGCCCAGGAGTTGGAGGCTGCAATGAGCTATGATTGCACCACTGTACTCAAGCCTGGGCAATAGAGCGAGACTCTGTCTCTTTAAAAAAAAATTCAAATAAATAAATACATAAAATCAAAAGTTCCTCTGGGTATCCAGCACAATGAACGAAAAAAGACCACATCAAAGCACATCATCTCACAATCCCACAATACCAAGACAAGAATAAAGAGAAGATCCTAAAAGTATTCAGGAAGAAAACAGGTCATGTACAAAGGATCAGGAATCAAAATGGTAAGAGACTTTACAAAAGCAACGCTGGAAGCTAGAAGATAATGGAACAATGCCTTCAAAATTCTGAGGAAACATGATTTCTATCTAGAATTCCATACTCTTAAGTGTGAGCGTCAAGATGTTTTCAGACAGGAAAGATGTGGTGGTTTTAAAACATGTCCAATAATCCTTTGATACTCCTAATTTCAAATGGTAGAGACTAATACTCTTTCTTGAATACGGGTAGGATGGGCCAGGCACGGTGGCTCACGCCTATACTCCCAGCACTTTGGGAGGCTGAGGCTGGCGGATCACTTGAGGTCACAAGTTCAAGACCAGCCTGGCCAACATGGTGAAACCCAGTCTCTACTACAAAAAAGGAAAAAATAAGCCGGGCGTGGTGCAGGAACCTGTAATCCCAGCTACTCGGCAGGCTGAGGCAGGAGAATCACTTGAACCCAAGAGGTGGAGGTTGCAGTGATCCGAGATTGCACCACTGCACTCCAGCCTGGGTGACTAAGCAAGGCTCCATCTCAAAAAAAAAAAAAAAATGGGTAAGATATAGCAACTGACTTCTAGTGAACAAAATCTGGCAGAAATCTAGGCCATAAAAACAGTCACCTCTGTCTTGCTATCTTGGATCACTAAGTCTGGAAGAACCTGGGTACCAGGTTATGAGGACACTCAATCAGCCTGTGGAGAGGCCCATGTTCTCACATGGGTTCTCTAAGGCTTCTCACCAAGAACCAGCAACAACTTGCCAGCCTGCGAGTGAGTCACCTTAGAAGCGGATCCTCCAGCCTCCAATCAAGCCTTGAGATGACTGCATCCCTGGCTGATATCTTCACTGCAACTTCTTGGGATTCCCTGAGCCAGAACCATCCAGCTAAGTTGCTCCCAAATTCCTGGCCACTGAGACTGCAAAATAATAAATGTTTATTGTTGTGTTAAGCCACTAAGTTTTGGAGTAATTAATTATAAAGCAATAGACAAGCAATACAAGAAATCTCAAAAAACTAACTTCTAGAAATCCTTTGTCAGGATGCTACTGAAAGATACACTCTACCAAACTTAAGGAGAAAATAAGATGCTAGCAGAGGAGAGGTGAAGGGGACATCCAGGTTGCTGGTAAAGAGATGCCCCAAGAAGACAGATGCAGCTGGCCTCCAAATGAAAGATGGAGCAGGAGGATAGGGGACACGAGGGATAGAGGGGTTGCTTCCAGGAGGGAGCCCTTCAGAAGAAAATGAGGCTGATGGATTATCTGATAAGTTTGATCGCAGAGAAAACAGCGTTAGGACTTCAGTGTCTGAAAGAAGCAAATATGAGGGGGTTTTCTAGGTCATTCTAGAAGTCATCAGAAGACACTGTTTACACCTAACTTTAAAACGAGAAGCAGTTTTGACCTTTACTGGACAGGAGTTTAAATCTTCATACAGTTGAAAACTTATGAGAGGTCCAGTGCTTTTTTTTTTTTTTTTACTTTTCTTGAGTCCATTAGGTAACATGCTCTTTATTTTGTGGAATACTCAGGCTTCATGAAAAATCAATACAACTGTACATGTTTAGCTTAATTAAAAAAAAAAACAGCATTAGGAGGCCCTCATAGATCTGCTAAGGTCTGTAGGAAGAATTGATAAACACAGAGAAAACTAACAAACAATAAATGAAGCAATTATTAATTCCAAAGTTTAAAAAAATACACAAGAAAAATTTTAAACATAATGTAACTCTTGACTCAGTAAACAATATTTATAATTTAAAACAAAAACTGTAACACAACAGTATTAGAAGAATGAAACAGAAAAATCCTCAGCTTCCATAATAGGAAACCAATAGATAATGTCTAAAACTGCTTTATTTAGAAATATGAGGGCCAGGCGCAGTGGCTCACACTTATAATTCCAGCACTTTGGGAGGCCAAAACAGGAGGATCACTTGAGGCCAGGGGTTCAAAACCAGCTGGGCAATATAGCAAGACCCCCATCTCTATAAAAAAATTTTTTTTTAAGAAAGGAATATGAGGGTAAATTCCAGAAGCAACTGATACACAAGTTAGAAATATAATTGCCACTGGGATACAGAATTTAAAAATAGGACAGAAGACTGCTGTTTTTCATTATAAATTATAAGGCTATGCCTTCAAAAATATATACACACATTACCTACTAACAACAAACATATATATATATACACACACACACACACACACATATATATGTATATATACATATATATATATATTTTTTTTTTTGAGACGGAGTCTTGCTCTGTCGCCCAGGCTGGAGTGCAGTGGCATGATCTCATCTCACTGCAACCTCCGTCTCCCAGGTTCAAGCAATTCTCCTGCCTCAGCCTCCCAAGTAGCTGGGATTACAGGCAAGTGTGACCACGCCCAGCTAATTTTTCTATTTTTGGTACAGACGGGGTTTCATCATATTGGCCAGGCTGGTCACAAACTCCTGACCTCAAGTGATCTGCCCGCCTTGGCCTCCCAAAGTGCTGGGATTACAGGCATAAGCCACCGTGCCCGGCCACAACAAATTTTTTAAAAGAGAAAATAAGTTAGGATATGAAAATAGTAGATTCAAAATCATACTAGCTAGTTTTTTAAAAAATAGGCCAGGCTGGGGCGGTAGGATCACTTGAGGCCAGGAGTTTGAGACCAGCCTGGGCAACATGGCAAACCCTGTATCTACTAAATATACAAAAAATTAGCCAGTGTGGTGGCAGATGCCTGCTGTAATCCCAGCTACTCAGGACGTTGAGGCACAAGAATAGCTTAAGCCTGGGAGGCAGAGTTTGCAGTGAGCTAAGATCGCGCCACTACACTCCACCCGGGGTGACAGAACAAGACTCTGTCTCAAAAACAAACCCCCCCCCAAAAAAATGTACATACTTATTAACAGTGATTACCTCTGGTTGGAAGATTATAGTTGATTTTATCTTTCTTTAGACTTATTTCTCGACAGACATTTACTAATGTCATAATCAGAAAAAAATTAAGTGAATAAACAACGAAAAGATCAGAACCCCGAATAGTTTTCAGCAATTTTCTCGAGAACCTGAATCCTAACATGAACACTGAAGGATTCTGAGACCTTGCTACCACCTGCCGTCAGATCTTAATAGTCATATCTCAAGCCCTGTGGTGAGGCTTAACTGAGATAACCTAAATAAAGCATCTCCACCTGTCTTAGTGTCTGGCACATTGTCATATTCTATACATGTGATTTCCTTCCTTAATTTGATACAAACCATCTGCTGCCTCTTGCCCCTGTGGTTTTGGGGACACTTTCTGTATGCATGCCTGTGTGAACATGTCCAGTCTCTGGTCCTGCCCCTCCTCTCTATCTGCTGCTAAACAAACTTTTATTCTGACAATTGGCAGGGTATCTTCCTTCTTTCCGCTTCCCTTGCCTTGCAGAATTATTTCCATATGAGTCTAACGTAAGAACAAAAGAATAAGCAGATAAAAAGCCCTGAATAATGACATTCAGATTAAATGGTAAACTGCATGAATGGGTAGAAAGATCAAAGGATTTCAATCCTGGTTCTGCTGCTCATTAATTGTGTGACCCTGAGCAAATTACTCAACATCTATTAGCCTCAGTTAACCCACTCATAAAATCAAGATAATTCCTATTCCATAATGTTGTTGAAAGGATTACAATGACAGAGTAAATACAAAATATATAGCATTTTAAAGATAGGTTAGCTTTCACCCTGCTTCATTTCCTCTATCTAGAATGTCTTTGAACTACTGGTATCTTCAGATTAATTATATAATAGATGATTTAAAACAGATTAACATGTTAAACATAAAAATGTCAGATTAACATGTTAGACATAAAAATGTCAGGCCACAACTAAACTATTAATAGAAGAAATTTCGGTTAATATTTAGCATCTCTATGGCTTTCAAAGCTGAAAAATGATAGAAGAGAAGAAGACCAATGTGTTTAAATAAAAATACTACTTGTTGACTTCTGCTTCTTACAATACAGTGGACTAGATACCCAACACACCTAGATAGATTTCCTGGATAAAACGCCACAAACACCCTTTTAAAGATATTCTTAAACTCTAAGAAAATAAAGTTGTGGCTTGACACATGGCTCACACCTGTAATCCTAATGCTTTGGGACGCTGAGGTGGGAGAATTGTTGAAGAACAGGAATTCAAGACCAGCCTGGGCAACATAGCAAGACCCCCATCTCTACAAAAAAATAAGAAAATAAGGGATATCCCCAAGGACCCAAAATCAACAAGGAGCTAGAAACCAGCATGTTAACCTGATGAAGCTGTGGCTTCCTTAAAGGAATCTGCTGGTATCAATAACCTAGAGGCATGCTTTTCAGGGCTATCTGGGAAACAGAGAAAGGTCCTGGGTCTAAGCAGAATAGGGAACTGGAACTGGGATCTCTGCACAAAGCCCCGAAGGACTACAATGTAAAAGTAAACCAAAAAGATCCACCTGAGGGAAATATGTCTGTCTCTGCCTAGGCAGTAAGAGGGGGGGAAAAGTTTTTCCTGAAAGTATGTCCTCTCAAGCATGACCTCTATGTACTTGAAATTCAAACACAGACTACCTGCACCTTCCAAGAAATCCCAAGCACAAAATTAGTCATTGGCTGGTGGCACACCATGATGTCTAGCTGAAACAATCCAGCAGAAATAAAAGCAGAGACTGAGGAGCTACATCCTCTGACCAGTGCTCACAGAATTCCTACCAATAAAGTCTGCCTTAGGTCAGAATCATAACATAGGAAATAAGCTGTGAGATATGAAAGAAATAAAAAACAGTAGACTTAGACAGCAAAGAACCTTAGATAATAATTTGCTGAATAAAGAGATAATGGAGTTCTGGAAGAAGGAAGTAGAGAAAATGGAACAGAGACAATATCAGAAAATATAATGGCTGAGAAATTTCCAGAACTGAAGGAAAATACGAGTTCACAAAGCACAACAAACCCAAGTCAGGAGAGAGAAAAATAATCTATATTGGACACACAGCAGAAAAACCAAAGATCAACCAAGAGCTCAAATGCGGCCAGTGAGAAGGAAACCCAGCTTATCGACGAATGACTGCAGACTTGCTCTTAAGCACAGACTGTGGAAAGTAAGATCCTAAAAACTTTAAGAGAAAATAACTGTCATCCTAGAATCTTATATTCCCCTAAACTTCCCTTCCAGAATTATTCTAAATAAAGCTATTTTCAGATGAATAAAAACTGAGTTTACCACTAAGAGACTCTTAGTGAAGGGATGCCTAGGATGTTCTTTAAGAAGCAAAAAGGAGCCTGCATGGAAGGGCTGTAACTCAAAAACAGTGAGCAAGAAACCAATAAAATATGGATAAACCTAAAAAGAACTAACTATATGAGACCAAAATAATGTCTCGTTTGAAGGGTAAAAAGCAAGATGGAACTAAAATACTGAACAACTATAACTTGTATTATAATTTGGGAGGGAATAACTGGAGTTAGAGGGTTTAAGGTCCTTTATAGTAAGAAGGTGGGCAGAGTTAATAATTTTTAGATTCTATTAATGTAGATATGCATGCTGAAAATTTAAGGCAATTATTAAAATAATAGAAATGGAAGGTATGGGGGTAATCACTAACAGAAATAGAGGATATAACTTTATGACATTATTTTTAAAACTTGATAAATTAGCCCCTCCAAAAAAGTTATGAGGGAATTAAAAAGGACAAATCAGAACAAATGGAAAACTCAAAATACGTTAGCATTAAATATCAAAATATGGGTTGGGCACAGTGGTTCACGCCTATAATCCCAGCACTTTGGGAGGCTGAGGCAGGAGGATCACTTGAGCCCAGGAGCTCAAGACCCAGCCTGGGCAACATAGCGAGACTGTGCCTGTACAAAAAGACTTTTTTTTTTTTTCTTAATTAGCCAGGTGTGATGGTTTGCACCTGTAGTCACAGCTACTTGGGAGGCTGGGGCAAGAGGACTGCTTGAGCTCAGGAGTTACAGGCTGCAGTGAGCCACGATCACACCACTGCACTCCAGCTGAGAGACAATGAGACCCTGTCTCAAAAAATCATCATTATCATCATCATCATCATCATTAACATCATCATCAAAGTAATCACTATAATCACTATAAATGTAATTGGACTAAATTTACCAGTTAAAATAGAAGTAGTTAGAATGGATTTTTAAAAAATCATCAAGATATATGCTATTTAAAAAGTGATAACATAAAATATAAGGCCAGAAAAAAAGGTTTTAAAAAAATGAAAAAAAATTGTATCAGACAAATGCCACGCCAAATAAAACTAAGGTGGCCGTTTTAATTATCAGACAAAATAGACTTTTTAAATCCCTTTTTAATGTTTTTCTGTCTCTGAAACATGGACAGAAGAGCATTAAAAAAGGATAAATATTACATTTTTTAGAAGGATATAAAAATTCTAAAATGTGTGAGTATGATAAGTCTCTCTCTCTATATATAGATAGATAGATAGATAGATAGATACAGATATAAAGCAAAGACTGATAGAAATACAAGGTGATATTAGAAATTTTTTTTTTTTTTGAGACGGAGCCTCGCTCTTTCGCCCAGGCCGGACAGCAGTGACACTATCTCGGCTCACTGCAAGCTTCGCCTCCCGGGTTCACGCCATTCTCCTGCCTCAGCCTCCTGAGTAGCTGGGATTACAGGTGCCCGCCACCGCGCCCGGCTGATTTTTTGTATTTTTAGCAGAGACGGGGTTTCACCATGTTAGCCAAGATGGTCTTGATCTCCTGACCTCATGACCTGCCCACCTCGGCCTCCCAAAGTGCTGGGATTACAGGCGTGAGCCACCGCGCCTGGCCGATATTAGAAATTTAAGAAAACAATCCCATTTACAACCACAACAATAAAACAATTAGGAATAAACAATTAGGAATAAAACAATTAGGAATAAATTTAACCTAAGAGCTGAAAGACTTGTATATTGAAAACGACAAACATCAATAAAAGAAATTAAAGAAGACACAAATGGAAATACACCAGAGTTCGTGGACTGGAAGACTTATATTGTTACAATATCAATACTACTCAAAGTGATTTACGGATTCAACACAACCCCTATCAAAATACCACTGGAGCTATGCAGGGTGGCACATGCCTGTAATTCCAACTATTATACTTAGAAGACTGACTTGGGAGGATCACTTGAGTCCACGAGTTTAAGGCTACAGTGGGTATGACCATGATACTACATTCCAGCCTAAGTGATAGAGCAAGACATTGTCTCATCAAAAAATAATACCAGTGGGTTTTTCTTTTTTCTGGTTCATGTTCTGTCGTGACAGTGGCATTTTTTACAGAAATAGAAAAAACAATCCTCAAATTCATAATGGAACCACAAAGGACTCCATATAGCCAAAATAATGTTGAGCAAGAGAAAGCTGGAACCATCACATTACTTCATTTCAAAATATATTACAAAGCTACAATAATCAAAACAGTATAGTACTGTCATACAGACCAATGGAACAGAATAGGGAGCCCTGAAATAAACCCATCCATGTATAGTCAAGCGATCTTCAACAAGGGTGCCAAGAATACACAACGGGAAAAAAACAGTCTTTTCAAAAGATGGTGTTGGAATGCTACAATGAACAAGGGAGTGCACATATCTCTTTGAGCTACTGCTTTCGTTTTCTTCAGATGTATGCCTGGAAGAGGGGTTGCTGGCTCATACGGTGGTTCTACTTTTAATTTTCTGAGGCACCTCCATACTGTTTTCCAAAATGGCTGCACCAATTGACATTCCCACCAACAGTACACAGGGGTTTCCATTCCTCCACATCCTTTCCAACACTTATTTCTCTCAATTTATTATATTTTCTATGAAAAACACTTGTATGCTTAAAAATTAAAACCACATGCCAAGGAATTCTTAAAAGAAATCTTAATCCTCCTCCTGTCTTCTTGCCCTTCCTCTCTCTCTCCTGTAGGTCTCCTGTAGGTTTTTTCACTAGCTTTTTGTACTTCTTTTCACAAAAATAAGCAAGCAATATAGACAAGCATTTATATTTCCATCCCTCTTTTTTAAAGAGTAGCATAGTATCTACACCTCTTTTTTTTTTTTTGGCATGCTTTTTTGTTTAGACATCTGGAAATCACTTCATGTCAATTCATAGAAATCTTCCTCATTCCTTTTTACATCCTCATGGTACTCCATTGCAGGAATGTAGCAGAGTTTATTCAACCTTTCTCCTGTAGACTGACACCTGTGCGGTTTCACCTTAACCAAAGGATCAAATAATAACTTGTAATGAAACAAATCCACCAGATGGTAATGGGAAGTACAGGACATTATCCATAAACTATTCTTGCCAAATATATTAAATCTGTGTCTAATCATGAGGAAGCAAAAGACAAATCAGACTGTGAAACCTCCAAGATAATCTTCCTGGACTTTTCAACAATGTCAAGACCAGGAAAGGCAAAGCAATAAATAAGAGGGAGCTAAGAAGTGAAGGAAACAAAAGATACAAGAAACCAAATTCTGTGCTTGATCCTTGGGTGGGTCTAGGATTAGTTGAAAAATAAAACTGAACAAAACAAAACTAAATGACGTTTTGGGGGACAACTTTTGTAAGAACTGTATATTAAATAAGATTATTAAATCAATGTTAAAATCCAAAAATAAAATGACGTTGGGAAAATTGGATATCCACATGCAAAAGAATGAAACTGGACCCTTATTGTACAACACACACAAAAATAAAATCAAAGCAGATTAAAGACTTAAACGTAAGAGCTGAATGTAAAAGCTGAAACATAAAACTGAAACTGTAAAGCTCCTTGAATAAAACGTAGAAGATAAGCTTCATGACACTGGTCTTGGCACTGCTTTCTTTGATATGACACAAAAAGCACGTCAACAAAAGCAAAAATAGACAAGTGAGACTACCAAAACTAAAAAGTTTCTGCACAGCAATGAAAACAACAGAGTGAAAAGGCAACCTACTGAAGGCCGGGCACAGTGGCTCACGCCTGTAATCCCAGCAGTTTGGGAGGCTGAGGCAGGTGGATCGGAATTCAAGACCAGCTTGAACAACATGGAGAAATGCCATGTCTACTAAAAATACAAAATTAGCCAGGCATGGTGGTGCATGCCTGTAATCCCAGCTACTCAGGAGGCTGAGGCAGGGGAATCGCTTGAACCCAGGAGACAGAGGTTGGGGTGAGCCGAGATCACACCATTGCACTCCAGCTTGGGCAACAAGAGCGAAACTCCATCTCAAAAAAAAAAAAAAAGAAAAGGCAACCTACTAAATGGGAGAATATATTTGCAAACCATATATCTGAAAAGGCAATAATATCCAAAATATATAAGAAATTCTTCAGCCGGGCACAGTGGCTCACGCCTGTAATCTCAGAACTTTGGGAGGCCGAGGCGGGTGGATCACTTGAGATCGGAGTTCAAGACCAGCCTGGCCAACACGGTGAAACCCCGTCTCTACTAGAAATACAAAAAATATTAGCCAGGCCTGGTGGCACATGCCTGTAGCCCCAGCTACTGGGGAGGCTGGGGCACGAGAATCGCTTGATCCCGGGAGACAGAAGTTGCAGTGAGCCGAGATCACACCACTGCACTCCAGCCTGGGTGACAGAACGACACTCTGTGTCAACAAAAAAAAAAAGAAAGACAGAAAGAAAATATTCAACTCCGTAGCAAAAGCCCAAATGATCAGATTTTAAAATGGGCAAAAGACTTGAATAGACATTCCCCCAAAAACATACAGTGGACAACAGGTATATGAAAAGATGCTCAATATCATTAATCATCAGGGAAATGCAAATCAAAACAACAATGATTTATCATCCCACACCCGTTAGAATGGCCATTATCAAAAAGACAGGTAACAAGCTGGGTGCAGTGGTTCATGCCTGTAATTTCTACATTTTGAGAGACCAAGCTGGGAGGATCACTTGAGGCCAGGAGTTTGAGACCAGCCTGGGCAACACAGCATGACCCCATCTCCACAAAAATAAAATAAAATAAAATAAAACTAGCCAGGTATGGTGGCACATGCCTATAGTCCTACCTACTTGGGAGGCTGAGGTGAGAGAGCTGCTTGAGCCTGGGAGTTTGAGGCTGCAGTAAGCTATGATCGTGTCACTGCCCTCCAGCCTAGGCAACAGAACAAGACTGTCTCAAAAACAAACAAACAAAAAGACAAAAGATAACAAGTGTTGGTAGCAGGAATGTGCAGAAAAAGGAGCCCTTGTTCACTGTTGGGAACTTAAACTAGTACAGCCATTATGGAAAACAGTACAGAGGTTTCAAAAATTTAAAAATACAACTACAGGCCAGGGTACAGTGGCTCATGCCTGTAATCCCAGCACTTTGGGAGGCCAAGGTGGGAGGATCACTTGAGCCCAGGAGTTGAGACCAGCCTGGGCAACACAGTGAGATTCTGTCTCTATAAAAAATTGAAAAAGAAAAAGAAAAAAAAATACAATTTCCAGCAATTCCACTTCTAGGTATATATCCAAAGGAAATGAAACAGTACGTCAAAGATATCTGCACTCCCATGTTCACTACAGCATTATTCACCTCCAAGATATGGAAGTTCATCCATTGATGAAATGTTAAGTGTCCATCAATGGATGAATGGATAAAGAAAATTGATATATATACACACAACAGAATGCTATTCAGCCTTAAAACAGAAGGAAATCCTGTCACTTGCGACAACATGAATGAACCTAGAGGACATTACTAACATTAAATAAGTCAGGCATAGAAAGATAAATATGATCTCATTTACATGTAGGATCTAAAAAAAATCAAACTCATAGAAGAGTAGAATGGTGGTTACCAGGAAATGTGGGAGTGGGCAGTGGGGCAGGGTATGGGAAATGTTCACCAAAGGGTACAAAATTTCAGTTAGACAGGGGGAATAAGCTCTGGAGATCTACTGTGCAGGATAATATTATGAAAGGTAATAATAACGTATTGTAGCCAGATGCAGTGGTGCACACCTGTAGTCCCAGCTACTTGGAAGGCTGAGGCAATGGGCTCACTTAAGGCCAAGAGTTCAAGGCCAGCCTGAGCAACACAGAAAGACTCACATAGCAACAGAGAAAGACTCCCATCTCTAAAAATAAAAAAAACTAATAATAATAATAATGTATTGTATACTGGAAACTTGCTAAGAGAGTAGGTTCTAAATGTTCTCATCACAAAACAAATGGTACGTGAGGTGACGGATATGTTAATTAACTCGACTTAATCATTCCACAACATATACATATATCAAAACATCATGCTATACACCTTAAGTATATACAATTTTAACATTTGTCAATTTAAAATTAATTGCTTTTTTAAAAAGAAAACAGTCTGGAGCATCCTGAAAAAAATATCATATGATCCAGCAATCCCACTTCTGGGTATTAAACCTAAAGAATTGAAATCGGGATCTCAAAGAAATATTTGTACTCCCACATTCATTGCAGCACCATTTATAACAGCAAAGATGTGGAAACAACCTAAATACCCACAGACAGATGAATGGGGAAAAGAAAATGTAGTCAATACATACAATAGAATATTATTCAGCCTTAGAATAGAAGGAAATCCTATCATTATCAGCAGCATATTGACATCATGCTAAGTGAGATAAGCCAGTCACGGAGGAAAATAGTGGATGATACCACTTGTGTGAGGTATATAAACTAGTCAGACACACAGAAGCAGAGAATACAATGGTGGTTGCCAGGTGTGGCGGAGGGGGAAATGGGGAGTTGCTATTCAACAGGTATAAAGTTTCAGTATGCCAGATGATTAAGTTCCAGAGATCTGCCATACAACATTGTGCCTATAGCTAACTGTATTGCACCTCATCATTAGTACCTTTGGCCTCCAAATCTCAAATGGTGAATGACTTTACTATTTTGAAGAGAATGATACGTTGGACTTTTTAGGAAATAAAGAAGGAAACTCAGCCTGGGCAACAAAGTGAGACTCTATCTCTACAAAATATTTTTAAAAATTAGCTGGGCACAGTGGCACACACCTATAGTCCCAGGTACTTGGGAGACTGAGGTGCAGGATCATTTGAGCTCGAGTTTGTGGCTTCAGTGAGCTAGGTCATGCCACTGCACTCAAGCCTGGATGACAGAGACCCTGTTTCTAAAAAAAGAAAGAAGAAAAAGAACTGAAATAAAAATACAAAGAGATGGCCAGGTGCAGTGGCTTCAGCCTGTAATTTGAGGACTTTGGGAGGCCAAGGTGGCAGATCGCTTGAGCCCAGGAGTTCGAGACCAGCCAGAGCAACATGGCAAAACCCCATCTCTACAAAAAAATAAATATAAAAAGTAGCCAGGCTGGTGACACATGGCTGCAGTCCCAGCTACTGGAGATGCTGAGGTGGGAAGATCGCTTGAACTCAGGAGGCAGATGTTGCAGTGAGCTATGATCACGCCACTGCACTCCAGCCTAGGCAACAAAGGGAGACCCTGCGTTTTATTTTTTTGTGTTTTTTTTTAAAAAAACAGCAATATAAACAAATCCACCATCACAGAAATTCTGACATGTTTCCCTCAGTAAGGGAAAGATAAAGTAGACCAAAAAATGAGTTTAAAAAAGGAGTCCATATTTATATAAATTAATTGAATGTGTTATGAGGAACAACGTATTTGCATAGTTTCAAAGTCCTTCTCCTCAAAATATTTATCACAATGGGAAAAAAGTAAGTTTACCTGGGGAAACTGGAAGACATCACTTAAATCAAGTGATCAAAGTGGATATCACCAATAATAGTACATATCAAAACTGTGTACTGCTTGACAGAATTAAATGAGAAGAACACAGCATCACTGCTGGGATTTTTCTGCCAGTTGCAAAACCTGATTCTAATCATGAAGAAATAGCAGACCAACTCAAAACTGAGGAACATTCTACAAAATAACTGGCCTGAAATTTTCAAAAATGTAAAGATCATGAAAGTTTAGAAAAGACTAAAGAATTGTTTCACACTGAAGGAGACTAAAAAGACATGAAAACTAAATGCAGTGACAATGACAACATGTGGTCTGATTTTTTTTTCTTTTTTTTTTTTTTTAGACAGGATCTCACTCTGTCACCAAGGCTAGGGTGTGGTGGCACGATCATGGCTCACTGCAGCCTCAACATCCTGGTCTCAAGCAATCCTCTGCCTCAGCCTCCCGAGTAGCTGGGACTACAGGTGTGTGCCACCATGCCCAGTTTTTTTGTTTTTGTTTTGTTTTGTTTTGTTTTGACAGAGTCTTGCTTTGTTACCCAGGCTAGTCTCAAACTCCTGAGCTCAAGCAGTCCTCCCACCTCAGGCTCCCAAAGCGCTGGGACTACAGGCATGAGCCACTGCACCCAACGCATTTCCTGACTTTGATGACTATACTTTGGTTATGTAAAAGAATGTTCCTCATTTGTTTCTAATATACATTAAAGGACTCAGGGGTAAAAGTGCATCATGCTGTAAACTCACTCTCAAATAATTCACCAAAATGAGTTCTATCTACTTTCTTACAACTTATTGAGTATGACACTATTAAAAATCCATATCATAGCCAGGTGCAGTGGCATAGTCCCAGCTACTCGGGAGGTTGAGATGGGAGGACTGCTTGAGGCCAGGAATTCAAGGCTGCAGTGCACTATGATCACGCTGGTGAACAGCCACTGCACTCCAGCCTGGGCAACCCAGTAAAACCCCCCAATTCTAAAAAATGTGTGTGTGTGTATGTGTATATCACAAAGACAAGATGTACAAAACACTCACGGAACTACTGCACTCTTAAATATATACTTCTATGGAAGAGAAAAATACAGAATATTCTTAACTCAGTTTATGAATCTTGTAATCAAATAAAAGACAGTATGAGAATTGACAATTAAATCTCACTTGCAAACACAGAAGAAAAAGAATCATTCCTGGAATCCAAGAATAGTTTAACATTAGGAAATCCATTAACAACCTAAGTCACCACAGCAATAGATCATGAGAATAAAACCACGACTAATTCAATAGATGCAGACAAAGCATTTAAAATTTAACTATTGGTAAAAATTCTGAGAAAAAAAGAAGAGGAAATTTCCTTAACTTGACAAAAAGCATTTACCAAAACTCAAAAGAAAATATCATACTTGTTGGAAAAATGTTAGAAGCATTCCCTTAAGAGCAAGAATATAACAACGATGATTGCTTTCACTGCTTCCATTTCACTTTGTATTGGAGGTCCTATCAGTGCCATTAAAACAAGTAAAACAAATAAGAGGAAGATGAGAATAAAAGAAACAAACTGCTATTATTCACAAATGACATTATTATCTACATGGAAAATAAGAAAATCTGCATGCAAATTATTAGAATTAAGAACAGAGGTCCACCCTGGGCAATATGTGAGATCCCATCTCTACAAAAAAAAATTTTTATTTAGCCAGGTGTGGTGGCATATGCCTATAGTCCTAACTACTTACGAGCCTGAGGTGGGAGGATCATTTAAGCAGAGGAGTTCAAGGCTGCAGTGAGCTATAATCAGGCCACTGCACTCCAGCCTGGGCGATACAGTGAGACCATGTCTCTAAAGTTTAAAAAAAATTAATTAATTAAAAAAGAGAGGTATGTAAGGTGGCTGGCTGGATATGATATCAATATACAAAATTATTTTTGATATAGCAGCAAAAAATAAAAAGTAATTTTTTTAGTGATGGGGTCTTGCTATGTTGCCCAGGCTGGTCTTGAACTCTTGGACTCAGCAATCTTCCCACCTCAGCAACTCAAGCAGCTAGAACTACAGGCGCGCATCACCACATGAAAGTAATTTTTTGGCAGTGGCTGGCAAGATGGCCAAATAGGAACAGCTCGGGTCGGCAGCTCCCAGCAAGATCAACGCAGAAGGCGGGTGATTTCTGCATTTCCAACTAGGGTACCCGGTTCATCTCACTGAGACTGGTTAAACAGTGGGTACAGCCCACAGAGGGCGAGCCAAAGCAGGGTAGGGCATCACCTCACCTGGGAAGCATAAGGTGTTGGGAAACTCCCTCCCCTAGCCAAGGGGAGCCATGAGGGACCACGCCGTGAGGAATGGTGCATTCTGCCCCTGATACTACGCTTTCCCCATGGTCTTCACAACCCACAGACCAGGAGATTCCCTCGGGTTCCTACGTCACCAGGGCCCTGGGTTTCAAGCACAAAACTGAGCAGCCTTTTGGGCAGACACCGGGCTAGCTGTAGGAGCTTTTTTTCATACCCCAGTGGTACCTGGAACACCAGCGAGAAAGAACCATTTACTTCCCTCGAAAAGAGGCTGAAGCCATGGAGCCAAGTGGTCTTGCTCAGCAGATGCCAACCCCATGAAGCCCAGCAAGCTAAGATCCAATGGCTTGAAATTCTCACTGCCAGCACAGCAGTCTGAAGTTGACCTGGGACACTTGAGCTTGGTGAGGGGAGGGGCGTCCACCATTACTGAGACTTGAGTAGGCAGTTTTCCCCTCACAGTGTAAACAAAGCCACCAGGAAGTTGCAACTGGGCAGAGCCCACGGCAGTGCCACAAAGCCATTGTAGCCAGACTGCCTCTCTAGATTCCTCCTCTCTGGGCAGGGCATCTCTGAAAGAAAGGCAGCAGCCCCAGTCAGGGGCTTATAGATAAAACTCCCATCTCCCTAGGACAGAGCACCTGGGGGAAGGCGTGGCTATGGGCGCAGCTTCAGCAAACATAAATATTCCTGCCTGCCAGCTCTAAAGAGAGCAGCAGATCTTCCCCCAGCACAGCGCTCAAGCTCTGCTAAGGGACAGACTGCCTCCTCAAGTGGGTCCCTGACCCCTGTGCCTCCAGACTGGGAGACACCTCCCAGCCGGGGTGGACAGACACCTCATACAGGAGAGCTCCAGCTGGCATCTGGCAGGTGCCCCTCTGGGACGAAGCTTCCAGAGGAAGGAACAGGCAGCAATCTTTGCTGTTTTGCAGCCTCCACTGGTGATAACCAGGCAAACAGGGTTTAGAGTGGACCTCCAGCAAACTCCAGCAGACCTGCAGCAGAGGGGCCTGACTGTTAACAAGGAAAACTAACGAACAGAAAGGAATAGCATCAACATCAACAAAAAGGACCTCCACAGAGAAACCCCATCCAAAGGTCACCAACATCAAAGACCAAAGGTAGATAAACCCATGAAGATGAGGAAAAACCAGTGCAAAAAGGCTGAAAATTCCAAAAACCAGAACGCCTCTTCTCCTCCAAAGGATCACAACTCCTCACCAGCAAGGGAACAAAACTGGACAGAGAATGAGCTTGACGAATTGGCAGAAGTAGGCTTCAGTAGGTGGGTAATAACTAACTCGTCCAAGCTAAAGGAGCATGTTCTAACCCAATGCAAGGAAGCTAAGAACCTTGATAAAAGGCTACAGGAACTGCTAACTGGAATAACTAGTTAAGGGAAGAACATAAATGTCCTGATGGAGCTGAAAAACACAGCATGAGAACTTCATGAAGCATCCACAAGTATCAACAGCTGAATTGATAAAGAGGAGAAAGGATATCAGAGATTGAAGATCAACTTAATGAAATAAAATATGAAGACAAGATTAGAGAGAAAAGAATTAAGAGCAACAAACAAACCCTCCAAGGAATATGGGACTATGTGAAAAGACCAAACCTACGTTTGACTGGCATACCTGAAAGTGACAGGGAGAATGGAACCAAGGTGGAAAAAACTCTTCAGGATATTATCCAGGAGCACTTCCCCAACCTGGCAAGATAGGCCAAAATTCAAATTCAGGAAATACAGAGAACACCACAGAGATACTCCTCGAGAAGAGCAACCCCAAGACACATAATCATCAGATTCACCAATGTTGAAATGAAGGAAAAAATGTTAAGGGCAGCCAGAGAGAAAGGTCAGATTACCCACAAAGGGAAGCCCATCAGACTAACAGCGGATCTCTCTGCAGAAACCCTAAAGGCCAGAATAGAGTGGAGGCCAATATTCAATATTCTTAAAGAAAAGAATTTTCAACCCAGAATTTCATACCCAGCCAAACTAAGCTCCATAAGCAAAGGAGAAATAAAATCCTTTATGGACAAGCATATGCTGAGAGATTTTGTCACCACTAGGCCTGCCTTACAAGAGCTCCTGAAGGAAGCACTAAATATGAAAAGGAAAAACTGGTACCAGCCACTGCAAAAACATACCAAATTGTAAAGACCATCAACGCTATGAAGAAACTGCATCAACTAACAGGCAAAATAACCAGACAGCATCATAATGACAGGATCAAATTCACACATAACAATATTAACCTTAAATGTAAACGGGCTAAATGCCCCAATTAAAAGACACAGACAGGCAAACTGGATAGTCAAGACCCATCAGCATGCTGTATTCAGGAGACGCATCTCACGTGCAAAGAAACACATAAGCTCAAAATAAAGGGATGGAGGAATATTTACCAAGCAAATGGAAAGCAAAAAAAAAAAAAAAAAAGCAGAGATTGCAATCCTAGTCTCTGATAAAACAGACTTTAAACCAACAAAGATCAAAAAAGACAAAGAAGGGCATTACATAATGGTAAACAGATCAATGCAACCAGAGAAACTAACTATCCTAAATATATATGCAACCAATACAGGAGCATGCAGATTCATAAAGGAAGCTCTTAGAGACCTACAAAGAGACTCCCACACAGTAATAGTGAGAGACTTTAACATCCCACTGTCAATATTAGACAGATCAATGAGACAGAAAATTAACAAGGATATTCAGGACTTGAACTCAGCTCTGGACCAAGGAGACCTAACAGACATCTACAGAACTCTCCACCCCAAATCAACAGGATGTATGTTCTTCTCAGCACTACATCATACTTATTATAAAATTGACCACATAGCCCAGGCACGGTGGCTTACGCCTGTAATCCCAGCAGTTTGGGAGGCCAAGGCGGGCAGATCACGAGGTCAGGAGATCGAGACCATCCTGGCTAACACAGTGAAACCCCATCTCTACTAAAAATACAAAAGATTAGCTGGCGTGGTGGCAGGCACCTGTAGTCCCAGCTACTCGGGAGGCTGAGGCAGGAGAATGGCGTGAACCCAGGAGGCAGAGCTTGCAGTGAGCCGAGATTGCGCCTGGGGGACAGAGCAAGACTCCATCTCAAAAAAAAATAAAATAAAATAACATAAAATTTAAAAAAATAAATAAAAAATAAAATTGACCACATAATTGGAAGTAAAACACTCCTCAGCAAATGCCAAACAGAAATCATAATAGTCTCTCAGACCACAGTGCAGCTAAATTAGAACTCAGGATTAAGAAACTCACTCAAAACTGCACAACTACATGGAAACTGTACAACCGGCTCCTGAATGACTACTGGGTAAATCACTAAATTAAGGCAGAAATAAATAAGTTATTTGAAACCAGTGAGAACAAAGACACAACATACCAGAATCTCTGGGACACAGCTAAAGCAGTGTTTAGAGGGAAAATTATAGCACTGAATGCCCACAGGAGAAAACGGGTAAGAGCTAAAATCGACACCCTAACATCACAATTAAAAGAACTAGAGAAGCAAGAGCAAACAAATTCAAAAAACTAGCAGAAGACAAGAAATAACAAAGATTGGAGCAGAACTGAAGGAGAAAGAGACTCAAAAAAACCCTTCAAAAAAAATCAATGAATCCAGGAGCTGGTTTTAGATAGACCACTAGCCAGACTAATAAAGAAGAAAAGAGAGAAGGATCAAATAGAACAAAAAATTATAAAGGGGATATCACCACTGATCCCACAGAAATACAAACTACCATCAGAGAATACTATAAACATCTCTATGCAAATAAACTAGAAAATCTAGAAGAAATGGATAAATTCCGGAACACACACACCTTCCCAACACTAAATCAAGAAGAAGTCGAATCCCTGAATAGACCAATAACAAGTTCTGAAACTGATGCACTAATTAATAGCCTACCAACCAAAAAAAGCCCAGGACCAGATGGATTCACAGCCGAATTCTACTAGAGGTACAAAGAGGAGCTGGTAGCATTCCTTCTGAAACTATTCTAAACAATAGAAAAAGAGGGAATCCTCCCTAACTCATTTTATGAGGCCAGTATCATCCTGATACCAAAATTTGGCAGAGACACAACAAAAAAGAAAATTTCAGGGCAATATCCCTGATAAACATCGATATGAAAATCCTCAATAAAATACTGGCAAACCGAATCCAGCAGCACATCAAAAAGCTTATCCACCATAATCAAGTCGGCTTCATACCTGGGAAGCAAGGCTGGTTCAACATACACAAATCAATAAACGTAATCCATCACATAAACAGGACCAATGACAAAAACCACATGATTATCTCAATAGATGCAGAAAATGTCTTCGATAAAATTCAACACCACTTCATGCTAAAAACTCTCAATGAACTAGGTATTGATGGAATGTATCTCAAAATAATAAGAGCTATTTATGACAAACCCACAGCAAATATCATACTGAATGGGCAAAAGCTGGAAGCAATCCCTTTGAAAACCGGCACAAGACAAGGATGTCCTCTCTCACCACTCGTATTCGACATAGTATTGGAAGTTCTGGCCAGGGCAATCCGGCAAGAGAAAGAAATAAAGGGTATTCAAATAGGAAGAGGGGAAGTCAAATTGTCTGTTTGCAGATGACACGATTGTATATTTAGATAACCCCATCGTCTCAGCCCAAAATCTCCTTAAGCTGATAAGCAACTTCAGGAAAGTCTCAGGATACAAAATCAATGTGCAAAAATCACAAGCATTCCTATACACCAATAATAGACAAACAGAGACCCAAATCATGAGTGAACTCCCATTCACAATTGCTACAAAGAGAATAAAATACCTAGGAATCTAACTTGTAAGGGATGTGAAGGACCTCTTAAAGGAGAACTACAAACCACTGCTCAAGGAAATAAGAGAGGACACAAACAAATGGAAAAACATTCCATGTTCATGGATAGGAAGAATCAGTATCGTGAAAATGGCCATTGTGTCCAAAGTAATTTAAAGATTCAATGCTATTCTGATCAAGCTACCATTGACTTTCTTCAAAGAGTTAGAAAAAAATACTTTAAATTTCATACGGAACCAAAAAAGAGCCCATATAGCCAAGACAATCCTAAGCAAAAAGAACAAAGCTGGAAGCATCATCCTACCTGACTTCAAACTATATTACAAGCCTACAGTAACCAGAACAGCATGGTACTGGTACCAAAACAGACATATAGGCCAATGGAACAGAATAGAGGCCTCAGAAATAATGCCACACACCTACAACCATCTGATCTTCGACAAACCTGACAAAAACAAGCATTGGGGAAAGGATTCCCTATTTAATAAATGGTGTTGGGAAAACAGGCTAGCCATATGCAGAAAACTGAAACTGGACCCCTTCCTTATACCTTATACAAAAATTAACTCAAGATGGATTAAAGACTTAAACATAAGACCTAAAACCATAAAAACCCTAGAAGAAAACCTAGGAAATACCATTCAGGACATAGGCATGGGCAAAGACTTCATGATGAAAACACCAAAAGCAATGGCAACAAAAGCCAAAATTGACAAATGGGATCTAATTAAACTAAAGAGCTTCTGCAGAGCAAAAGAAACTATCATCAGAGTGAACAGGCAACCTACAGAATGGGAGAAAATTTTTGCAATCTATCCATCTGACAAAGGGCTAATATCCAGAATCTACAAGCAACTTAAACAAATTTACAAGAAAAAAACAACCCCATCAAAAAGTGGGCAAAGGATATGAACAGACACTTCTCAAAAGAAGACATTTATGCAGCCAACAAACATATGAAAAAAAGCTCATCATCACTGGTCATTAGAGACATGCAAATCAAAACCACAATGAGATACCATCTCACGCCAGTTAGAATGGTGATCATTAAAAAGTCAGGAAACAACAGATGCTGGAGAGGATGTGGAGAAATAGGAAAGCTTTTACACTGTTGGTGGGAGTATAAATTAGTTCAAACATTGTAGAAGACAGTATGGCAATTCCTCAAGCATCTAGAACCAGAAATACCACTTGACCCAGGAATCCCAATACTGGGTATACACCCAAAGGATTATAAATCATTCTACTATAAAGACACATGCACATGTATGTTTATTGTGGCACTGTTCACAATAACAAAGACTTGGAACCAACCCAAATGTCTATCAATGAAAGACTGGATAAAGAAAATGTGGCACATATACACCATGGAATACTATGCAGCCATAGAAAAGGATGAGTTCATGTCCTTTGCAGGGACATGGATGAAGCTGGAAACCATCATACTCAGCAAACTAACACAGAAACAGAAAACAAAACACCGCGTGTTCTCACTCATAAGTGGGAGTTGAACAATGAGAACACATGGACACGGGGAGGGGAACATCACACACCGAGGCCTGTGGGAGGGTGGAGGGCTAGGGGAGGAATAGCATTAGGAGAAATACCTAATGTAGATGATGGGTTGATGGATGCAGCAAACCACCATGGCACATGTATACCTATGTAACAAACCTGCACATTCTGCACACGTATCCTAGAACTTGAAGTATAATTTTTTTAAAAAGTAATTTTTTTAAATTAAAATTGGGGCCAGACATGGTGGCTCAAGCCTGTAATCCCAGCATTTTAGGTCAAGGCAGGCGGATCACCTGAGGTCAGGAGTTCGACAGCAGCTTGGCCAACATGGTGAAACCTCGTCTCTACTAAAAATACAAAAAAGAAAATTACCCAGGCATGGTGGCACATGCCTAGTCCCAGCTGCTTGGGAGGCTGAGGCAGGAGAATCGCTTGAACTCGGGAGGCAGAGGATGCAGTGAGCCAGGATCACACCACTGCACTCCAGCCTGGACAACTGAGTAAGAACTTGCCTCAAAAAAAAGAAGAAGAAAAAGAGCAAAGTAAGAGTATCAAGTCACAGAGTTATCAAGACTTACTAGACTAAAAGCAATAGAAAAAGATACTATGATACTGGTGCAGAAATAGCCAAACAGAACAAATGAAACATATGGAATAAATGAAAAAGGTTATTAACAGGCCAGCTCATATATGGGCATTTGATATACAAAAGAGAGAAAATTGCTGAGTTCTGGGGAAACAAGGGTGTATGTAATAAATAGTGTTGACATTACCTATCCATATACACAAAAAAATAAAATTAGAACCATACTTTTTCTTTTTTTTTTTGAGCCGGAGTTTTGCTCTTGTTGCCCAGGCTGGAGTGCAATGGCACGATCTCAGCTCACTGCAACCCCCGCCTCCTGGGTTCAAGCAATTCTCCTGTCTCAGACTCCCAAGTACCTGGGATTACAGGCGCATGCCACCACACCCAGCTAATTTTTGTATTTTTAGTAGAAACAGGGTTTCATCATATTGGTCAGGCTGGTCTTGAACTCCTGACAAACAGATAGCCAAATCATGAGTGAACTCCCATTTACAATTGCTACAAAGAGATTAAAATACCTAGGAATACAACTTACAAGGGATATGAAGGACCTCTTCAAGGAGAACTACAAACCACTGCTCAAGGAAATAAGAGAGGACACAAACAAATGGAAAAACATTCCATGCTCATGGATAGGAAGAATCGATATCGTGAAAATGGCCATCAGGTGATCTGCCCGCCTCGGCCTCCTAAAGTGCTGGGATTACAGGCATGA
Source organism: Homo sapiens (assembly GCF_000001405.40). Classification (NCBI taxonomy): domain Eukaryota; kingdom Metazoa; phylum Chordata; class Mammalia; order Primates; family Hominidae; genus Homo; species Homo sapiens. Next base: position 35,836,782 of record NC_000014.9, on the reverse strand, counting down.
GCCACCACACCCAGCCTAGAACCATACTTTATACCATACACAAAAACTAATTAAAGGTAGTTTTGCAATCTAAATATTGAAAGCAAAATTTCAACTTTTAAAGGAAAATACATCTTTTTACCTCAAAATAGGAAGACACAAAAAGCACATCCTTGGCTCACACCTGTAATCTCAACACTTCAGGAGGCCAAGGCAGGAGGACTGCTTGAGCCCAGGTGTTTGAGACCAGCCTGGGCAACATAGTGGAACCGCTTCTCTACAAAAAATTTTAAAAATTAGCTGGGTGTGATGGCATGCATCTGTAGTCCCAGCTACTCAGGAGGCTGAGGCAGGAGGATGGCTTGAGGCCAGGGGAGTAGAGGCTGCAGTGAGCCATGATCATGCCACTGCACTCCAGCCTGGGTGACAGAGTGACACCCTGTCTCAAAACAAAAGAAAACAAAACACATCCCATAAATAAAAAGATAATAAATTCAACTACATTAAAATGTAAAACTTCTTTGCAGCAAGTCATCAGAAAGAGTGAAAACATCGTACCACCTGGGCAAAAAGATTTGCAAAGCATACAACCAGCAAAGCATTTATAGCCAGAATATATAAAGAACTTATATAGTCAATGAGGGAAAGACTAAAAGCCAACACAAAGGCAAGAAATACAAATAGGCACTTCTTAGGAAAAAATATCCAAGCAGCTAGTAAACGCCAAAAAGATAATCAATCTCAGTTGTAATTATGAAAATGAAACAATGAGCTCTATCATTTTTATACCTAACTACTCTTAGTTTACGGCACATTAAAGTGACAGAAGAATCGTTATAGAACTTGTCCTCTTATTTCTACCTGTATATCTATAATCTTGTCTAGATTTGATAAAAAGTTATCTGCAAAACGGGCACTATGGGGTTTTTTTGTTTGTTGTTGTTGTAGTTGCTATTTCTGAGACAGGGTGACACTCTGTTACCCAGGCTGCAGAACAGTGGCACAATCACAGCTCACTGCAGCCTCAACCTCCGAAGGTCAAGCAATCCCCTCACCTCAGCCTCCTGAGTAGCTAGGACTACAGCCACCTGCCACCATGCCCAGCTAATTTTTCTATTTTTTGTAGAGGTGGGGGGTCTCACTATGTTGCCCAGACTGGTCTTGACTTCCTGAGCTCAAGAAATCCTCTCGCCTCAGCCTCCTAAACTCTTGGGATTACAGGTGTGAGCCACCATGCCTGGGCACTATGTTTTTTAAATGCTATAAATATTTTAACCCATTTATGCCTAGTGTTCCATTACTGGAATGTTAAGCTTGTGGGAGTTATTTATATCCTACTGCTCAAGGTCATCACCAAGATCTGATTTTTCACACACACAAAAAAATTGCAACCTTCAGCATAAATGGGTTAAATGCAAAATAAACAGAATATACAGAAAAATATACCTATTTTTTTTCCCATAAATAGAGAATTCTGCCCAAAGATGTGGAAATAGGTCTAGACAGACAGAAACTAATTCTATAGCCCAACATCCTAACTGCACCATTGAGTGTATATTTCGCAAATCTAATCCACATTATACTAATTATACTAATATTTTCAGTAATGCCAGGTGACATAATCGTTGCAAAGTCTTTTTAAAGTAACAGCTGCAAAACTTCTAAAATTATCTCAGTTTTTTTCTATGGTCCTTTCTTTGTGTCCTATCTCCAATACAGCTTCCAATGCAACTCTATTCTTTTTTTTTTTTAATCACACACAAATGATGAGCTAAAGTACTATTTAATATTGTTTTACTTAGTTTACTTTTTTAACTACTACACTCAGAAAAGGCTTGAAGAGATGAAATTAGCTTAAAAGTTATGCAAAATGACAGTACCTCACAATGCTGGCGAGAAGCTTGAATTTCACATTCATATTTGTTCTTTACAGATTCTAAGCAGAGCTCTCTATAGATTCCTGCAACCAAACACAATTACTCTGATTATGTTAGCAATGAGAAGTTCCATTATCACTTCCCTACAGGAATTCTGTCCTCACTGTATTTAATAAGATGGATCAAGAAAAAATTGAAAAGTGAGTCTAACTTTGTCTTTAAAGACTAAAAATAAAAGGCTCACTTAAAATATATATCCAAAAAGATTAGAAATTATAAGAGCTAGAAAGAAACTGTACTGCTAGTTTTTGTTCTTAATCTATTCTTCTAAAGATTACTCCTAAATGTTTGATACAGAATAATCAAAATGAAAATAAAACTCTTTTCCTGTGAAAAACAATCTCTCAAGTTTCTCAAAATAGAAATGGAGATAATAAACTCTGGTGTCATCAATCACATATACTCAGAGTAACAGCTAGATACTATACCCCACCAAAACCACTTTTTTTTTAACTATCATTTTCAATCCAAAGAATCCACGAGGAGTAAATGTATATAAACTGATATAACAAAATCAATTATGTCTGGAGTGCTCCTGACAGGACTTTATCTAGAGGATGGATACCCAAGATAGTTTAACTTAGACCCTAACAGGACAATAGTATAAAATAGGTAACATGGCCATGCAAATATGTCACTACAAAAACGGCACGCAAAGAGCTCTGGATATGTATTCTAAGCTTTATGCCATAGTTGGCCCTAGAAATGTAATTATCTCTCTTTGTATAGTAAAGGCAAGAGACAGATATCTGGAACTACGTCATCAGCAACACATTCACACACACTACTCTGCAAAATCAAAATATAAAAGAGGCCAGAGTAGAAAAGTAAATAATCGACTCAAGTAATATTTCCTGATCATCCATGTAATCTAAAAGAACAAAGAAAATTAGGGATATTTTTACTTCTAAGGGTATGTTGTCAATATGTAAAGATAGCAGTGAAGAGTATCATATCATCTACATAATATTAAGCACTCAAAAATAAAATTTGGTTAAAGGAGGGTTTAGTAAAAAGAACTTATTATCAACAATGCCTTAGGTATTATCTAACAGGTACATAAGGGTCAATTAGTGCCACATAAGAGAAAAACAACCAGCATCTCCACTAATTAAAGTTTAGTTTTTGACTATGAAAAATCATATATATATCCCTTGATTATGAGTGCCAGGACATGATACTGAGGCTGGATCCTATTTACAAACATAAGACTGAAATGTAACCATACAAATATAGTGCATCTTTGTTTATTTGTAGCCACAAATGAGTAACCAAACTTATCAAAGTAAAAAGGAAAAATTAAATCATCTAGTTCAAGGCAAGTTTCCTGTTCTATAATATCCTGATCAAACATTTTTAAAATTTTTTATAAATTAAAAAAAATCCTATCACTTTTACGTATTAAAAAAATGCCTAGAACACTTAAACTTTATCTAATAGGGAATTAAAATGTGATAGTAACAGTCTCTCTTAATGAAAGTATCATGGTTTCCAGTTGTTTCACCAAATGTGGAACTATCTTCTCAACAACACTGTAAACAACTTGAGGGCTTTTTTTTTTTTTAATCCCCTACAGCAGCAGAGCAAAGCAAGAGGTATTCAATAAATACAGTAACTGTGGGCTAACTAAAAGTAAAATATTCTGGTCGATGTAAATATGCTTGTAATCCCATCAACATAAAACACTTACTTGATAAACACCTTTTAAAGCTACTGAAGAGTTTACATTCTATATATGGAAAAGATTCTTCACTTTCCTACCTGCTACCTTTGTACGAATTTGCATATTTTCCTGTAAAGTTGCCAGCGGTTCCAAGTATTCTGGTGCTTTTCCAGCTATGACTTCTTGTAGTTTTGCATCCACCTGACTTAATCGTTCTTTATAAAGTCTTAACAAAGCAAAAATTAATATGTTAATTTAAAAATCTCAACAAAGGCTAACAATTTGCCATTTCTATACATTATTTGTTCCCAATATCATTTATATTCTAATAATCTATCAAATATATTTTGCCTTGATCTCAAGCAGAGAACTCAGTTACATTATTTGACTTTATGCACATAATCACAAAACAGGTATCTATCTATCACTCTTTAATGGTCAATTCCCAATACAAAAAAATAAAATTGAAATAACTACTTTTTGGCACTATTAATGTTTGTTTTTGTTTTAACCACAGAACAATAAAACCAATTCTAAGAGAAAAGGTCATTTAAACACTGAGTTTAAAAGAAACAAAGAAATCATTTTGAATAGACATTACCAGTTGTCAAAATAAATAATTACTTGGCTTCTCTCTACCGTTCCTGAAAAGGAGTCAGTATTACTGTATTCAGCCTACTTAATTTTTTTTTTTTTTTGAGACGGAGTCTCGCTCCGTCACCCAGGCTGGAGTGCAGTGGCGCAATCTCGCTCACTTCAAGCTCCGCCTCCTGGGTTCACGCCATTCTCCTGCCTCAGCCTCCCGAGTAGCTGGGACTACAGGCGCCCGGCTAATTTTTTTTTTTTTTTTTTTTGTATTTTTTAGTAGAGACGGGGTTTCACCGTGTTAGCCAGGATGGTCTCGATCTCCTGACCACGTGATCCACCCGCCTCAGCCTCCCAAAATGCTGGGATTACAGGCGTAAGCCACCGTGCCCGGCCCAGCCTACTTAATTTTTTAAAAGAGCAAAGAGGAAGTAGACTAATGAAGGTAAAACCAATGTTTTTATGACCTGACATACTAAGTTTGTCTCAACTACAAATGAAGAAGCCATAACAAAATTAGTTGCTCAATGAACAAGGAACTCAAAAATGGGGCAGGAGGTCCCTGTTACTCCTATTTATAAGGCCACTTACAAATACTCTAATTTGCCAGCTGTCACCAATACCTTTAGAGTATGATACAACTCAGTGTTTATTTTTGGCAATAATCCTGCAGGACAGAACTAATTTTTTTTTTTTTTAAGACAGTGTCTTACTCTGTCGCCCAGGCTGCAGTGCAATGGCACGAGCACAGCTCACTTGCAGCCTTGACCTCCTGGGCTCAATTGATCCACCTGCCTTAACCTCCCAAGTAGCTGGGACCACAGGCACGTACCACCACATCCAGCTAATTTTTAAATATTTTATGGAGACCAGGTCTTCCGATGTTGCCCAGGCTGGTCTCCAACTCCTGGGTTCAAGCCCACAAAAAAACCCTGCCTCCAAACCCTCAGTTTAGTTAATGAGGTCTTTAGTAGACAAACAATAGTTGAAGCCTCTTTCAAATTGGTCTGTCGCATAAAATACAAAACAGCTGAGACTGAATCTAGTTGCTCTTGTGCTAGTATACAAGTGACAAGGTTGAGATTCAGTGACAATGGCCTTCTAAAGTCACTACTTACTGATCTTTGAGATCGGTAAACTGTTTTTCAAGATTGGACATTTCATCCAAACATTCCATTCTTCTTCTTTCACAGTCTTCATCATCCATTTCTGTTAATAAAAAGGCAAATATAAAAGATAAACTTAATTTTCAAATTTATCTGAACATCTCAAATATATCTGAACGTAATTCAAATAGGAAGAAAAACTGTAATATGAAGAGAAGACCTATATTAAGCCTTAAAAGAAAATAAACAAGATTTATCAAAAATAATAATTTCTGCTGGGCGTAGTGGCTCATGCCTCTAATTCCAGCAGTTTGGAAGGCCAAGTCAGGAGGACAGATTGAGCCCAGGACTTCAAGATCAGCCTGGGCAACAGAGGAAGACCCCATCTCTACAAAATATAAAAATATTAGCTGGGCACGGTACCATGAGCCTGTAGTCTCACCTACCAGGAGGCTGAGGCAGGAGGATCGCCTGAGCCCAGGAGTTGGAGGCTGCAGTAAGCCATGATTGTGACACTGCACTCCACCCTGGGTGACAGAGTGACCTAGTCTAAAAAAAAAAAAAAAAAAAATCCACTATAGATTTAATCTAAAATACAGATGAGTATATAAAACTATACTGGTCTCTAGACCCTCTTACTTTTATTCATTTTTAAATCACTTTAAAGGACTGACTATAAGCTATAACTATAAAGTAATTAGCCCACATTTGGTTTGTTTTCCACCAACTCACCAGAATGTAGCACCAAAATGACTGTGTCCTTTAAAGGCTAACATTGCTCAAAAACATTTTTGGGATTCTTCTTTCAGAACTGCTCACATGGCTGATTTGCCTGTCACATAAAAAAAGAAAAGTGGCCGGGTGTGGTGGCTCATGCCTGTAATCCCAGCACTTTGGGAGGCTGAGGCTGGAGGATTGCTCGAGCTCAAGCGTTCAAGACCAGCCTGGGCAACATGGTGAAACCCCATCTCTAATAAAAATACAAAAATTAGCCAGACATAGTGGTGGATGCCTGTAGTCCCAACTGCTCGAGAGACCGAAGTGGGAGGATCGTTTGAACTTGATAGGCAGAGGTTGCAGTGAGCCAAGATTGCGCCAGCCTGGGCAACAGAGATCCTGTCTCAAAAATAAAAAGTGAAAGAAAGGCCAGGCATGGTGGCTCACTCCTGTAATCCCAGCACTTTGGGAGGCTGAGGCAGGCGGATCACCTGAGGTCAGGAGTTCGAGACCAGCCTGACCAACATGGAGAAAACCCATCTCTACTAAAAATACAAAATTAGCTGGGCGTGGTGGCACATGCCTGTAATCCCAGCTACCTGGGAGGTTGAGGCAGGAGAATCGCTTGAACCCAGGAGGTGGAGGTTGTGGTGAGCCAAGATCGTGCCATTGCACTCTAGCCTGGGCAACAAGAGCGAAACTCCATCTCAAAAAAAGGAAAAAAAAAGAAAAAGAAAAAGGAAAACTAATCTTATTATGTTTACCACAGGCTCTCCTGGTCTGCCATTCCTACGTTCCCTTATTCCGTCTACCCATATTACTATCAGTGAGAAAGAGGCAAATGAGGAGGAAAATACAAACTTTTTAAGGAAAGCAACTGTTAATTACCAGGTCTGTCCTATAGTCCACATTTTCTATGTTCATATCACATATATTCATTCATCAAAATAACTGAAGCACAAAATGATCTGCATCTTGATCTTCATCAAATAAAAGTCAAACTATGAGAAAGAGTTAAATCATGTTCAATTATTTTTATATAACATGGAAGGCTGACTCATTTTTTTCTCATTTTCTAAAACAGATTAAAAATACTTCTGGCTTTTGATTGCTTACTTCTTGGCTACTCAAAACTTGGTCCCTCAAGATGACTCACTATCCAAGTTCTCTGGATAGTAGAGGCTTTTCCGTAGCCTTAGAATTTGCTCAGCACCAACATTTGAGAAGAAAACACTGTGAAAGTTTAACATGAAAGACATATGGTAGAACAGAGATGCTTTAACAGAAGCAAACTGCAAAATTTATTTAAACAATTTCTTTGCACTTAAAATTTTGACTTGTAGTTCAAATTATTATCACATTCTTCAAAAATTAAGTTGTTCATTATTTTTTGGGATGGAATTTTTAAAAGTTAAAAATCACAAGAGTCAACATAAAAATTATAGGGGGAGAATTTTAACAAATAGAATTTTATGAGATCCTTGCTCCTATCATAAATGCAAGAACATCTGAAGACAAAATACTTTATAGATCTAAGAAACATATTCACCAACAGGCCAGGTGCAGTGGCTCCCGCCTGTAATCCCAGCACTTTGGGAGGCAGAGTCGGGTGGATCACTTGAAGTCAGGAGTTCAAGACCAGCCTGGCCAACGTGGCAAAACCCCATCTCTACTAAAAACACAAAAATTAGCCGGGTGTGTTGGAGGATGCCTGTAATCCCAGCTACTCAGGAGGCTGAGGCTGGAGAATCTAATCCAGGAGGCAGAGGTTGCAGCGAGCCAAGATCGTGCCACTGCACTCCAGCCTGGGTGACAGAGCAAGACTGTCTCAAAAAAAAGAAAAAAAAAAAAGAAATATATTCCCATACAGTCTCCTTTCTCTATATTCCCCGCTTTTGAAATCTCACCTACTTTCATGGCAAGGCAGATGACTTACAAATTATTCTCCCCTTCCCATATCGGGCAGGTTCCAATGTCACATTTCCATTTGTCAGTTGGGCAATCTTAAGCATACTGCCATCACTCCAAAAGCAACACGTCGGCCAGGCACGGTGGCTCACACCTATAATCCTAACACTTGGGGAGGCCGAGGCAGGCAGATCACCTGAGGTCAGGAGTTCAAGACCATCCTGGCCAACATGGTGAAACACAAAAATTATCTGAGCGTGGCGGCGCATGCCTGTAATCCCAGCTACTCGGGAGGCTGAGGCAGGAGAATTGCTTGTACCCTGGAGGTGGAGGTTGCAGTGAGCCAAGATGATGCCATTGCACTCCAGCCTGGGTGCCAAGAGCAAAACTCCTTCTCAAAAAAAAAAAAAAAAAAAGGCTGGGAATGGTAGCTCATGCCTGTAATCCCAGCACATTGGGAGGTTGAAGTGGGTGGATCACGAGGTCAGGAGTTCGAGACCAGCCTGGACAACATGGAGAAACCCTGTCTCTACTAAAAATACAAAAAATTAGCTTGGTGTGGTGGCACCCGCCTATAATCACAGCTACTCGGGAGGCTAAGGCAGGAGAATTGCTTGAACCCAGGAGGCGGAGGTTGCAGTGAGCCAAGATCACGCCATTACACTCCAGCCTGGGCAACAGAGCGAGACTCCATCTCAAAGAGAGAAAAGAAAAAAAAAAGCAACATGTCTGAAATACTCTTTTCTTTCACCTTCATCTCAAATCTTTCACTTTTCTATTTCTGTTGATGCTACCGCCACTCTCCTTGTATCTTGGTTTTTCTCTTACCTTCAATCCTAAACTTGCATTCATCAATCCTGTTTTGTGCTTTCTTTGAAATCACTCACATCTATACTTTCCTGTTCTTTTCCGAGCTCAACTCCTTCTCCCAAGGTTTTCACGCTCTTTTGAATAAGCCCCAAACTCTGGCCCTTGTACTTTTTCTTACATCCCTCTCCCTGCAGGGATACCCACCACCCCAAACCAAATTCTACTCATTCTTCAAGATAATTAAGGTAATCCCACCTTCTTCAGCTAGGCTTTGTGACCACCCAATATTGAAACGATTTCCTCTGCCTCTGAATTCCTACAGCAACATTTAGTTAAGCATTCATTTGGCAATTTAATCAAGTGGTGACTTATGATAGCTTTTTAAGTGAGCCCAGATAATAACTATTTATCCCTCATATTGAGTACTGTCCAGTGCTGCACAAAGAAGTCACTCATAAATATTTTTGGATGGCTGATTTACTGATTGAAATTATATCCTTCCATGGAGATTTGCTTTGCAAGGGAAACATGAAAAGAGGGCATCTGGGTGATACTAGGCTGTCATCAACCTATCATCAATGCTTCCTTTACATGACCAAAATCAGGCCAAGACAAAGAAGTCAGTCTCATCTCCATCATTTGAATCGAAAGAAAATAATCCCGGTAATCACAAATTCCATTTCACTTTAGAATAACCATTCCTAAAAGTTTGCAAAATTTATTTGTAGTGTTAATCTGCCCTCCTCCCCCACCCAAAATAATTTAAAACAGCCCAAAGTTAGAAAAAACTGAAGGGAAGAAAAGACTTGGAGAATTTTCAACGCTGCCAAAACTCAGCCAATTTATAAGCATATGAAGATCCAAAATGAGCCCGAATGTTGGTCCCTTCCTCTCAGTCTTGCAAACTTCAGGGAGCTACTGAACGGGACCGCTCTCAAGTTAGCCCCCGAAAAGACACTGATGTAAAAGTGCTGACCGGCAAGTTGACTTGCAAACTGAGGTTAATTACTAAGCCGACCCTCTGTCCCGGCAACTCACTTGCGCTGAGAAGTGAGGGTTGCAAAGGTGAAAATAGGGAAAGAGGTCGGTGGGCTGGGGAGAGGAGGCATTTCCAGTTTGTCTGCTGCGGGAAGTTGTCCGCCTGGGCTGGTCGCTCCAGAGCACCACCGGGGGCAGGACCACGCCGCGTTTGGGAGCTGGACAAGCCCAGGCCCGCCCCGCCCCGCCGCCGGGACCCATCAGGAGCCAGACAGCGCCCAGCGACCGGTCAGGGTGCAGCCCAGGGCCCAGAGCCAGTCTCCGCCCCTTCCCTCTGTCCCCGCCCCGCTTTCCCAGCAGGACGCAGCCGCCTGGCGTGCGGAGAGCGGCCTGTCGCGCGCTGGGCGCGGGGACTCAGGGTCCCAGCAGTGGGTCGCGCACCTGAGCTATCTCCATCCTCGGAGACCGACGAGCTCTCAGTGTCCTCGTCCTCGGAGCTGCTCCCCTCATTTTCGGCGTAGTCCACCTCCATCTCATCGTGATGGTTGGTCTCCTTCTTATCCCCTCGGGAATGGACTGGCATTTTCCAGCCGCGCCGTCGCTTTCCACTACCGGCGCCCAGCCCGGCCACCGCCGCTTCAATGAAGGGCGCGCGGAACGCCCCAACCCACCCAGCCACCGAGCTTGCTCGCCCCCTTGGCTCCTCCCCGCCCCCGGCCCGGGCCTCACAACCTAACCCGCAGGCTCTGCGATGGGAGCTCTGCCATTGGCGGAGGCCTTCCACCGAGCCAGAGGGCGGGGGCTTGCCCTGCTCTGGTACGATTGGTTGCCCGCAATTACGACGCGGCCTTCCGATGCTTGCCGGGAGTTGTAGTTCGTAGGTCTCAGACCTGCAGGGGCTGCACGCTTCCATCCCTCGGCAGCCCTGATCACTTCTTCCTTCTGGACTTCAAGTCCCACAAGGCACGAAAGCTGACACTCTGGATCGCAGTTTATAAACTAAACAGAAACAGATTGTGCGAATTTAGTCTGTATTTATCTATTTCCCGCCAAGTGATTGTTTGACCTGCCTGACCATCAGAGATGTTACTGTTAGATGTGAAAATGTCTTTTGCCTAAAAGGATCTTTGCCTGCTCATTGAGCCTGGGGAACTGGAGAACCATCTGTTTTACTAAGCACCTTTATTACCTACCATTAATAAACTGTTTTATTTAATTATTAACTATAGACGATAACTTGCACTTTCTGTGTTGTGCAAAAATCTTTAAATTATTCTTGAAACTTTTACAATACAGAAGGTAAGGAAGTTTTATCTTGGCATTTTCAATCTAATATTTTTGGCATTTATTTTTTACCAAATGCAGTCGGAAAATGCCATCAGTCCTGATTTAACTTTAGTTTTCAATGAAAAATACATACTTAACCAGATGTACTTTCTCAAAAAAAGGGTACATAGCTCCCTCTCCCTCTCCCTCGCCCTCGCCCTCGCCCTCGCCCTCTCCACGGTCTCCCTCTCCCTCTCTTTCCACGGTCTCCCACTGATGCCGAGCCGAAGCTGGACTGTACTGCTGCCATCTCGGCTCACTGCAACCTCCCTGCCTGATTCTCCTGCCTCAGCCTGCCGAGTGCCTGCGATTGCAGGCGCGTGCCGCCACGCCTGACTGGTTTTCGTATTTTTTTGGTGGAGACGGTTTCGCTGTGTTGGCCGGGCTGGTCTCCAGCTCCTAACCGCGAATGATCCGCCAGCCCCGACCTCCCGAGGTGCCGGGATTGCAGACGGAGTCTCGTTCACTCAGTGCTCAATGGTGCCCAGGCTGGAGTGCAGTGGCGTGATCTCGGCTCGCTACAACCACCTCCCAGCCGCCTGCCTTGGCCTCCCAAAGAGCCGAGATTGCAGCCTCTGCCCGGCCGCCACCCCGTCTGGGAAGTGAGGAGCGTCTCTGCCTGGCCGCCCATCGTCTGGGATGTGAGGAGCCCCTCTACCTGGCTGCCCAGTCTGGAAAGTGAGGAGCGTCTCTGCCCGGCCGCCATCCCATCTAGGAAGTGAGGAGCGTCTCTGCCTGGCAGCCCATCGTCTGGGATGTGGGGAGCACCTCTGCCCCGCCGCCCCGTCTGGGATGTGAGGAGCGCCTCTGCCCAGCCGCGACCCCGTCTGGGAGGTGAGGAGCGTCTCTGCCCGGCCACCCCGTCTGAGAAGTGAGGAGACCCTCTGCCCGGCAACCGCCCCGTCTGAGAAGTGAGGAGCCCCTCCGCCCGGCAGCCGCCCCGTCTGAGAAGTGAGGAGCCCCTCCGTCCGGCAGCCACCCCGTCTGGGAAGTGAAGAGCGTCTCCGCCCGGCAGCCACCCCGTCCGGGAGGGAGGTGGGGGTCAGCCCCCGCCAGGCCAGCCTCCCGGACGGGAGGGAGGTGGGGGGGTCAGCGCCCCGCCCGGCCAGCCGCCCCTTCCGGGAGGGAGGTGGGGGGGTCAGCGCCCCGCCCGGCCAGCCGCCCCTTCTGGGAGGGAGGTTGGGGGTCAGCCCCCTGCCCGGCCAGCCGCCCCGCCCGGGAGGTGAGGGGCGCCTCTGCCCGGCCGCCCCTACTGGGAAGTGAGGAGCCCCTCTGCCCGGCCACCACCCCGTCTGGGAGGTGTGCCCAACAGCTCATTGAGAACGGGCCAGGATGACAATGGCGGCTTTGTGGAATAGAAAGGCGGGAAAGGTGGGGAAAAGATTGAGAAATCGGATGGTTGCCGTGTCTGTGTAGAAAGAAGTAGACATGGGAGACTTGTCATTTTGTTCTGTACTAAGAAAACTTCTTCTGCCTTGGGATCCTGTTGATCTGTGACCTTACCCCCAACCCTGTGCTCTCTGAAACATGTGCTGTGTCCACTCAGGGTTAAATGGATTAAGGTCGGTGCAAGATGTGCTTTGTTAAACAGATGCTTGAAGGCAGCATGCTCGTTAAGAGTCATCACCACTCCCTAATCTCAGGTACCCAGGGACACAAACACTGCGGAAGGCCGCAGGGTCCTCTGCCTAGGAAAACCAGAGACCTTTGTTCACTTGTTTATCTGCTGACCTTCCCTCCACTATTGTCCTATGACCCTGCCAAATCCCCCTCTGCGAGAAACACCCAAGAATGATCAATAAAAATAAATAAATAAATAAATAAATAAATAAAGGGTACATAGACAAGGAAGCCTCAATAGGTATCATAACTCATTAAGTGACCATTTATCCTCTGTATCAGGTATCTTGGTAAGCCCTTTACATGGGTTTAGTGAGTTTAATTCTCAATTTAATAGCCCTGAGTTAGGTGCCATTGTTATTCCCATTTTACGGATAAGGAAACTTCATTTGCAGACCAATCTTAAAACTATATTTTACCCCTTATAACGACAGGGTTTCTTCTTCTTGAAGTGGCAATTTGCTATTGAAAGATAGTACAGGCCGGCAGGGTGGCTAACGCCTGTAGTCCCCACACTTTAGGAGGCCGAGGCGAGTGGATCACTTGAGGTCAGGAGTTCAAGACCAGCCTGGCCAATATGGTGAAACCCAATCTCCAGAGGCTGAGGTGAGAGAATTGCTTGAACTTGAGAGGTCAAGATTGCAGTGAGCCGACATTGCACCACTGCACTCCAGCCTGGGTGACAGAGTGAGACCCTGTCTCCTGTCTCAAAGAGAAAAAAAAAAAAGTTCATAGAATATTGTGGATTGTATAGCATTGCATTCTCAAAGACAAGGTCCAAAAATATGCAGTTAAATTTGCAATTTTATTTAATTATCTATCTATTTAGAGACAAGATCTCGTTCTATCGCCCAAGCTGGAGTGCAATAGCAACCTCAAACTTCTGGGCACAAGCGATCATCTCGCCTCAGCCTTCCAAACACCTGAGACCACAGGCACATGCCACCATGCCCAGCTAATATTTTCGTTTTTTTTTAGTGACAGGGTCTAGCCCAGGCTGGTCTCGAACTCTAGTCTCAAGCAATCTGTCCACCTAAGCCTCCCAAAAGCACTGAGATTCCCAGATGTGAGCCACTGTACCCAACCTAGATTTGTAATTTAATGACAGAAAACCTTTTAAGTGCTACCTATCTCTTACAGAGTAAAATACAAAATAAGGGATGTGTATTATATTTAGTGTCAGCCTACTTCTCCCTTTCTCATTTTACAGTATTGTCCAAAATTGAACTCCTTACAGTTTCTAAACACACAAGCTGTTTCCCATTTCAGTGTCTTTGCACATTCTATTTCCTTTACAACCCTGTTCCTCTCCTTTTCTTTTTCAAAGCCACTTTTTAGACAACACATATCACCGTCAGCACCTCTACCATTCAGGGCACTCCTGTTCCTTCAGTTGACTGCTGTATTTTGAAATTTGCAAGTTTATACTTGTTCCTATGACAATATATTGTAAACTGTTTAGCAAATGCGTCTCACCTATTGGATTATGAGTTCCTTGAGAGCAGAGGTTGTCTTAAGCTGAAATGCAAGTGCAAAGGCATGCAGTAGTCAGGCAGGTCAAGTTAAAAGATGTAAGCTTTACATGAGTGGTACGGATTAAAGGGGGCAGCTGCATTTGGCCCCAGCCAATTGTTACTACCTGAGAATTTTGGCCTACCGATGTCAGACCTTCTGATTTCAAAGAGAAACCGGAAATTTGGATCTCTATGTGAAATATCTAGAACTATAAACATTATCTCAAGTGATGTTTTTTGTTTTGTTTTGTTTGTGTTCTTTAAACTTCAGATCAAACAAAAACAGCTGTGGGTAAAATCCCTGGCCTCTAAATATCAGCAGCTATCAGAGTGTGTGCTAAATCGTAACAATTAGATTTCTGGTCACTCAATGTGCCAAGTGTGTTATGTGCTTTAAGTACATTAATTCACTGAATCCTCATAACAATCCTATGAAGTCGATACTATTATGCCCTCCATTTTATAGATGAAAAAACCGAGGCACAGAGCAGTTAGAGTACTTGGCCAAAGTCACATAGCTACTACGTAACAGATCTAAGATTTGAACTTGGGTAGTCTGACATAAAAATCTGTGTGCAACCACTGGCATACAGTGCGCCTCTAGTGGTTGCTTTCTGTTTCTGCTGTTCCAGGAAAAACAGGAAAGGTGGAAAGGAGGAGGCATGGGTTCTAGCCTTGTTCTCCTAGTAACCAACTGATAAAATTTGGCAAACCACATAATCTCTGATCCGTTGTAAAATAAGAAGTTTGCAGTGTGTTAACTTTAAATTCTCTTCCAGCTCTAAAATTCCTGTCATCATTAAGTTTAATTTTAAGGCAGACAGAATAATAGGAGATTATGCAATTAGAGTTGCATGAGAGTATTTTGCCTAAGGCAAGAGTTTCTCTCACCTCCTCTCAAACAGATTTTAGAAAAGATGCGTAGGGAATGTGAGAAGAACCATAATAGGGAAAAGTTAATAAGGCTAAAAAATAATTTTGTTGATTTAGAAAATACAAAATAAAGTCATGGAAGCAGAATGAAGTTTCCTTAATCAAGGCAGTTAAAAGGGTAATAATGATTATTATTATTATATTATTATTATGCAGTTGGGAGGTCCAGGATGCCTTACATTTATGTAGCACTTTACATTTTGCATAGGGCCTATATAAACATTAGATATATTTTAAGTCTCACTTTTTATTAATCCATTCATATTTACATATTTGTAGAGCTCTGAAACTCATAGCTAGTCATCATCAAAATCTCCTATATCTTCATTCTCTTCCCTGAACTGTTCCCTCAACATTCTTGTTCTAAAGGAAATATGGCTCTCCCTTAGGACCTTGCTTCCTTTGTACCCTCCTCCTCCTCCTGAGCCTTGTCATGGAGTAGGTATGCTCCTCGTTCTCCTTCTTCCATCCAGAGGCTCCTGCTTCCCTCTTCCCTAAAATCTGCCAGTTTGTCATCAGGATATACCACACAGTATATATGTGGGTGTCATCTATATAACCCAGGGTCACTCCCTCTCACGTTTTGAAGAATTTAGCTCCTGGCTCAGTGTCATTCTCTCCAATAACATGCCTATCATAATTCTTGGTAGATAATCCCATAGCACTCCGTCTCCTGCTGGGTTTGCTCTGGTACAAAGTAGACATATAGTAATTTTGGCATTTTGCTTCTAGTTTTCCTCCCCTATCTTCTTTGGGGTATACTTTTTTTCTATTCTGTTTTGTGTAATATTTTAAGTCATAAATATTTAAACACAGAGAAAGGTATTCAGAACATTGCATATGTAACACAGTACCTACCTCTCAGCTCTGTCAAATGTTAGCATTTTACATTTGCTTCCGATGCTTCTCAATCCTAATTCTCTCCTTCCCTTTCCAGAGTAACTAGTATCCTGTTTTTGGTTACCATGTGCTTTGGTTACCCATGCATCTATACATACTATTTTTGTATATGTATCCAAAAATAATATATAGTATTGTTTGGCCTGTTTAAAGTGCTCATATTTTTATTTTAATTATTTATTTTTATTATTTTTTATTTTAGGAAGATGTTGTGGTTTTATTGTATCATGAGGCATTGAAACATCTGAACAAATCAATGTCTGGGCGGTGAGGCAGCTTCTTTCTCTTCACTTCTTTGGGTTGCTAGAGCAACTTGTCAGTAGATTAAAAGAAAAAAAAGGACAATCTTTTGCATTACTTAAGTCTTTCCAAGGCATGCGCTGGTACAATACAAACTTCTCCCGTCAGATGCAACTAGTCTAGCGTCCAAACATCATGCACAACACCTCGGCGGCAGCAGCGCACTGCACCCACTCCCGCCACGGCCCTGCTCATTTGTGCATGATATTTGGAGCATCTGGAGGAGTGGGAATAGCACTGGGGAGAGGAGGGAGCAAGAAACAGCATGAGTGCCTGCTGAGAGGTCAGCCAAAGTTGTGCAGGGCGAGCCTGAACATGTCATTGGTGCAAACCCAAGTATTGTTGATGTTCTTTAATAGGAACATCTGGTGGAACCCCATGATGGCGGTCTTCATCCGCCTTAAGCTGGCCCACAACCATGCTGATGATGCAGCTATGCGGCGTGAGCTGATGGTCCTGCGCGGTGATGCTGTGCTGGATTTTCTGGAACCGAAGGCTAGACAACTTCTCCACAATGGCAGCTTTCCCCTGGAACTGTTGTCCTTCCCACGTAAGGCATGATGCGTCAATGTAAATTGCGCCTAGTTGGGGTCTATCGTTATCAAATAACTGGTAGTAATGTGGAATGAAGCTGGATCCTATCTGCTCCCAAATTGGCTTGTCTCCCACTCTGGACCGTCAGCCGGCCTCGCGGAGACCCGAGGGGCTGGCACGATGGCTGCAGCGGCGGCGGCAACCCAGCACGGTCTCAAAATGCTCATATTTTTAAGTGGTCTCATGCATTACGTATGCTACAACTTGACTTTCTCCTTAGTGACGTTTTTGAGATTTACCCATTGTGATTCAGGTAGCTCTCATCCAGTTATTTTTACCTGCCATAACATGTTCCATTTAGTAAATATATTCTATTGAATGAATATTACAGTTTACCCATTTACCTATTAATGGACAGGGAGGCTGCTCCCAATTTTTTCACTATTAAAAACATTTGTCTCAGACCCAGCACAGTGGCTTACGCCTGTAGTGCCAGCACTTTGGCAGGCTGAGGCAGGCGGATCGCTTGAGATTGGGAGTTGGAGACCAGCCTGGGCAACATGGCGAAACCCCGTCTCAACAAAAAATACAAAAATTAGCTGGGCGTGGTGGTGCGTGCCTGTAGTCCCAACTACTTGGGAGGTTGAGGTAGGAGGATGGCTTGAGCCTGGGAGGTCCAGGCTTCAGTGAGCTGTGATTGTGCCACTTCACTCCAGCCTGGGTGACAGACAGAGTAAGCCCCTGTCTTTAAAAAAAAAAAAAAAAAAGTTGCCTCCGTGAACATTGCATTTGTTTGTTTGTTTGTTTGTTTGTTTGCTTTTTTTTGGACAGAGTTTTCCTCTTGTTGCCCAGGCTAGAGTGCAATGGCACCATCTTGGCTCACTGCAACCTCCGACTCCCAGGTTTAAGCAATTCTCCTGCCTCCGCCTCCGGAGTGGCTGGGATTACAGGCGCCCCCCACCATGCCCGGCTAATTTTGTGGTTTTAGTAGAAATAGGGTTTCACCATGTTGGTCAGGCTGGTCTCGAACTCCTGATCTCAGGTGATCCGCCCACCTCAGCCTCCCAAAGTGCTGGGATTACAGGGGTGAGCCACCGTGCCCAGCATGAACATTGTTGTATGCACCTTTTCTTCAGGCATATGTGTGAGAATTTCTCTAGGTCAGTGTCTCCAAAGTGGGAGGAGTGTATTCGAGAACTGTATCCTGGGGGGCAGGAAGGAAATATTAAAATATAAATTTATAAAATTTTTAATTTCATCTTTGTTTGGAATAAAGTAGGTATAAGGAAGCAGTTAGAATTCCAGGTTTTACTCTGATTTACCCTCATTATATTCCTTGTGTTTGTTTTTAATCAGCAGATCCAGCTTCTGAAATAAAGCAAATTTAATTCCAGGCTCCACCACATGGTGGGGCAGAGACATCAGCTATACAATCCGTAAACTTTGTCTACTGATTGACTCAGGCCAAATGCTAGGAGTTGGAAAAACAAAGATAGGACACCAGAGCTGCTACTAATAGCTAGTATCGAATCAGGATAAATATTCTCATCATTCGAACTAAAGGGGCTTTAGGACCTACACTGAGAACTAGATGAGACCAACTTATAATTATTCCAACTACGTGAAAATGTGATTCCAATTGCTTAAGAATGAAACAATCCCCCAGGCTCAGTGGCTCACGCCTGTAAAACCAGTACTTTGGGAGGCTGAGGGGGGCAGATCACTTGAGCCAAGGAGTTTAAGACCGGCCTGGTCAACATGGTGAAATGCCGTCTCTACTAAAAATACAAAAAGTAGCTGAGCGTGGTGGCGCATGCCTGTGGTCCCAGCTACTTGGGAGGTGGAGGCATGAGAATTGCTTGAACCTTAGAGGCAGAGGTTGTAGTGAGCCAAGATCACACCACCACACTCCAGCCTGGGTGACAGAGCAAGGCTCTGTCTCAAAAATTTGTAAGCTGAACCAATTGAAATGTTTATGGTGTTGGCTATTGTTTGTGCTGTTAATCATCAGTCCTCTTCAATCAGGGCATGACCAAGATTAACTTTTTCCTCCCAAATTGATGTGGATGGTCTAGCTGTGGGCTTCATCTTCAACATCATCTTGTCCCTTCTTAAAATAAGTTATCTATTTGTAAACTGCTGATTCATTTGGAGCATCATCCCCATAAACTTCTTGTAAAGCATCAGTGATTTCACTATCCTTCCATCCAAGCTTCATCATAAATTTGGTGTTTGTTCTTGCTTCAACTTAAGCAGAATTCACATTGCTCTGATAGGGGCTCTTTACAAACTGATGTTTTATTCTTCTCAGTGCCTCAAATTGGATTCTGTCCAGACATGTTATAACAAGTTAATATAAGCTTATTTTGTTGAAAAAAAATTGACATCTATAGTTTTGGAATTTTTGTTTTGTTTTGTTTGTTGAGACAAGTTCTCCCTCTGTCGCCTAGGTTGGAGTGCAGTGGTGTGATCACAGCTCACTGCAACCTCTGCCTTCCGAGCTCAAGCAATCTTCCCGCCTCAGCCTCCTGAGTAGCTGGGACTACCGGCACGTGCCACCATGCCTGGCTAATTTTTGTATTAGCCATGGGCAACATGTCTCACCCTGTTGCCCAGGCTGGTCTTGACTCCTGGGCTCAAGCCATCCACCTGCCTCGGCCTCCCAAAGTGTTGGGACTATAGGTGTGAGCCACTGCACTCAGCCAGTTTTTTTTGTTTGTTTATAATACACATTTTTCATGAACTTTTTGAAGACCCCCTCATATCTCTCTCTTAATTCTTGGAAGGTAAGATAACAACCTAGTTTAGGTTTGGTGAGGTGAAACTTTATCACAGGTGACTCCATTTTGACTTTCAGTCTGATCTGTGGGGGCCTAGTGCAGGAACTTAGTCCAAAACAACAGCCTCCTATAATTTGTATTTAACCTGAAGTACTGTTCTGGATTCAATAGATTCATTGGTGAATAAATGAGACACAGCTTATGACTTCATAGAACTTAGGGAAAAGTAGAGAGATAAATATTAAGCAGCTTGACAAACTGAGGTATGCTCTCTGATGGTGTTAGGAGAGTATAATACAGAGACCCAATTGAGATTGGGAGTGGACGGCAGGTAAGACCTCTCTAAAGTAGTAATATTTCAGCTAAGACCTGAGAGATGAGTAGGAGTTAGCCCAGATCGGAATGAGAGGAGGGACATTATAAGCTGAGAGAATAGTGTATGTTAAGGTCCTGAACTAGAAAAAAACTTGGCATATTCATGTTTGAGGAATAAAGAGACCACTGTGGATGGTTACTAATGTTCAAGAATGAAAGAGACACAAGGTGTGTTTGGTGAGGTAAGCAAAGGCTTGATAAATTATGGTAAGGAAATTAGATTTTTTAAAATCCTAAATACAGTGGCTATTACTGGGAAGTTGGTAAGAGGAGAAGAGAAGATGAGATTAGTGATAAAATTACATTGATTTGAGATTAGCTCTTATAAAAAGATCACTGGTTGCTTAGTAGAAAATGATACTTTATCTCAATATCAATCAGATACTGTGTTAAAATATTCTGACAGTTTAGACAGGTAGAGGCTGTGTGGGGGAAACAAAATAGACAAATTTGAGATATTTGGGAGGTAAGACTGACAAAACTTGATAGTAAATTAAATTTGGGGCATGAGAGAGAAGATTAAAATATAGTTTACTTGTCTCCATATTTGAGTCATTTCCTTATGCTACTAAATAATATCAGCAGTCATTGCTTCAACAAATCTCCTTAACATATTTTGCTTGAGTTCTATGCTCACTGTGTATGATTTTCAGCTCTCTGTTCATAATAAATCATATTTCATTTAATGCTTCTTCACTTGTCTGTGAATGTTACTTGCTTTCTTTAAAAATTAAATGTCAAAAGATAACTGAACACCATAAATCATGATCAATGAAATTACAGTAGAAAGATATGGTCAGGCAGCTCACACCTGTAGCCAGCACTTCGGGAGGCCAAGGCAGGTGGATGGCTTGAGTACCCAGGAGCTCAAGACCAGCCTAGGCAGCATGGTGAGACCCCATCGCTACAAAAAATACAAAAATTAGCCAGGTATGATAGTGCATGCCCATAGTACCAGCTACTAAGCAGGCTGAGGTGGGAGATTCACTTGAGTCTGGGAGGTTGAGGCTGCAGTGAGCCAGGAATTGTGCATAGAAAGATATTACAAAACATATTGACATTGGAACTGATGTGCAAAAGCAATGATGGGTGAAATAGCTGGTCCCTTAGCATGAAGGTAGTGATACCAAACTGTACTGATATTCATTGTATTCTTCACTATCACACACAGTAAAAATGAAAAACCAGTTTCACTTAAGACTGTCCTTGATGAAGCAGTTGCTCTTTATATGCTCATTTTGTCACAGAAAATACAAAAACTATGTGTACTTAATGTTTAGAACTTTATAAGGGGCAAGGACTAATGCTGCATACTAAAGTACAATGGTGGTCTTTATAAAAAAAATTTTCTGCAATTGAGTTGTGAACTGACCTAGCAACTTTATTCAGAAAATGGCATTTTTACATGAAAGAAGTGATAAACAAACTACAATAATTCAGACATGGGTATTTGAAATATTTGCAAAAATAAATAGAGTGCGCCTGTCATTTTTAGAAGAACAATTGACATTATTTGTTGCCAAGGATAAAATTTAAGCTTCTAAGTAAAAATTAGAAATTTGAGGCCGGGCGCGGTGGCTCACGCCTGTAATCCCAGCACTTTGGGAGGCCGAGGCGGGCAGATCACAAGGTCAGGAGATCGAGACCACCCTGGCTAACACAGTGAAATCCCGTCTCTACTAAAAAAAATACAAAAAAAAAAAAATTAGCCAGTCGTGGTGGCAGGCGCCTGTAGTCCCAGCTACTCGGGAGGCTGGAGCAGGAGAATGGTGTGAACCTGGGAGGTGGAGCTTGCAGTGAGCTGAGATCGTGCCACTGCACTCCAGCCTGGGTGACAGAGCAAGACTCCGTCTCTGAAAAAAAAAAGAAATTTGAAAAACTTTTACCAACCATTGTGAGTATGAAAACTTTCCAATACTTAAAGGCTTTCTGATGTATGTGAGGTTTTTTTTTATGTTATTTAATGAAATGTGTTAGCATTTTAAAGCTCTGTATAAGTCAGCAAACAATTATTTTGATGAATGCATAATGTTACAAAATTATGTATAGGTGAAAGATCTATTCAAAGTACAAGATTTTAATATAAGGAGTACAAAATTCTTACTGATAGGCTTTCATATTCCTTACTGCAACTCATCTTTAAGAAACTACCTCTTGTTGGGGGCTTGACGTTGGGTACACAAGGACATAATCTTTATGCCAGACACTGGAGACTACCAGAAGGGGGCAGCAGGGAGCAGAGAAAGGGTTGAAAAACTATTGGGTACTATGCTCACTCCCTGTGTGATGGATTCAATTGTACCCTAAACCTCAGCATCATGCACTGTACCCATGTAACAAACCTGCACGTGTACCCCCTGAATCTAAAATAAAAGTTGAAATTTTAAAAACTACCACTTGTTGACTTTTATTGTAGTGTCAACAATTATCTAAAAAACATATTAAAACACTCTTTTTACCAATTACATATACATATGAAGCCAGATTACCTTCATATACTTCAACCAAAAGAGAATAGTGTATATAAGAATCCAGCTGTCTTTAATTAAGCCAAACTATAAGCAAATTTGCAAAAAAAAAAAATAAGCTATAACACTTTTCTCACCAAATATTTTTTGTGATAGAAAAAATAATAGATTTTTTTTTCTGCTGAGTAGTCTAAGGGAAATTTTTTTTAATTTAAATAAAAAATAGATTTTTTTTGAGTGAGATGGAGTCTCACTCTGCCACCCAGGCTGGAGTGCAGTGGCGTGATCTCGTCTCACTGCAACCTCCACCTCCCAAGTTCAAGCAATTCTCCTGCCTCAGCCTCCTGAGTAGCTGGTTTTCACCATGTTGGGCAGGCTGGTCTTGAACTCCTGACCTCAAGTGATCTGCCTGTCTTGGCCTCCCAAAGTGCTGGCATTACAGGCATGAGCCACCACACCCAGCCAGAAACTATTCTATATGATACTGTAATTGTGGATACATGACCCTATGCATTTGCCAATACTCATAGAACTATTTTATAGCATGTAGAATGAACCTTAACGTATGCACATTAAAAGAAATCAGAGGATCCCACTGGAACACAAAATGTGACAAAATAATCAAACTGTATTATAAGTATGAAACAACCTCACTAAAGAAGGTGTAGAAAAAGGTACTTATTTGGGAATGAGTGGAATCTGTAAGACTAAAGACAAAAGAAAATGTACATATGCACGGTACTCTAGTTAATAAAGTTGTTTCTCATGGGAAAGTAGGTTAACAATTCTGATACTGTTATACATGTATACTGCAATAAAATAAGTAAATGTTTGGTATATGGTGGGAACCAAGTATCTTATTGTTGGAGTGGGAGTTTATAATAAGTAAAGGGAGAAGGGTAGAATGATTCATCTAGTAATGGATTAGAGTTGAGGCACCACATAGGTATTAATTCATGTTTAGCTTAATACAGATACAGATGGTTATGTACAGAAATATTTATAGGTATGTGTATATAGATGTGCTAGTAAACATATGTGTGCAGTTGGCCCTCTGTATCCATGAGTGCTGCATCTGTGGATTCCACCAACTAGGAATCAGAAAAAAATGGATGGTTACATCTGTACTGAACACACACAGACTTTTTTTTTCTTGTCATTATTCCCTAAACAATACAGAATACCAACTATTTACATAGCATTTACATTGCATTAGGTATTTTAAAGAATCTAGAGATGATTTGAAGTATATGGGTGGGGGTGGGGCACAGTGGCTTACACCTGTAATCCCAGCACTTTAGAAGGCCAAGGCAGGCGGATCGCTTGAGCCCAGAAGTTCAAGACCAGCCTGGGCAACATGGTGAAATCCCATCTTTACTAAAAGTCAAACAAATTAGCTGAGTGTGGTGTTGAGCCCCCAGGAGGCGGAGGTTGCAGTGAGCCAAGTTTGCACCACTGTACTCCAGCCTGGGTGACAGAGTGAGACTCTGTCTCAAAAAAAAAAAAAAAAAAAAAAAAAAAAAAAAAAAAAGAATAGTTTCACCACCCTAAAAAATATCCCATCCTTCACCTATTCAATCTTCTTCTCCCTCCCCTCAATCCTCTTGCAACCACTGATCTTTTTACTATTGCTATAATATTGCCTTTTCCAGAATGTCATATAACTAGAATCATACAGTATGTAGCATTTTCAGACTGGCTTCTTTCACTTAGCAATATGCATTTAAGTGTCATACATGTCTTTTTGTGGCTCAAGAACTCATTTCTTTTTATTGCTGAATAATATTCCATTGTATGGATGTACCACAGTATGTTTATTCATTTAACTACTGAAAGATATCTTGGTTGCTTCTAGTTTTTGGAGTTAGGAATAAAATTGCTATAAACATTTGTGTGTAGGCCAGGTGTGGTGGTTCATGCCTGTAATCTGTAACCCCAACACTTTGGGAGGCTGAGGTAGGGGGATCCCTTGAGGCCAGGAGTTAAAGACCAGCCTGGGCAAAATAGTGAGACCTTGTCTCTACTAAATTTTTTTTTTTTTTTTTTTTTTTTTTTTTTGTGAGATGGAGTTTCGCTCTTGTTGCCCAGGCTGGAGTGCAATGGCACGATCTCAGTTCACCGCAACCTCCGCCTCCCAGGTTCAAGTGATTCTCCTGCCTCAGACTCCCGAGTAGCTGGGGTTATGGGCACGCGCCACCACTCCTGGCTAATTTTGTATTTTTAATAGAGAAGGGGTTTCTCCATATTGGTCAGGCTGGTCTTGAAATCCTGGCCTCAGGTAATCCACCTGCCTCGGCCTCCCAAAGTGCTGGGATTACAGGAGTGAGCCACCACGCCTGGCCATCTACTAAATTTTTTTTTAATTAGCTGGGCTTTTTGGCACCTGCCTGTGTTACCAACTGCATGGGAGGCTGAGGTGAGAGGATTGCTTGAGTCCAGGAAGTTAAGGCTAAAGTGAGCTGTGACTGCACCACTGCATTCCAGCCTGGATGACAGAGCAAGACCCAGTCACTAAAAGAAAAAAAATCTAGTTCTCACAAGCAATATATATATATATATATATATATATATATTTTTTTTTTTTTTTTTTTTTTTTTTTTTTTTTGAGACAGAGTCTCACTCTGTCAACCAGGCTGGAGTTCAGTGGTGCAATCTTGGCTTACTGCAACCTCCGCCTCCTGGGTTTAAGCAATTCTCCTGCCTCAGTCTCCTGAGTGGCTGGGATTACAGGCGTGCCCCACCACGCCTGGCTAATTTTTTTGTATTTTTAGTAGAGACGGGGTTTCACCATGTTGGTCAGGCTGGTCTTGAACTCTCCTAACCTTGTGATCCGCCTGCCTCGGCCTCCCAAAGTGCTGGGATTACAGGCATGAGCCACCGTGCCTGGCCCTCACAAGCAATATTTCAAAGGTATATTTCTGGGTTTTATTTCCATGATAATTATGTCTGCTGTGGGGAAGACTTATCTTTCAAAGAATTTTAATATTTAAATCAATGGGAAGAGAAAAACCAGGCAGTGGGATGGGTGTGCCATATGTAAATTACATTATACTAGTTTGTTTTGCAATGGTGTTTTCATTTTTTCTCAGGTATACCAGCCATATAATTATTTTTAACGATATGTTACATTTTTATTCTCTAAAATTATGTCACTCATTTGCCAAACATTTACTGAGTACTTGCGCAAGAGAAAGGAAGGGACAGTGACATTCGTTCTTCTATTCGACACAGATTTATTGAGCCTATCTTGCAAAGAGCACTTTGCAAGAAGACTGGGATACAACTTTAGACAATCTATACAGTCTCTGTCCTCAGGGAGTTTACAGTCTCATGAAAGAGAGAATCTGTAAACAGTTACACAAATTACTGTATTTAAATTCTATGAAGGAAAGGAATGTTATGAGATGTGTCATTATAGATGTAACTTTCAATACTTTTCTCACCTAATTATCACAATCACTGATGTAGTTTACAAATGAGGAAAATCAGGCTGAGACTGAACTACATGCCAAGGGCCCGAGAGCAAGTAAGTCCTTGCAAGTGAAAAACAGAATGTCTAATTTAGGTCTATGTAATTCTAAAGATCATGCTTGAAAACATTGTATTATTGCCTAAATTTCACGAAACTGTGAGGGACAGACCTTATTTTGATTTTATTAATAAGAAAACTGATGCTGAGAGGAACTAGAACTAAAATCTCTTGAACAATCCCCTTATTTTTCTATTATGTTATAAGCTTCCTCAAAACATGTATGGCTTGTAAGTTTGATGATACAAACAAACCCTACATGTAGAAACTGAATAAATTTTTTGTACTTTAAAAAATATAGGATTGTTGTTGAAACAAACTACCATTAAGCAAAGCACTATATTTTAACATAATTTTGGCAAATGTCTTACATCTCTCTTCTTTGCTGATTTTGTTATTTTTCTATGTTAATCACATATTTCATTGGACAAGTCTATTGCTATGGGTGAGAACATAGAAGGAAACAGTTCAAACAAGCAAACTCACTCTTTATCAAATTATTTTGTGGAGGAAATGTTCCTGGCCAGGCGCAGTGGCCTCACGCCTGTAATCCCAGCAGTTTGGTAGGCTGAGGCGGGCGGATCACTTGAGTCTAGGAGTTTTAGACCAGTTTGGGCAAAATGGCGAAACCCCGTCTCTACAAAAAACACAAAA
Source organism: Homo sapiens (assembly GCF_000001405.40). Lineage (NCBI taxonomy): Eukaryota > Metazoa > Chordata > Mammalia > Primates > Hominidae > Homo > Homo sapiens. The sequence goes on along the minus strand of NC_000014.9, from coordinate 35,810,166 downwards.
ATTAGCTGGATGTGGTGGCGCGCACCTGTGGTCCCAGCTACTCGGTAGGCTGAGGTGGGAGCATCACCTGAGCCTGGGAGTTCGAGGCTTCAGTGAGCTGAGATCACACCACTGCACTTCTGCCTGGGACACAGAGACCCTGTCTGGAAAGAAAAGGAAAAAGGAAAAAAAAAAAAAGGGTTCCAATAAAAATTTCAATTTATGTCATTCAGAATTTCACGGATTTTTTTCAGCTATTGCAGATTCTTCAGATGACTCCATCAATGTAATAAGAACCTTGAATTCTTCTTTGCAGAGGAAAAACTGACAATATATTCATCTTTATGTGGGGTGCAGATGGGGAAAAGATTTTTAAAAGCACAATAGAAAAGGAAAGCAAGATTACTTTTATTTAAAAAACCTAGATACCTCTGCTTAAGCCTTTCTGTTGTCAAGTTGTTTGCAGCAAAAAACAGGGATATTGCAAATAGAAAAAATATGAAAGAAATCACATACATAGTGCAGGAAATATTATTAGTAATAGATTTAGGACAGAATAAATTGCCCAACTGTAACTTCGTTTATCTTTCTGCTAGAGGATCTGGTGGCCACAACAACTTATGCACATTTTCAAAGATAAATCATGGACATATTTAATAAAGATTACTTCTCTTTGCTTATTACTATCATTTGGCTTACAATGGAGCACGCAGTAACTACCTTCCTTGCCTTTCTTGAGATTCTCCTTTGGCTGCTTACACAGGAAACCAAGGCGGGGAGTGCCACGGGTGATCTCATGCTGGCATGACGTCAAGAACTCTTGACGTCAGAAGGCGGTTGCCACGGACACCGTTCGCCACCGACGGCAGAGTCGTGAAACCCCATCACTACCACACTCGTCTCCGTTTCGGCCTCTGCAGGGTGTAAGCTGCTAAAGAAGCTTCAACCTTAAGGGGGCCTCAGGGAGAGAGTTGTGCTCCTGCCGCCGAGAGCTCCACCTTCGTGGCTCTGGGTCCGGGGCCCCGGCCTGTGGCGGCGAGCGGCGGCCGCTGGAGACGAGCGGCGGCGGCAGGCGGCCAGCCCGGGTCTGCCTCGCTCCGTGCAGGGCCGGGAGAGGGATCCGCCATATTGGAGCTGGGGCCGAAGGTGCCTTGGAGCCGCGGCGCGAGGCGGGTGGAGGTGGCGGCCCTGGCCTGGATCGGGAAGGAGTCGGCTCTGCCCTGGCCCGCAAGGCTGGGGAGCTAATGAGCCTCTCTGGCTAGTCTCCTCCCCGTCCACTCCCTCCACTTTCTGCCGCCGGGACCCGGCTGGGAGCCGGCTGTGGCAGTGGCAGTGGCAGTGGCAGCGACAGGATGTTCTCCAAGAAGCCGCACGGGGACGTGAAGAAGTCCACCCAGAAGGTGCTAGACACCAAGAAGGACGCACTGACTCGCCTCAAGCACCTGCGCATCGTCATCGGTGAGGAGCGAGGGGTGGCAGCGCCGAGGCCTGGGTTGCCCGGCCTTCCCTCTCCTGGGAGCCCCTGCGGACTCTCTCTCGGGACCTGGCGCGGTGCAGGAGAGGGCAAATCGTAGCCTCTGCGGAGACGCGGGAGGGTGAATAATTCGGAGAAGCGAAAACTTGGCAGTTGGCAGCACTGATTACTGTTAACACAGTAATCTAATTTTGAGTTAATAGTCTGAACTTATTTTTTAAAATTGGTATTACTCTAAAAACTTAGATCTTTAAGACTTTGTGGGGAGACCTGGCGTTGTGGATAATGGTGTTTATAGGATATGTTTGCCAGATGACTACTGCCAACCCCACCCAAGTAAAAAGAAAAATAAAATCCTCTCTCAGACAATATAAACCTTAATCTTTCAAGTTTCTTGGCAGATGAAGACAAGGAGGTAGCAGTTACACCTCTTTGGGAAGTGGGCGGTTCCCAAAAAGCTGTGGGAAGGAGCCCCGCCCTTTTGTTAATGCACCTTGTTCATCACTAGTCATTTAGAGGGAGAACTATTATAGGTAGTTTAACTCATCCTTTGCTTCTCGAGAATTGTATATAATTCTATTTTTAATTAAAAATATTTTTTTTATCGTCTGCCCTTAAGTTCTGTTTTGCTGGTAGACCAAACAGTGCTCTAAGTTTTGAATATAATGTTAATCGACTCTTTTGAATACTTAGTCATTTGGTAGGCTGATAAAGGCTGTAATAATACTTATGGAACATCTGGTCCAGTAGTTGGATTTTTTAGATGAAGACATTTGAGATGAAAAGGAAAATTATTTCGCCTGTGTTGATACTTAGAGTTAATGGTGGAACTGGCTGAAGAAGATGCATTCATCCAGATGCCTGAATCCTAGTTCAGAGTTTATCTCGAGCTGTCCTCCTGATGCGTATTTGTTTTGGAAAGTGATGTTTATTTAGTGAAAAAAGTAAGTCCCTTATTTGAGGTACATGTTTCTCTAGTCTATTGTTTACTCATACCACCAGGATACCACCAATATTACCCAACATTTCTATGATGCTTTACTGTTTACAGTGATTTCACGTAAATTATGATAATCCTTGCAATAACTCTATAGGTAGATGATATTATTCTCCATTTTTTACCAACAAAAAAGCTGAAGTTTGGGAACATCGAGTAGTCAGCCAGCTACCAGGAGGCTGAGTCAGAATTGGAACCCAGATTTTGTGTCTCTAGTTTGTTTTTTTACTCTTTCTACATTTATGACAGCTAATCTTTGTCACAAGTAAATTGTATTTATTCCAGTGGAGTAGTAAGAAAGCAGTTAATCCAGTTTAGCGCTATAAAAAGCTCAGTTTTCAAGAAAATGTAAAGCTTCTAAATATAGTGGAGATTGTGATCTTTTTGTTTTCATTCTTCTTGAGAGTTAAGCCATTGAAATAAAGATTTAGCCGAGAATAGGACACAGTAAGTTAATGTGTGAATGCAGGCGAGGGATTCACAGGTAATGGCAGTTTGAAATTGAACACTTAATGGAGCTTGACACCTACTTGGGATAAGCTGTAGGTTAGGTAATGACACAGCTATAAAGTTGAGTTCCAATAAAGTATCGAGATTTCCTAAATTAAAGGCCATACTTTATTTATAGACTGGTTAAGGAATTATTTATATATACTTTTTTGGCATAGAGTTTTTTTCCATCTGGCAGACATGGAAAATTAAAAGGTAAATTAAGAGAGAGGTCACACATATAAGGCATTTTGTAGGACTTAGCTTGCTTGGTTTGAAAACAAAACAAAACAAAAACAAGTCTTTTATTGTTGTCGTTATTTTGTTTGAAATACAGTTAATGTAATTTCTAAGAAAATGAATGAGAGAAAGTAGAATGACAAAAACTAGTGTCTTTTAGAGGTCTGCCAATCAGGTATTTGATTTTGCAGATGGAAAATCCTTTCTGGAAGTAGGTGCGGGCTTTAAATAAGGTAAACACAATGAGGAAACTAGTTTGCAGAGTAATTGGGCATTGCCAGTTACACAGGCTTTTGATTTTTGTTTGGTCCCATAGTTCATAGTTCATATGGGACCAAACAGAACTGCCATTCACTCAGGGTACTTATGGGAGGATTCAGTGCATCTATATGTATGAGAACATAATCATAATTTAAACATCCGCTGTAAACTTTTTTCCTGGCATGTGTTCCCACTGTAGGACAATCCAAGTTAAATTTATAGAACTTGACTCTGAAGATTTAGATTTAAATCTGGTATGTTTATTGATACTGTTGCATAATTGATTTGTAAAAACTAGAAGTCAGGGTTTTCTTAAAACAGAAAAAAAAGCCTTGTCTGATTTCTAAAGCTGTTATCCTTTCTACCTACCCCCTCCCCCCCATTTTACAACTAATGGTAATGATATTATAAATTAGCACATGTAAATTGGCTAACATAATGCTTGGCATATAGTGGGTATTGACTTAGTGTTAGTTTTGTTCTACTTTACAGCTAACAGTTCAGTCCTCTTGATATAAAAATAAAAAGTGCTTATTTAGCTAAAAATATTTATTGTTAAATAATTCTGACAGCTTTATTGAGGTATAATTGGCACACAATAAACTGCACATATTTAAAGTACATAATTGAATAATTTTTACATATGTATATCTCCTGAAACCATCATAACAAATATTTAAAATATCCAATCAAGATAACAAATATAGACAGTGACAATCAGGATAATATATGTATAATCAGCTGGGTGCGGTAGCTCATGCCTGTAATCCCAGGACTTGGGGAGGCCGAGGTGGGCGGATCACGAGGTCAGGAATTCAAGACCAGCCTGGCCAACAGAGTGAAACCGGGTCTCTACTCTACTGAAAATACAAAAATTAGCCAGGCATGGTGGCGTGCACCTGTAGTCCCAGCTACTCAGGAGGCTGAGGCAGGAGAATCGCGTGAACCTGGGAGGCAGAGGTTGTGGTGAGTCGAGATCACGCTACTGCACTCCAGCCTGGGCAACAGAGCGAGACTCCGTTTCAGGAAAAAAAAAAAAAAAAGAAAAAGAAAAAATATATATATGTATGTATGTATAACCTCCCAAAGTTTTCTCATGCCCCTTTGTAATCTCTTTCTCCCACCTCAGTTGTACCCTCCCACCTTTCCTGAGCAACCACTAATCTGCTGTCACCCTAGATTAGTTTGCATTATCTAGAGTTTTATATAAATGGGATTATACAGCATAAAAATGGAATTATGCAGTACGGTCATTTTATGTTTGATTTCTTTTTTTTTTTTTTTTGACACGGAGTCTCACTCTGTCACCCAGGCTGGAATGCAGTGGCGCGATCTCGGCTCACTGCAACCTCCGCCTCCCGGGTTCAAGCAATCCCCCTGCCTCAGCCTCTTGAGTAGCTGGGATTACAGGCGCACGCCACCAAGCCTGGCTAATTTTTTCTTTTTTTTTTTTCTTTTGTATTTTAGTAGAGACAGGGTTTCACTGTGTTGCCCAGGCTGGTTTCGAACTCCTGAGCTCAGGCAGTCCCCCCGCCTCAGCCTCCTAAAGTGCTGGGATTACAGGCATGAGCCACGGCGCCCCGCCTTTTTTTTTTGTATTCCTAATAGAGATGGGGTTTCACCATGTTGGTCAGGCTGGTCTTGAACTCGCGACCTCGTGATCCGCCTGCCTCAGCCTCCCAAAGTGCTGGGATTACAGGCGTGAGCCACCACACCTGGCCTTGGTTTCTTTTTCTCAGCCTCATTATTTTGAAATTAATCTGTATCCTGGTATGTTAATAGTTCATTGCTTTTTTTTCTTGTGACAGGGTCTTCTGTCACTCTGGCTGGAGTACCGTGTTGCAAACGTGGCTCATTGCAGCCTTGACCTTTCAGGGTCCAGCGATCCTCCTTCCTCTACCTCCCTAGTAGCTGGGACATGCACCACCGTGTATGGCCAATTAAAAAAAATTTTTTTTTGTAGAGATGGGGTCTCATGTTGCCCAGGCTGGTTGCAAGCTCCTGGACTCAAGCAATCCTCCCATCTCAGCCTCCCAAAGTATTCTGGGATTACAGGTGTGAGCCACTGTACCTAACTGTTAATCTCTTTTTATTTCTGAATAGTTACTCACTATTTATTTATTTATTTATTTATTTATTTATTTATTTATTTATTTTTGAGATGGAGTCTCACTCTGTCACCCAGGCTGGAGTGCCATGGCACGATCTCGGCTCACTGCAATCTCTGCCTCCCGGGTTCAAGCAAGTCTCCTGCCTCAGCCTCCTAAGTAGCTGGGATTACAAGTGTGCACCATCAGGCCCAGCTAATTTTTGTATTTTTAGTAGAGACAGGGTTTCACCATGTTGGCCAGGCTGGTCTTGAACTCCTGACCTCGTGATCCTCAAGCCTCAGCCTTCCAAAGTGCTGGGATTACAGGTGTGAGCCACCGCGCCCAGCCGTTATTCACAATTTTTTGTTTGTTTTTGAGATGGAGTCTCGCTCTGTCGCCCAGGCTAGAGTGCAGTGGCTTGATCTTGGCTCACTGCAACGTCCACCTCCCCAGTTCAAGTGATTCTCCTGCCTCAGCCTCCCAAGTAGCTGGGATTACAGGTGGGTGTCACCATGCCTGGCTAATTTTTGTACTTAAATAGAGATGGGGTTTCGCCATGTTGGCCAGGCTGGTCTTGAACTCCTGACCTCAGGTGATCCACCCACCTCGGCCTCCCAAGACCATTGTATAACTTCTTTGATGAGTTTGTGTTTAAATCTTTTACATGTCTTTTAATTTTTTTGCTTTCTTAATTCAGTTTTGAAAGTTCTTTAGGCCAGGTGCAGTGGCTCATGCCTGTAATCTCAGCACTTTGGAAGGCTGAGGCAGGTGGCTCACTTGAGGTCAGGAGTTCGAGACCAGCCTGGCCAAGATGGTGAAACCCCATCTCTACTAAAAATAACCAGGTGTGATAGCACATGACTGTAATCCCAGCTATTCAGGAGGCTGAGATGGGAGAATTGCTTGAACCTGGGAGGTGGAGGTTTGCAGTGAGCCAAGATTGTGCAACTGCACCCTAGCCTGGGTAACAGAGTGAGACTGTCTCAAAAAAAAAAAAAAAAGTTCTTTATATATTCTAGATACAGATACTGTATGAGACACATGATTTGCAAAGATTTTTTTTTCCCCAGTCTTTGGGCTGTCTCTTCGTTCTCTTAAAGTTTTCTTTGAAGAAGAAGTTGTTTCTTTGAAGAAGCAGAAATGGTTAATTTTTATTGTCTATATATCAATTTTTAATTTATTTTTTTTATTTTGTATCTAAAATCTTTGCCTAACCCATGATCACAAAGATTTTCTTCTATGCTTTTTTCTAGAAGTTTTACAGTTTTAGGATCTATTTTCCTCTATGATTCATCTGAGTTTTAACTATGGTATGAGGTGGCTAGAAGTTTACGTTTTTGCATGTGAATATCCAGTTGTTCCAGCTCTGTTTGTTGAAAAAGGCTATCTTTACTGAATTGCCTTTGTACTTTTGCCAAAATTTAGTTTTCCAGAAATATGTGTGGGCCTATTTCTGGACTCTTATTTTGTTCCAGTGATCTGTTTATCTTTGTTGGTGCCAGTACCGCAGTGTTTGATTACTGTAACTTTATAATAAATCTTGAAATCAAGTAGTGTTGTCCCTCCTACTTTGTTCTTCCTTTTCAAAGTTTCTTTTTTTCCCAAATGCCAGGTCCTTTACATTTCCATATGAGTCTAAAGATTAGTTGAGCTTGGTGTGGTGGCTCACACCTGTAATCCCAGCACTTTGGGAGGCTCAGGTGGGCAGATTGCTTGAGCCCAGGAGTTTGAGACCAGCTTGGACAACATGCTGAAACCCCATCTCTCCAAAAAAGAGAAAAAAAAGAAATAGCTGGGCATGGTAGTGTGTGCCTGGGATCCCAGTCACCTGGGAGGCTGAGGTGAGAGGATCACCTGGGCCTGGGAGGTCGAGGTTGCAATGAGCCATGATTGCACCACTGCACTCCAGCCTGGGTGACACAGTGACACTGTATTTTTTTTTTTAAAGGTCAGTTTCTTAAAAAAAAAAAAAACCCACCACCACCAAAAAACCTATTGGGATTTTGGTTGGGATTATGTTGAATCTATAGATCAATTTGGGAAAATTGACGATATTGAATACACTGATTCATGAACAAGGCGTTTCTCCACCTACTTAGGACTTCTTTAATTTCTCTCAGCAGTGTTTTGTAGTTCAGTGTGCAGGTCTTATACATCTTTTGTCAGACTTATACCTAAATACTTTCTACTTTGATCTTTTGTAAATGTTACCTTTATATCTATTTCTGATTGGATCTCATATCAGGAAATACCACTGATTTATGTATAGTGAGCTTATGTCCTACAAACCTGCTGAACTGACTTAGTTCTGTTATTTATTTATTTTTTTGAGACAGAGTCTCACTCTGTTGCCCAGGCTGGAGTGCAGTGGCATGATCTCAGCTCACTGCAACCTCCGCCTCCCAGGTTCAAGCAATTCTCCTGCCTCAGCCTACTGAGTGGCTGGGATTACAGGCACACACCACTGAGCCTGGCTGATTTTTGTGTTTGTAGTAGAGACGGGGTTTCACCATGTTGATAAGGCTGGTCTCGAACTCCTGACCTCGTGAGCCACCTGCCTTGGCCTCCCAAAGTCCTGGGATTACAGGTGTGAGCCACAGCACCCAGCCAGTTCTGTTAGTTTTTTGTAGATTCTTTTGGATATTTTTCATAGAGAATCAGTCTGCAAATACAGTTTTACTTCTTCCTTTCTAATCTGGATGCCCTTTATTTCTTTTTCTTGCCTTACTGAAGTGACTAGAACCTCCAATGTGACATAGATTAGAAGTAATGAGAGTGGGCAGTCTTGTCTTGTTCTTGATCTTAGGGGTAAAGCAATCGATTGATTTTTTTCACTGTATAATATGATCCTAACTGTAGGTTTTTTGTAGATGCCCTTTATCAGATTTAGAGAGTTTCATTCTATTCCTGGTTGGCTGAGGGTTTCTATCAGGAATGGATGTTGGATTTATTGAATGCTTTTTCTGTTTCTGTTGGTATAAACAGAAGATTTCATCTAAGTTGTCAAATTTATAGGTATAAATTGTTGATTATACTCTCTTATTATCCTTTTAATATTATAGGATTCATGTCCAGGCATGGTGGCTCATGCTTATAATCCCAGCACTTTGGGAGGCCAAGGCGGGTGGATCACTAGAGGTCAGGAGTTCGAGACCAGCCTGACCAACATACTGAAACCCTGTGTGAACTAAAAATACAAAAGTAGCTGGACCTTGTGGCGCATGCTTGTAGTCCCAGCTACTAGGGAGGCTGAGGCAGGAGAATCACCTGAACCCAGGAGGCAGAGGTTGCAGTGAGCCAAGATTATGCCACTGTACTCCAGCCAGGGCAACAGAGCGAGACTCTATCTCAAATGTGTGTGTGTGTGTGTGTGTGTGTGTGTGTGTGTGTGTCTGTGTATATATATATAGCAGGACCCATGGTAATGTTATCCTTCTCGTTTCTTGTCTGATAATTTGTCTTTCTTTTCCTGATCAGCCTGACTAGAGTCTTATCGCTTTTATTGATCTTCTAAAAGAACTATCTTTTGGTTTTATTGATTTTTCCGTGTGTGTGTGGTTTTTTTTTTTTTTTTAATTGATGTCTGCTTTGGTCTTTGCTATTTTCTTTTTTATTTTTGGAGGCGGGACGCAGGAGACAGAGTTTCGCTCGTCGCCCAGGCTGGAGTGCAATGGCGCAATCTTGCCTCACTGCAACCTCCGCCTCCCAGGTTCAAGCTGTTCTTCTGCCTCAGCCTCCCGAGTAGCTGGGACTACAGGCATGCGCCACCCCGCCTGGCTAATTTTTGTATTTTTAGTAGAGACAGGTTGTTACCTTGTTGGCCAGGCTGGTCTCAAACTCCTGACCTCAAGTGATCCACCAGCCTGGGCCTCCCAAAGTGCTGGGATTACAGGTGTGAGCTACCATGCCTGGCAGTCTTTGTTACTTTCTTTCTTCTACTTAGTTTAGTTTAATTTGCTCTTTTTGTTGTTTCATAAAGGGAAGCTGTGATTATTGATTTGAAACTGTTCTTCTTTCTACTGTAGGCATTTGGTGATAAAAAATTTTCCCCTAACTAGCATCTCACAACTTAGAATATTTTGTATTTTCATTTTCATTTAGTTCCAAAATACTTTCAACTTTCCTTTTGATTTTTTTTAATCCATGGGTTATTTACAAGTCTGTTCTTTAGCTTCACATATTTATGGATTATTCAGATACCTTTTGGTTGTTGATTTCTAATTCAATTCCATTGTAGTTAGAAAACACTATTTTTTATAACCTGAATTATTTAAAAGCTAATGAAATTTGTTTGATGGTCCAGAGACATTTTAACTTGATAAATTTCTTGTATGCACTTGAAAGGAATATATATTCTGCTCTTGGTAGGTTAGGTGTTCGAAAAATGTCAATTAGGACGAGTTGCTTGTTAGTGTTGTTCAAGTCTTCTCTGTCCTTACTGAATTTCTGTCTAGCTGTTTTCATCAAGTACTGAGAGAAGAGGGCTGAAGTTTCTGACTGTAATTGTGGGTTTTGTCTGTTTTCTTTTGAACTTCTATCAGTATTTACTTCATATGTTTTGAAGCTCTGTCATTAGCTGCCTAAACCTTTAGGATTATTTCTTTTTGATGAATTGACTTCTTTATCATTTTGAAATGATATCTTTCTCCCTGGTAATAGTCTTTGCTTTGGAATCTACTTTGATATTAATATAGCCATTGCCACTTTTCATTTGATTAGTGTTAGCAGGATATATATATATTCCCATCTTTTAAATCTACTTGTGTTTTTATATGTGAAGTGGGTTTATATTGTTGGCAGCATATGGTTGGGTCTTTTTTATCTAACCTAATTATCTATGCCTTTTAATTGAGATGTTTGGATAGTTACATTTAACATGATTGTTGATATGGTTAGGTTTGAGTTTGTCATCTTTCTATTTGTTTTCTGTTTGGCCTGTCTGTTCCTTAGTACCCTTTTTTCTCCCTTCTTTTGAATTAGTTGAGTAAATTTTATGATTATTTTCCCTCGATTTATTATTTCAGTGACTGCTTTATGATTTATAGTATATACCTTTTTTCTTTTTTTTTTTTTCTGGGACCGAGTCTCGCTCTGTTGCCCAGGCTGGAGTGCAGTGGTACGATCTTGGCTCACTGCAACCTCCGCCTCTCAGGTTAGAGCGATTCTCCTGCCTCAGCTTCCCAAGTAGCTGGGATTACAGGCACGCATTGCCACGCCCAGCTTATTTTTGTATTTTTAGTAGAGACAGGGTTTCCCCATGTTGGCCAGGCTGGTCTCGAACTTCTGACCTCAGGTGATCCACCTGCCTCAGCCTCCTGAAGTGTTGGGATTACATGGGTGAGCCACTGTGCCCAGCCTATAGTATACATCTTTAACTTGCCAGAGTGTACACCTTTAAGTGATACTATACCACTTCCCATGTAGTATAAGAACCTTGTAAGAATTTACTTCCATTTCTTCACCCAACCTTTATGCTTTTGTTGTCATATATTTTACTTATCATGTTATCAGCCATACACTATATTATTTTGTTTAAACAAGTAGTGATCTTTTAAAGATTTTTAAGTAATAAAAAGTCTCATACCCATGTAGTACCATTTACAGTGCTCTTCATTTCTTTGTGTACTTTTTTTTTTTTTTTTTTGACACAGACAGCTGTGTTGCCCAGGCTGGAGTGCAGTGGTGCAATCTTGGCTCACTACTACTTCCACCTCCTTGGTTCAAGCGATTCTTTTGCCTCAGTCTGCAAAATAGCTGGGATTACAGGCATGTACCACTACGCCTGGCTAATTTCTTTTTTTAGTATTTTTAGTAGAGATGGGTTTTGCCTTGTTGGCCAGACTGGTTTCGAACTCCTGGCCCCAAGTGATCGTGTGCCTGGGCCTCCCAAAATGCTGGGATTACAGGCATGAGCCACTGTGCCCAGCCGATATTTCTATTCAGTATAATTTTGTTTCTGCATGAAGGACTGCCTTTAACATTTTTTTCTGTGATGATGATCTGCTGGTAATGGATTCTTAAAAAAATGTTTTTGGATACATAATTTGTACATATTTATGGGATACATGTGACATTTTGATAATCAAGGTATTTAGGATATTCGTCACCTTGAACATTTATTATTTATTTGTGCTGGGAACATTTCAAGTCTTCTCTTACAGGCTGGGCATGGCGGGTCATGCCTGGAATTCCAGCACTTTGGGAGATCAAGGCAGGAGAATTGCTTGAGCCCAGGAGTTTGAGACCAGCCTGGGCAACAATGCAAGACCCTGTCTCTACAGAAAATTTAAAAAATTAGCCAGGTGTTGTGGCATGCACCTGTGGTCCCAGTGTTTCAGGAAGCTGAGATGATGAGATTGCTTGAGCCCAGGAGATTGAGGCTGCCTACAGTCAGCCGTGTTCATGCCCCTGCACACTAGCCTGGGCGACAGTCCAAGACCGGGTTTTAGGGAAAAAAAAAAAAAAGCCGAGCGTGTTAGCTCGCACCTGTAATCCCAGCATTTTGGGAGGCTGAGGCTGGTGGATTAATTGAGCCCAGGAGTTCAAGACCATCCTAGGCAACAAGGCAAAACCCCACCTCTACAAAAAGCACAAAAATTATGCAGATGTGGTGGCAGCCGCCTGTGATCCCAGCTACTTGAGAGGCTGAGGCAGGAGGATTGCTTGAGCCCAGGAGGTCGAGGCTGCAGTGAGCTGTGATCATGTCAGTGCACTCTAGCCTGGACAACAGAGCAAGACCCTGTCTCCAAAAAAAGAAAAAAAAAGTCTCTTTTAGCTATTTTTTTTTTTTTTTGAGATGTAATTTTGCTCGTTTCCCAGGCCAGAGTGCAATGGTAGGATCTCGGCTCACTGCAACCTCCGTATCCCGGGTTCAAGCAATTCTCCTGCCTCAGCCTCCTGAGTAGCTGGGATTACAGGCAGGTGCCACCACTCCCGGCTAATTTTGTATTTTAAGTAGACACGGGGCTTCTCCGTGTTGGTAAGGCTGGTCTCGAACTCCAGACCTCAGGTGATCCGCCCTCCTTGGCCTCTCAAAGTGCTGGGATTACAGGCGTGAGCCACTGCACCCGGCCTCTTCTAGCTACTTTGAGATACACAATATATTGTTAACTATTGTCACCCTACCATGTTATCAAATGACAGAACTTATTCCTTCTAACTAGCTGTATGTTTATATGCATTAACCAACCTTTCTTTATTCCTCTTCCTCTGTATGTGATGGATTCTTTATGCTTTTGTTTGTCTGAAAAAGTCTTTACTTTGGCATCTTTTTTTTTTTTTTTTTGAGACGGAGTCTCGCTCTGTCACCAGGCTGGAGTGCAGTGGCATGATCTGAGCTCACTGCAACCTCCACCTCTCAGGTTCAAGTGATTCTCCTGCTTCAGCCCCCTAGTAGCTGGGACTACAGGCACGCACCACCACGCCCAGCTAATTTTTTGTATTTTTAGTAGAGATGGGGTTTCACCATTTTGGCCAGGATGGTTTTGATCTCTTGGCCTTGTGATCTGCCTGCCTCGGCCTCCCAGAGTGCTGGGATTACAGGCGTGAGCCACTGCGCCTGGCTTTGGCTTCTTTTTTAAAGATACTTTCGGGAGGCTGAGGTGGGCGGATCACGAGGTCAGGAGATCGAGACCATCCTGGCTAACACGGTGAAACCCTGTCTCTACTAAAGATACAAAAAATTAACCCGGTGTGGTGGCACGCGCCTGTAGTCCCAGCTACTCAGGTGGCTGAGGCAGGAGAATTGCTTGAACCCAGGAGGCAGAGGTTGCAGTGAGCCAAGATCCGAGATCGTGCCACTGCACTCCAGCCTAGGCAACAGAGCGAGACTCCATCTCAAAAAAAAAAGGATACTTTTGTTCTGTTTAGAATTCTAGGTTGATGGCTTTTTTTTTCCTTTGTTCTTTGAAGATTTTACTCTACTGTATTCTTGTTTGTATTGTTTCTGATAAGAAGTCTGTTATTATCTGTATCTTACTTTTTATGGAAAATGTCATTTTCTTTTCTGGGTGCTTTTAAGACCTCTTCATCACTGGTGTTGAGGAGTCTGATTATCATATGCCTTGGTTAGTTATTTTTCATATTTCTTGGCTTAAGATTAATTGAGCTTCTTGGATTTGTGGGTTTATAGTTTTCATCAAACTTGGAAAAATTTTGGTCATTATTTTCCCTTCTTTCTCCCCGCCTTACGTTTAGAACTCCATTTACTACCGTATTAGGGAATATTAATATTAGATTAGTAAGAAGTATTATTAGTATATTGGAAGGTCTCATAGTTTACTGATTTTTTTCCTCTGCGTGTTTCATCTTGGATAGTTTCTATTGCTATGTCTTCAAGTTCACTAATCTTTTCTTCTGCTACATGTAATCTGCCATTCTATCTAGTTTATTTTTTAATCTCAGAAACTGTAGTTTTTATCTAGTTCATCTTGGGTCTTGTTTTATATCATCTATGTGTCTTCTTAACTTTTTGAACATATGGAATACAGCTAAAATGATATACTTCTCTGCTAATTGTGACATCTCTTTCAGTTCTAGAATTTCAATTGATCATCCTCTTTTCTTATCCTGGGTTGTTTTCCTGATTCTTTGTGTGCCTGGTAACTTTTGGCTATCTGATATTCTGAATTTTACTTTCTTATATTTTGGATATTTTCCTATATCTGTAAATTCTTTTTTTGTTTCGTTCTGTTTTTGGGGGCAGGGTCTCAGTCTGTCACAACCTCCTGGGCTCAAGCAATCCTCCTACCTCAGCTTCCCGAGTAGCTGGGAACTACAGGTGCATGCCACCACACCCAGCTAATTTTTTTTTTTTTTTTTTTGGTAGAGAAATGGGGTTTTGCTATGTTGCCCAGGCTGGCCTCAAGCTCCTGGTCTCAAGTGATCTGCCCACCTTGGCCTCCCAAAGTGCTGGGATTACAGGTGTGAGCCACCGTGTGTGGCCACCTATAAATTCTTGAGCTTTTTTCCGGGATACAATCAAGTTATTTGAAAACAGTTTTATTATTTTGGGTCTTGCTTTTATGATTTGTTGGGTGGGTCCATTTAGGGTTAATTATTGTCTAGTATAAGGCAATACCTTCCTGAGTATTCGACCCAAGGCCCCACAAATTATGAGATTTTATTTTTATAGTCCAGCTTTTGGGAACAAGCACTCTTCCCAGCTCTGTGTGAGCACCTGGTACTGTTCCCTCCAATACTTCAGCATGGTTCTTTCTTCTGTCTTGGGTAGTTTCCTCATAAGTATACTATCATCATACTTAAAGGGGACCCTCTCTAGTCTCCTGGATTCTCACTGTGTGTAGCTGTCTCCTTCTTGGTGCTGTGTCGTGTGAACTCTGATTGCCTTGGTCTTCCTGGGTGCTTGGCTTCACTTTCTTAATTCATGGAGTTTGCTGGGTCCACCTGGATTTGCTTTCTCCTCACTACGACTTAGAAGCTCTCCTAAGTCAGTAAGCTGGAGTGGTCATAGGACACACCTTGTTTGTTTGCCATCTTTCAGAAATCACTCTCCTCACCTGATGTCCATACATGCTGAAACAATTAAAATAACACACACGAGAAGCAACAGTTTTCAAGACATTGGACATCAGTTGCTGATAATAAGAGGTTCTCTTAAATGAATGAGACTGAAAGTTGGCTTTATACCAAGCAACTTGGTCCCCATTTTTTACTTTTTTATATTTAGAGAAGGAATTTGTTATCATAAATTGATTAGTAAAAAATGTCTTTCTGTAATCTGAATGTATTTATGGGTTCACAAAGAAATATCTTTCTGAGTAAAATATCTTTACTTACAAAGTATTCAGTAGGTATAAATGGCAATACATAAATACAGATTGTATATTTTATTAAATAAATGACTTAAAAAGAGTATGGATTGGCCGGTCACAGTGGCTCACGCCTTAATCCCAGCACTTTGGGAGGCCGAGGTGGGCGGATCACGAGGTCAGGAGATGAGACCATCCTGGCTAACACGGTGAAACCCCGTCTCTACTAAAAATACAAAAAAATTAGCC
Organism: Homo sapiens; assembly: GCF_000001405.40. NCBI lineage: Eukaryota > Metazoa > Chordata > Mammalia > Primates > Hominidae > Homo > Homo sapiens. The sequence goes on along the minus strand of NC_000014.9, from coordinate 35,794,617 downwards.
GGGCGCCGTGGCGGGCGCCTGTAGTCCCAGCTACTCGGGAGGCTGAGGCAGGAGAATGGCGTGAACCCAGGAGGCGGAGCTTGCAGTGAGCCGAGACTGCGCCACTGCACTCCAGCCTGGGCAACGGAGGGAGACTCCATCTCAAAACAAAAAAACAAAAAGAAAACAAAAAAAATAGTATGGATTAACAGATTTGGCTGAAAATCTAAGAATGTGTGAACTGTAACCTGCCTATAAAAGTAAGCCAACTAACTGTATATGCGTGTGTGTGTGCATATATATAGATATATATAAAATAAATTTATATAGAGATGGGGGTTTCCCTATGTTGCCCTGACTGGTCTTAAACTCCTGGGCTCAAGTTATCTGACCGCCTCGACCTCCCAAAGTGCTGGGATTACAGGCATGAGCCACTGTGCGCAGCCAAACTTGATTATTTTTAGAGTTTGATATACAGTGTTAGTAATCCTGTATACATGACATTAGATGCTTTTAAATTCTTTAATTTATATATAATGTAATGTATGTTCTTTAATTTGAATCTGTCTGATTTGAAAAATGAACTTGACCTCATTGAACTACTTTATATATTTATGAAGAATTGATTTACTTTGCAGATTATTGACATAAAGTGTTACTGATTGACCTTAACAGAACAAGCTTTTTCAAATATTGTAATCATCTTTATATTAACATTTTGTTTATTAAGGATTTTATTGCATCTAAAGGATTTTACGTGGCTTATAGGATTGAATAAAATGTGGAATAGAACAATTAATGATAAAACAAGCAACAACTGAATAGCCATCACTTAAAGGAAACATCAGTTTTCAGAGATGAGCTGATTACAGCCATAAGGCATTGAATTTGGTTCTTAGATTTCCTGGTACCTAAGGTGGAAAGAGAAATGTGTTGGGTTACAAGCTTTCAGTATCTTAGAAAAGAAAGCATCCCTTTGTTGTTGTTGTGTTTGGTTAAAACATTTTTTTAATTCTAAATTCACTGTGTGTGTGTGTGTGTGTTTGTGTGTGTATCTAATGTCTCTTCTCACTGAAGGTACACATTATAGAAATAGACCTTGGAGAGCCAGGCGCGGTGGCTCACGCCTGTAATCCCAGCACTTTGGGAGGCCGAGGTGGGTGGATCAGCTGAGGTCAGGAGTTCGAGACCAGCCTCAACATGGAGAAACCCTGTCTCTACTAAAAATACAAAATTAGTCGGGCATGGTGGTGCATGCCTGTAATCCCAGCTACACGGGAGGCTGAGGTGGGAGAATTGCTTGAACCTGGGAGGCGGAGGTTGTCGTGAGCCGAGATTGTGCCATTGCACTCCAGCCTGGACAACAAGAGTGAAATTCCGTCTCAAAAAAAAAAAAAAAAGTAGACTTTGGAGAGAATAGCAGAATAGGTGATGAATACGTCTACTTTAATAAATGGCATCACCATCCTCTTGTCATAGGTTACTAAGACAAGAAACTTTCATCTTTAACAATGTGGTAGAAAAAGATAAATTTATGTTGGGACTGCAGCTGGAGTTTGAAATGTCTATGGGGCAACCTCACATCTCCCTAGCCCACTACTGCTCTTTTCTGGCTTTATAATAATATTTGAACCTGTTCCTTTTTTCTCGGTTCTTACCATCATTTCTTTAGTTTAAATTTTTATTGTTTCTTGCTTGAACTTTTGCAGCAGCTTACTAGTTGATCTCCCTATGCAGGTCTTTTTTTTTTTTTTTTCCCCTCTTGAATCTCTTACATGGCCTTGTCACAATCTATCTTTCTTTCTTTCTTTCTTTCTTTCTCTTTCTTTCTTTCTCTTTCTTTCTTTTTTTTTTTTTTTTTGAGACAGGGTCTCACTCTGTCGCCCAGGCTGGAGTGCAGTGGCACGAGCTCACTGCAACCTCTACTTGCCGGGTTCAAGCAATTCTTATGTCTCAGCCTCCTGAGTAGCTGGGATTACAGGCATGCACCGCCATACCCGGCTAGTTTTGGTATTTTTAATAGAGATGGGGTTTCGCCACGTTGGCCAGGCTGGTTTTGAACTCTGGGCCTCAAACAGTCCACCCGCCCTGGCCTCCCAAAGTGCTAGGATTACAGGCATGAGCCACCATGCCCAGCCAGGTCCTGTAGCAATCTTTCTAAAGCACATTAAGAGCTTGTCACTAGCTGGCATGGTGGTTCATGCCTATAATCCCAACACTTTGAGAGGCTGAGGCGGGTGGATCGCTTGAGGTCAGGAGTTCGAGACCAGCCTGGCCAACATGGTGAAACCACGTCTCTACTGAAAATACAAAAATTAGCTGGGCGTGGTGGCAGGCGCCTGTAATCCCAGCTACCTAGGAGGCTGAGGCAGGAGAATCTCTTGAACCCAGGAAGAAGAGGTTCCAGTGAGCTGAAATCGTGCCACTGCACTCCAGTCTGAGCAGCAGAGCAAGACTCTGTCTCAAAAAAACCAAAAGAGCATGTCACTAACTGCTCTAAAACCCTCTATGGCTTTCCTTTGCCTATGTGATACAGTACAAAATCCTTGGCCAATATTTAAGGCAATCTGTTATCTGATCCTAGCCTCCCTTTTCAGCTAAGTGTTGAAGTAGTTGAATTATATAAAAAAACAAAGCAGTGTAATAACATTCTTCAAGATGTCTATTATATAAATAATTTTTAGGTGACAGTGTTGCAAATGCATGCTTTTTTTTTTTTTTTTTTTTTTTTTTTGAGACAGAGTCTCGCTCTGTCGGCCAGGCTGGAGTGCAGTGGCAGATCTCGGCTCACTGCAAGCTCCACCTCCTGGGTTCACGCCATTCTTCTGCCTCAGCCTCCTGAGTAGCTGGGACTACAGGCGCCCGCCACCACGCCGAGCTAATTTTTTGTATTTTTAGTAAAGACGGGGTTTCACCATGTTAGCCAGGATGGTCTCGATCTCCTGACCTCGTGATCCGCCCACCTCAGCCTCCCAAAGTGTTGGGATTACAGGTGTGAGCCACCGTGCCCAGCCCATACTTTTTTTTTTTTGAGACAGAGTTTCGCTCTTGTCTCCCAGGCTAGGGTGCAATAGCGCGATCTCAGTTCACTGCAACCTCCGCCTCCCAGGTTCAAGCAATTCTCCTGCCTCAGCCTCCCGAGTTGCTGGGATTACAGGCGCCTGCCACCAATGCCCGGCTAATTTTTTTGTATTTTTGGTAGAGACGGAGTTTTGCCATGTTGGCCAGGCTGGTCTCGAACTTCTGAATTAAGGTGATCCACCTGCCTTGGCCTCCCAAAGTGCTGGGATTATACCTTTTTAATGTAAATACTTTGCACGTTAAGTTAAGGTGAAAGACATATGTTGCATATGCCCTTATCTGAATTCTAATTCTCCTCTGAAGATGCAGATCTCCTTGTATCCGTGCTCTAATAAGTGATGGATTCTCCCATGCCTGAAGAAGTCAGCCTTCCTACTATTGTAATATTGCTACTGTTATGCCTCTGTTGCTGCTATTATACTTCAGCACCCATCTGAAAATTCTTCTTGTTTTGGGGTGCATGCTGCTGGAGCACACCATCTTTCAAACTTTGTCGCTGCTCTTATTTCTCAACCTCCTGGGTCACTTCATTAAGTTTATCAAGGACTTCAGTACCTGGTTTATCATCTTAAGACTGCTTCATCTGTTGCTACCATTTTAAGGACTTTTAATAGATAATGAAATTGCTCTTTTAACTTCTCATGTTCACTGTATTTGATATACTTAAATAACTACGCTACTATTCCATTTAAGCGATTACCCTTTTGCAGACTTCTGTTACAAAAGTTTAACAAAAAGTTTAATATGAAAATGTACATGACCTGATTTTTACGTAATAATAAAATTGGCCCTTTGGAGAGGGGACTTGAATTTCTCTGCTGAACAATCATTATTTATACTTGTTCCAAGGTTTCTTTTTTTTTTTTTTTTTTTAGACAGTCTCTTCTTGTCACCCAGGCTGGAGTGCAGTGGCGCGATCTAGGCTCACTGCAGTCTCCACCTCCCCGGTTCAAGCAATTCCCCCGCCTCAGCCTCCTGAGTAGCTGGGATTACAGGCACCCGCTAGCACACCTGGCTAATTTTTGTATTTTTAGTAGAGATGGGGTTTCACCATGTTGGCCAGGCTGGTCACAAACTCCTGACCTCAAGTGATCCGCCCGCCTTGGCCTCTCAAAGTGCTGGGATTACAGGCCTGAGCTACCGCGCTTGGCCTGTTCCAAGGTTTCTAACACTATGGTACTATTTCCTCATATTACCACCATTCCAATATCATTGTTGCCCAAAGATCCCCACAATTCTTTGAACATGTCTGCCACAGTTTAACTTCAATTCTAACTTCTTTTTTTTTGTTTTTTGTTTATTTTTTGAGACGAGTCTCACTCTGTCGTCCAGGCTGGAGTGCAGTGGTGAGATCTCGGCTCACTGCAACCACTGCCTCCAGGGTTCAAGCTATTCTCATGCCTCAGCCTTTGGAGTAACTGGGACCACAGGTGCATGCCACCATGCCTGGCTAATTTTTGTATTTTTAGTAGAGATGGGGTTTCACCATGTTGGCTAGACTGGTCTCAAACTCCCGGCTTCAAGAGATCCACCTCCTTGGCCTCCCAAAGTGCTGGGATTACAGGCATGAACCATTGCACCCGGCCAATTCTGACTTCTTGTCTATAAATTTTTTTCAACTCAGGAGGGTGAGCTTTGCTCGTGGTGACTACTTCATGGGCCCAGAGCTGCTGTGAAATGGAATTTGTGGCTTCACTTATGCTCCTGTGATTCAAGCCCTGGTGTTTTGTGGTTGACCAAAGTTTTCTTATGTAACCAAATCCTACCTTTAATGTTGATATTTTCTGGTGTTCTGTCCTCCAGATCTCTTTTCTTCTAACTCTTTATATCAGTGGTCCCCAAACTTTTTGACACCAGGGACCAGTTTCGTAGAAGACAGTTTTTCTACAGACAGTGGGGGTGAGGAATGGTTTCGGGATGAAACTGTTCCACCTCAGAAGATCTTCAGGCATTTGATTTTTTTTTTGAGACAGGGTCTTGCTCTGTCACCCAGGCTGCAGTGCAGTGGCACGATCTCGGCTCACTGCAACTTACACCTTCCAGGTTCAAGTGATTCTCCTGCCTCAGCCTCCCTAGTAGCTGGGGCAACAGGCGTGTGCCACCACCCCTGACTATTTTGTATTTTTAGTAGAAATGGGATTTCACCGTGTTGCCCAGGGTGGTCTTGAACTCCTGACCTCAAGTGATCCACCCACCTCGGCCTCCCAAAGTGCTGGGATTATAGGCCTGAGCCACCACCAATCAGGCATTAGATTCTTATAAGGAGGGTGCATTCTAGATCCTTTACATGTATAGTCTGTGATACCTGTGCCGTAGCTAATGATATTTATACTAGACTGCCTTCCCATCACCCTTATATCTGAAAGCTTCTAGTCTTCTTTAAAATCTCAGGGCAGAATCAATAGATAGCCTCTATGAAGTCTTCCCTATCATGTAGGTATAGGAGTTTTTTGTACACTGAGCATCTTTCCCTCTAGTAGTTTGATTTTTTTATTACAACATATTTATTTATTTGCTTGCCTTCCTGAGGGCAGATGTGTATCTTTTCATGTTCATATTCCTAGACTTAGCATGGCGCCTGGCATATAATCAGTGTTCAGTAAATATTATTTAGTTCATGAATGAATATACTAGGTTTGAGGGGAGCAAAATTGCTGTTTTGTGAACAACTCATGAGCAAGCAATGGACAATGATAGAAAAGACATTAAAGTCAGCATTCCTTGGGTTGTCTTAAGTATTGGTGCAAAGAAATTTGGTTCATAAACTAAGGTCCATAATGTAATAGAGAAAAACAAACAAAAATATAAAACAGGACTTTAACTGAAAAATATTTATGACATTATGGCAGAGGGTATAAGATAATCTTCCTTGTTAAAAACTTTAGACAAATTATGTTTAACAGAGTTTAATTGAGCAAAGAATTTGTGAATTGGGTAGCTTCTCCACCCCTCACTATGTTGCTGAAGCTGGTCTTGAACTCCTGGCCTCATGTGATCCTCCTGCCTTAGTCTCCTAAAGCACTGGGATTACAGGCATGAGCCACTGTGCCTGGCTTCAGCTATATTATTTATTTAAAACTTTTGATCTTCAGTTTACCTGTATATAAAATTAAAATAATAACACCTCAAATATGAATGAAAAAATGAATTTGAACCACAGTTTATGGAAAAAATTCAAGCATCATTTGACTTTTCATAGGAACCTTAAGGAAATAAAATTGAATCAGGGATGTTGTGACTTGCTTAATGTTAAGAAGTAGAATTTGTTCTTAAAAAAACAAACTGAGTACCAGGTGCAGTGGCTGAAGCTTGTAATCCTAGCACTTTGGGAGGCCGAGGTGGGTAAATCACGAGGTCAGGAGTTTGAGACCAGGCTGGCCAACATGATGAAATCCCGTTTCTACTAAAAATACAAAAAATGAGCTGGGCATGGTGGCGGGTGCCTGTAATCCCAGCTACCCGGGAGGCTGAGGCAGGAGAATCGCTTGAATCCAGGAGGCAGAAGTTGCAGTGAGCTGAGATCACACCACTGCACTCCAGCCTGGGCAACAGTGTGAGACTCCATCTCAAAAAAATTAAATAAAATAAAAAACTGAGTAGAAATCCCTGAATGATCTTGATGTGGTTTAGATTCTGTTCTTCTGTCTCAGTCTTTATTAGAAATGGGTAAATTAGGGTCTGGGTGCAGTGGCTTACAACTGCAATTCCAGCACTTTGGGAGGCCAAGGCAGGAGGATTGCTTGAGCCCAGGAGTTTGAGACCAGCCTGGGCGACATAGTGAGACCCCCATCTCTACAACTTTTTTTTTTTTTTAATTAGCTGGGTGTGGTGACATGTACCTGTTGTCCCAGTTACTTGGGTGACTGAGGTGAGAGAATTACGAGCCCAGAGGTCGAAGCTGCAGCAAGACCCTGTCTCAAAAAAAAAAGAAATGGGTAAATTAGAAAATTATTTAAGCTATGTGTTAGAAAACAAAGGAGAATTAAATGAATGAAAGGAAATAAAATTTCTTGTTGGTATTTATTTCAAAAAATGCAAGGAATTCACCTAGCAACAATTACTCTTTCCTTCTCCACCCAAACCTAAAATAGAATAACTAGGATAAGAGGTGTGTTTGTGTTACCAAAAATTTGTTGTTTTAATGTGAATTCTTTTAGATTGTTAGCTTCAAGGTTCCCAGTCGTCTTCCCTTTTCCATCAATTGTTCTTAGGGCTAAGCCACTTACTGTAAATATGCCATTTCTTATAAAATGTGTTTAATAAAAATAATTACCCGTTCTTGCTTATATCTTGTTCTTTGAAATCTGAAAATGATGGAGCTGATCTGATCTCTATCTGATCTTCACAGATAGTGTGAGAACCATTTGAATAAATAGATACAGTGCTTTGCTAAATTTTGGGTAACTAAAGGAGTAAAGGAGTTAATGGTATAGTAAAAGAGAATCATGTGTCAAATATGAAACATGTTATGAGTATAAGAGAGAAGAGTCATATCTAAATGAGTGGCTCAGAGAAGGCTTCATGGGGCAGGGACATTTGATCTGTGCCTTGGAAGATGATGATTAAAATTTCAATAGATAGAAGTGAAGGAAGAGAGCCTTTTGTAGTTCATAAGCATGATGATTGGGTTTTCACACTCATATATGAGATGTACGTCCCACAAACCTTTTTATGATGTTGGCACATTACTCGTCTGATATGATTTTTTTTGAAAAAAGACATGAAGGAAAAGCAGTTAGGATAAGAGCACAGACATGAATGCAGGCAAGTGGAAGGCAGTGGTCCTTCTAGCTTTTAAAAATAAAGATATTAGGCCTCGACCTTAAAATTTCGATTTAATAGCAAGGTAAATAGAAAAGAACTAGTGTTTGTGAGAGATACTGTGGAGAGATACTTTATGGATTTGGTAACCAGTTTTTTGTTTTTTGTTTTTTTTTGAGACGGAGTGCTGGAATGCAGTGGTGTGATCCCGGCTCACTGCAACCTCTGCCTCCCGGGTTCACGCCATTCTCCTGCCTCAGCCTCCCGAGTAGCTGGGACTACAGGCGCCTGCCAGCACGCCCGGCTAATTTTTTGTATTTTTTAATGGAGACGGGGTTAGCCGGGATGGTCTCGATCTTCTGACCTCGTGACCTCGTGATCCGCCCGCCTCAGCCTCCCAAAATACTGGGATTACAGGCCTGAGCTACCGCGCCTGGCTGGTAACCAGATTTTAATGAAGATTTCAGAAGTGGAGATGATGCCACTTCCCTGACTGTATCACTCTACTTTTTAAAACCCTGTTTTACTGGTGAATTTATAACAGGAACATATTTCTTACCTCCAGCACCACTATCAAGGCTGTTCAGCCTACACACTGAAACTCTGTATCATTCCTTCTCTTATGTTTTTTTTTCTTTTTGAGACAAGGTCTCACTCTGTCACCCAGGTTGGAGTGCAGTGGCACAATCTCGGCTCACTGCAACCTCTGCCTCCCAGGCTCAAGCAATTCTCCCAGCTCAGCCTCCTGAGTAGCTGGAACCATAGGTGTGCACTACCACGCCCAGCTAATTTTTTGTATTTTTTTGTAGAGATGGTTTCGAACTCTTGAGCAAGCACAAGTGATCCACCCACCTCAGCCTCCCAAAGTGCTGGTATCAGGCATAAGCCACTGTGCCTGGCCCATTCCTTCTTCCCATAGTCAAAACCACTGCTACTCAAAATGTAGTCCACAAACTGGTACTAGTTTACTGACTGTTATTACAGTTCTGCAACAGCTTAATTATGGAAATTGAGTGTGTTGAGAAGGTCATCTCAGCTTGACAGTACTGTGATATCCAAGCATGTGATTAGTGGACTTGTCTTATGAAATGGGGTGTAGACCAATCCTGGTGCTTTTCACCTTATTTTCTAGTAATACATTTGTCGTAAAGCACTGGTCTGTGACAAATTGGAATTTAAAAACCAAAACAAAAAAACTGGTCCTTCACAGACAGTTTGAGAACACGAGCTATACTGTGCATTTAGAATTAACTTCCTCTGCCTTTATCCTCTGTTGTTTCAAAGTATATTTTCTCTTCCCAGTATAATAGGATTTTCCTTATTCAGTGTAATGCATTTTCCAGTATATAAAACCTCTTTTTACTTCTTTATAATTTAAAGTATTTGCAAAGCACTGTATCTATTTATTCAAATGGTTCTCAAGCTATCTGTGAAGATCAGATCAGATAGAGATCAGATCAGATCCATCATTTTCAGATTTCAAGGAACAAGATATAAGCAAGAACGGGTAATTATTTTTATTAAACACATTTTATAATTTAAAGTATTTGCATTGTGCAAAAACTTAATGTTTATAAAATGTCTGCCTATATTTGTTTTAGCCACTTTAGATTTTAAATTTCCAGATACCATATGTTTAATTATTTTCAGTATCCAAAATAATGTCTTTGAGTGTTAGGGAAATGATTTAATGAATCAAGAAATTATCTGTTTTGGACATGTACAATTAGATACAGAATACTGGCAGTACTGTTTCATTTTTATTTATTTATTTGCTTGTAGAGATAGGGTCTGGCTATATTGGCAGGCTAATTTCAAACCCCTGGCCTCAAGCTATCCTCCCACTTCAGCCTCCCAAAGTGTTGAGATTATGGATGTGAACCACCATGCATGACCAGTAGTACTGTATTTTGATTACTCGCCTATCATCGGACTACTCAATTAAAAAATAACATTATTTTGTATTCTGTAATAATGGTATACTAGTAACTAGCTAGTCTTCAACTGCATAAATGTGAAGGTAATGCTTTGCTTGCAATAAATATCAGTAACTTGATGATATAACAGTTTGTAATATCTAGACTTAGGAAAAAAAAATTTGCCTTTCTCAGTCTGATCTCCATGAGCTCTTCAGCTTCTTTTTAGGTTAATTCTTTTCAGCCTGGCCAAGAAGGTATAGCTCTCAGATTCAGTTAGCCAGGTAGGGTCTGGCAGATCTCACAAATTAGGATGTCAAGGGGTTGAATATTAGATGAGCTAAAAGGAATAGATCAGCAAAAAAGGAAAAGAAACGGAAACTCATACCTTTTAGCAATCACTCCCCATTTCTCCTTACTTCCTGCCCCTGCCAGCCATTAGATACTTTCCATCTCTGTGGTTGACTCTTCTGCATGTTTCATATAAATAGAATAATAAATATATGGCCTTTTGTGTCTGGCTTCTTTCACTTAGCATAATCTTTTCAAAGTCCATCACATTGTAGCTTATAATACTATTTCGTGCTTTTTACGGCTAGATAATATTCATTGTATGGATTATACCATATTTTGTCTATCCATTCATCAATTGATGGACATTTGGGTTATTTCCACTGTTTGACCATTATGAATAATAACATTATAAACATTTGTGTGGGCATACATTTTCTTTCTTTTTCTTTTTTTTTTTGATAGAGATGAGACACTTTTGCCATGTTGCCCAGCCTGATCTTATGTTTTCAATTCTTGGGTATGTAATGTTCTAGGAATGGAATTGCTGGGCCATATGATAACTCTATATTAAACTTTTTAGGGACCTGCCACACTGTTTTCCAGAGTGGCTTCATCATTTATATTCCCACCAGCAGTGTACAAAGATTCAAATTTTCCCATATTGCCAACACTTGGTATTGTCTGTCTTTCTGATTATAGCTATCATAGTGGGTTAGAAGTAGTATCTCATTGTGGTTTTGCTTTGCATTTCCCTGATGGCTAATGATGTTAAACGTTTTTTCATGAGCTTACTGGCTATTTGTATATCTTCTTAGGAGAAATATATATTCAAATCCTTTGACCATTAAAAATTTTTGTTTTACAATTGAATTATAAGAATTCTTTCTATATTCTGGAGACTAATGTTTTAAAATCAGGTATATAATTTGCAAATATTTTCTTGCATTCTGTAGGTTATTTTCTCATTTTCTTGATAGTGTCCTCTGAAGCAAAAAGGTTTTGAATTTTGATGAAGTCAAATTTATTTTTTCTTTTATTGCTTGTGCATTTAGTGTCATATCTAAGAAAGAATTGACTGATTCAAGGTCATGTTTTCTTCTGAGTTTTATAATTTTAGTTTTTACATTTAGGTTTTTGGTTTTTGATCCATTTTGAGTTAATTTTTCAAGTATAGTCTTCATTCTTTTCAACTGTGTGTTGAAAAGACTTTTGAAGGGTACCAAACAACTCAATGAGGAAAAAAAAGTCAACCATTTGTTAAAAATACTTTTTTTTTCCCTCCTTTTCCTCCTTGAGTTGTTTGGTACCCTTGTCGATGATCAGTTGATCATCAGTGTAAGGATTTATTTCTGAACTCTCAATTGTTCCATTCATCTATATGTCTATCCTTATCCCGGTACTACACTCTGTTGATTAGTGTAGCTTTGTAGTAAGTTTTGAAATGAGACAATGTCAGTTCTCCAGCATTGTTCTTGGTGGCTCATGCCTGTAATCTCAGGACTTTGGGAGTAGAGGTGAGAGGATCACTTGAGTCCGGGAGTTTGAGACCAGCCTGGGCAACATGTGGCAATGCCTGTCTCTACAAAAAATTTAAAAAATGAGCCAGGTGTAATGGCATAAACTTGTAGTCCCAGTGACTCAGGAGGCTGAGGTGGGAGGATTGCTTGAGTCTGGGAGGTTGAGGCTGCAGTGAACTGTGACTGCACCACTGCATTCCAGCCTAGGTAACAGCGAGACTCCATTTAAAAAAAAAAAATACTGTTTTGACTATTCTGGGTCACTTGCATTTTCTTTTGAATTTTAGGATTAGCTTGTCAGTTTTTGCAAAAAACTATGTTAGGATTTTGGTAAAGAGTACATTGAGGCTGGGTGTGGTGGCTCATGTCTGTAATCCCAGCACTTTGGGAGGCCATGGCGGGTGGATCACCTTAGGTTAGGAGTTCAAGACCAGCCTGGCCAACCTCGTCTCTACTAAAAATACAAAAATTAGCTGGGTGTGGTGGCACATGCATGTAATCACAGCTACTCTGGATGCTGAGGCAGGAGAATCTCTTGAACCTGAGAGGCGGAGGTTGCAATGAGCCGAGATCGAGATTGAGCCACTGCACTCCTGCCTGGGCAACAGAGTGATACTCTGTCTCAAAAAAAAGAAAAAATAGAAGAAAAAAAAGAGTACATTGAATCTTTAGGTATATTTGGGGGCTGTTGCTATCTTAACAGCATTCAGTCTTACTCATGAACACAGAATGTCTCCATTTGTTTTAGTCTTTAATTTTTTTCAGTAATGTTTTGTAGTTTCCAGTGTACAAGTCTTGTACTTCTTTTGTTAAATTTAAGTATTTTATTCTATTTCAAACTATTGTAAATGGAATTGTTTGCTTAATTTCACTTTTAGATTGTTCATTGCCAGTGTATAGAAATACAGTTGATTTTTCTTATTAATCTTGTATTCTGCAACCTAGTTGAGCTTGTTTGTCAGTCAGATAGGATTTTTTGGTGGATTCCTTAGGATTTTCGATATCCAAGATCATGTCATTTATGAGTAGAGATAGTAATGCTTTGGACTTTACAATGTGTGTGGCTTTTATTTCTTTTTCATGCATAATTGTCTTGGCTAGAATTTACAGTATAATATTAAATAAAAGTAACAAAAAGACATCCATGTCTTGTTCATGCTTTTAGGGGTAAAGCTTTCAGTCTTTTTTCACTAAGTGTGTTGTTAGTTGTGACCGTTTCATAGATACCTGTTATCAGGTTAAGAAATACTTTTCTTTTCCTAGCTTTTTGAGTATCTTTAGGATGAAATTATATTGGGTTTTGTCAGATGTTTTTTCTGTGTCTATTGAAACTATCATGTGAGTTTTGACCTTTATGTTAACATAAGGTATTACAGTGATTGATTTTTATATGTTGAACCAACCTTGCCTTCTGGGATGAATGTCACTTAGTCATAGTGAGTGTGTGTGTATGTGTGTGTGTAGATAGATAGATAGATAGATAGATAGATAGATTCAGTTTTCTAGTATTTTGTTGAGGATTTTTACATTCATATTCATAAAGGATATTGGTCTGTATTTTTCTTGTAATGTTTTTGTCTGATTTTCATATGAGAATATTGGCCTCATAGAATGAGTGGGAAATATACTCTATTTTTTGGAAGAGTTGGTAGGATTCACCCATAAGCCATTTGAGTCCAAGCTTTTCTTTGAAGTAGTTTTTTTTCCCCCACTAATTCAATCTTCTCATTCATTGTAGGTTGTTTCAGAATTTCTATTTCTTCTTGAGTCAGTTTTGGTGGTTTGTGACTTTCTAGTAATTTGTTCATTTCATATAGGCTGTGTAATTTGCTAGCATACAGTTGCTCATAGTATCCTCTTATAATTTTTATTTCTGTAGGGTTAGTAGTAATGTATTATATTCCAGTCCAGATTAGTGATTTGAATCTTATGTCTTTTTCAGTTTGGACAGTCTAGCTGACAGTTTGTCAAGTTTTTTGAGTGTTTCAAAGAACCAATTTTTGTTTAATGATTTTTTTTGGGGGGTCTCTATTTCTTTTATGTCCTTTCTAATCTTTATTTCCTTCTTTGTGCTTTAGGATTAGTTTGCTCTTTATTTTCGTATATATGTATGACCACACCTGGCTATTTTTAATTTCTTTGTAGAAATGGAGTCTCACTAAGTTGCCCGGGCTGGTTGTAAACTGCTGGGCTCAATTGAGACTCCTGCCTCGGCCTTCCAAAGGGTTGGGATTACAGGCGTGAACCAACGCACCCAGCCAATGGTCTTACTTCCTAAGGTGGAACATTATGGTTCGATTTTCAGATTTCTTTCTCATATAGCAATTTAAAGCTATAGATTTTTCTGTCAGCACTGGATTAGCTGGATGCCATAAGTTTTGGTATGTTGTATTTTCATTTACATTCATCTCAAAGATTTTCTAACTTCTCCTGTGATTTTTCTTTGACCAATTGGTTATTTAGTTGTGTATTGCTAAATTTCCACATATTTGTGAGTTTTCTTAATTTCCTTATGTTATTGATTTCTAATTTCATTCCACTGTGGCCAGATAACATACTTTGTCTTCAGTCCTTTTAAATTACTGAAGTTTATTTTATGGCCTTACATATGGTCTATTTTGGATAGTATACCATGTGCATTTGAAAAGACTGTATTCTTTTGTTGTTAGATGGGCATTCGATAGATGTCTGTTAGATCTGGCTGCATTATAGTATTGTTTAGGTCTTCTATTTTCCCTTCTGTCTAGTTCTATTCATTATTGAAAGTAGAGTGTTGACTCTTAAATTACCATTGTTGAATTGTGTGTATATTCCTTCAATTCAGTTCTGTTCAGTTTCTGCTTTGGGGGTTGGGAGTTCTGTTGTTAAGTGCATATATGTTCACAATTGTTATATCTTCTTAAAAGATTAACCCTTTAACTATTATAAAATGTCCTTCTTCTCTAGCAATAATTTTTTTTTTTTTGAGACAGTCTAGCTCTGTTACCCAGGCTGGAGTGCAGTGATGCGATCTTGACTCACTGCAACCTCCACCTCCTGGGTTCAAGCGATTATGCTGCTTCAGCCTCCCTGGTAGCTGGGACTACAGGCGCCCACCACCACGCCCAGCTAGTAGAGACAGGGTTTCACCATGTTGGCCAGGATGGTCTCAATCTCTTAACCTCATGATCCGCCCACCTCAGCCTCCCAAAGTGCTGGGATTATAGGCGTGAGCCACTGCGCCCAGCCTAATTTTGATCATTTTTATTAGCGTTAGAAAGTAAATAATTTCCAGACTTTGTTAGCATGCCTTATGGGAAGGAAATTGAGAGAGAATACTTTGGCTCCTAATATGTCGCAAAATCTTGAGTTGATTCATGTTTGCTTTTGTTGTGTTTTTTTGGTTTGCTTTGTTATTGTTCTCATTTTCTTTTTTTTCCTCGAACATTGTGTCTTTGAAACATTAATTTTAGGAAATTTAGAGGTAATTGTAGCAGCCTATTTCTTTATTATTATTTATTATTTCTTTATTATTATTTCATTATTATTATTATTATTATTTAGTGACAAGGTCTCGCTTTGTTGCCTAGACTGGAGTGCATTGGCTCAATCATAGCACACTGCAACTTAACTTAAATTCCTAGGCTCAAGGGATTCCCTCACCTTAGTCTCCAGAGTTGCTGGGACTAGAGGCACATGCCACCATGCTTGGCTGATTTTTTAGTTTTGTAGAAATGGAATCTCAATGTGTTGCCCAGGCTGATCTCAAACTCCTGGCCTCAAACAACCCTCCCACTTCAGCCTCCTAAAGTACTGGGATTACAGATGTCAACCACCTTGCCCAGCCCAAGCCTGTTTTATTCTAATTTCATAATTCTTTAAACTACTCTGTGGGAAAACTAGAACACCTTTCCTCTTTATTTCAGTTGTATGTGCTTTTATTTTGATATTTGATAAACTATATTTAACTAGTATTTGATGACTATTATTCTTATAGGCAGATAATAGATAAATATTTAGTATTCTTTTTTTACAGATGTATTACATTGGAGGCTGAATAGATCTAGGGTTACCTGTTGTTTAAATCCTGACTCTACTTCTTATGAGCTAAGTTTCTTAGACTCTCTGTACCTAAATTTTCTCACCTGTAAAATGGAGATAATAATGGTACTAATTTCATAGTATTGCTATGTAGATTATAGGAATTAGTTTCTGTGGAGTGCTGAGAATAGTGTGCATTGTTTAGAAAACATTCGCTTTGTGTTACACATTATTATTTTGTCTAGTTCTGTGAAAAGTCACATAGGTAGTAAGTGTTACAGACAGGAGTGAAATCTGGGTATTCTAATTCCAGTCAAGAGGAGGCAGTTCTATTTTGCCTGTCAGTAGGTTATGCAGTCTTTTCCAAGGTAAAAATTTCCATATTGTATGAACTGAATATAATGAAGTAAAAATAATTAATTTTGTTAGTAATAAAACACATTTGAGTACATATTGTTTGCTCAGCATTGTGCCAATTTTTAGAAATCCTGAGGTAGACACAGTTTCTATTCTAAAGATGCTAGACTAGTCCTGGAAGAAAGACAATAAGACATTTGAAACATTGTTCTTTCCATAAAAGAGAAATGTACAGAATCCAAGGGAATAGAGAGGAAAGGCATATATCCCTTTCCTTTTGGAATGGCAGAACAAAAAACAGTCTTGGAAAATCACATAGATAAGACATCACTAAAAAGTTACTATGCCAGGTGTTGTGGCTATCGCCTGTAATCTCAACACTTTGAGACCAAGGTAGGAGGATTGCTTCAGCCCAGTAGTTTGAGAACAGCCTGGGCAACATAACAAGACCCCATCTCTACAAAAATTAGCTAGGTGTGGTGGGGAGACCTGGGTCCCAGGTACTTTTGGAGGCTGAGGTGGGAGGATTGCTTGAACTCAAGAGGTTGAGGCTGCAGTGAGTTGTAATCATGCCACAGCACTCTAGCCTGGGTGATAGAGTGAGACCCTGTCTCCCCCCCAAAATTGTAATGAATATTCGTAGGATATGATAATACATGAAAGAGTTTAAAGTGCTATCTATATGTTGTTACTGTACTTTATTTTGAAATCTTATGTTGAGCCTTAGTGCATTCTAAGAAATTAATTGATGTTTACCTTTAACTTGAGTTTATTTACAATGGTTTCTTTGTTTCCTTTCAAAAATCTTTTATTTTTTCAGTTGCCTTTTAAAATTATGTTTTGAGGCTGGACACAGTGGCTCACACCTGTAATCCCAGCACTTTGGGAGACTGAGGCGGGCGGATCACTTGAGGTCAGGCTGGCCAACATAGTGAGACCCCATCTCTACTGAAAATATAAAAATTAGCCAGGTGTGATAGTGGGCACCTGTAATCCCAGCTACTCGGGAGTCTGAGGCAGGAGAATCGCTTGAACCCTGGAGGTGGAGGTTGCAGGGAGCCGAGATTGTACCACTACACTACAGCCTGGGCCACAGAGCAAGACACCATCTCAAAAAAATAAAACAGAAACAAAAAATTCTATTTTGTATTGTAAGAGAAGTAATGTGCTTTTTGTAAACAATTTGGAATAGTAGGAAGTACATAAAGTAGAATTTCTCCACTCTTTTTCACCAGCATTCTCACTTACACTGAAAATGAGCTAAGCAACAATAAAACTAGTCATGCTCCCTAGAGGTAACGCTGCCTAGTTGTTTGGTATCTTCTATGCATAAATACATATACATATGCATAAGTACATGCAAGCATATCTCAAGTCTACTTGTTTATTTTTATTAAAATGCTCTAAGCTTTAGCCAAAATGGATTATTTTTCTGGATACTATCATACCTCACGTTTTTCTTTTCTTTTGTTTTTCGTTAATAGGTTCTTATTGGTAGCACTTAAAAATGGTATCTTAAATATATTTTGTTAACAAAATATATTATTACAATTAATTTCCCCGTGTCATTTTATTTCTTAAAATGTGATTACAAGGAAATTTAAAATCACATATGTAGCTAATATTTGTGGCTTGCATTATATTTCTAGGAGACAGCACTGATTGAGACAGATTGCTGATTATGCATTTGCTAATCTCTTCCAAGAGGGACCCAGAAACTACAGTTCTCCAATCTGGATCTCAGAGATTATGAGAGAACCAGGCCACTTTGACTTTTTTTTTTTAAAGCTTCATAGTAAATAGTAAATTTAAAAAAAATTTTTATTATACTCTAAGTTCTAGGGTACACGTGCACAACGTGCAGGTTTGTTACATGTGTATACATGCATACCTCACGTTTTTCTTGCTCCATGTATTTTTTATGCCTTGAATGCCCTTTCCATTCAACTCCACCACTTTATGTCTAGTGTTCTTCCTGTCCTTAAAAGTCTTTTCAGATATTATGTACTCTGTCAGGCCTTTTTTCTTTCCCCACCTTTGTGCTTTATTGAGCTTTGAAAGTACTCTTGTGTTTCTAAACTGCCATATACTTTGACATCTCACTTTTAGTACTAACACTTCTACTGTTCATATAGTTATTCATTTAATTTTGCATGCCCTGCTCTTACTGACAGTTTCTTTAGAGCAGTACTGTCTGTGTTTGAGCTTTTTAATCCCTAAGTACCTATTTACAAAGCCTATTGTTAGGTACCTATTTACAGAATAAATATATTTCAGACATTATAAATTCTTCTTTTTTTTTTTTTTCCCCAAGGTGGAGTCTCACTCTGTCTTCCCAGGCTAGAGTGCAGTGGCGCAATCTTGGCTCACTGTAGCCTCCACCTCCTGGGTTCAAGTGATTCTCGTGCCTCAGCCTCCCAAGTAGCTGGGATTACAGGTGCACGCCACCACACCCAGCTGATTTTTGTATTTTTAGTAGAGATGAGGTTTCACTGTGTTGGCCAGGCTGGTTTCGAACTCCTGACCTCAGGTATCTGCCCACCTTGGCCTCCCAAAGTTGGGATTACAGGCGTGAGCCACCATACCTGGCCTTCAGACATCATAAATTATTATTCTGATTTTCAACTGTCTTGGGGAGAAGTTAGGAAAGCTGTAGCTGTGAATTGAAAATAGAACTTAACTTCTTTTTTTGGTATGATTAATGATTTTGAATAAGTTTTTCTGAGCTATTGTTTTCTTGATCAGTTTTTAAAATTAAAACTAAAATCGGCAAAGACTAAAGTTTTAAGAACGAGGATATAGACATAGAAATATATATTGTAAATATTTTAATAGAATAGAATTTTAGGAGCAGTTCTTTGACTTTGAAGGAAACTTGTCGCTGAATATTTGCTAAACTTGATTTAACATACATGTAAATAATCAGTAATTTTTTTTTATTTTTCAGAGAATGCAGAATCTATTGATCTTAAACAGTTTTTCGACCAACATTTTTCACATATATACTATGTGTTCTTTGAAAATTTTGTGACTATTGAAGCTAGTCTTAAACAGAAAGGTAAGATGCTAACATATATCTTGGCGTATGTTAATATTTCTAATAATTGTCATAAACATAACTTAAAGGCTGTTGGACATATTGTTTCACTTATTTTTGTCGGACAGCTTTTTGCTTTCCCTCTCACACTACTATCATAGGTCTAGTGACCTGTATTTTAAAGACAACTGATGGGTTAGTATTACTATCCTTATTACTTTACAATGGCTTGAAGATTTGCTTTTTCACTGGTCAGGTTGATTTGTTCCCTCATTGTGCCTTCTTTGGTTCTGCCCTAGGAGCATATGTCACATTTGAGCAGTCATTTTCATATTTTCATTTTCAGAGCTTATTTGAAGTTCTTTGTAATATATCATGATTTGTTTCTAGACATAAATATGTGGAACCTAAATTTAATTACAGTACTCAAAAGAGTAAAGAGAGTGACTGTGATATTGTCTACACAATGAATGGAATATGCTTTAAACATTTTACTAAATAATTGCTGGGAAAAAAAAAACCTTCATTCTTGAAATATTTTAAGTTCATTATGAGGACAAAATGATATGTTTTAAATGTTTTCTTATAAAAATGTTTTAGGTCACAAGTCTCAAAGAGAGGAATTGGATGCTATACTTTTTATTTTTGAGGTAAGTGCTTCTGAACCTAACTTTTCCCTTTTTCAAAAATAATTTTTGGAACATACAAAGGAATATATTTAAATTATAAAACATGTAATGAAACACTCTGAATTTGCCAGCCTTTCTAAGAACTAAATCTAAATTTTTTAAATATGCCTGACTGAATCCTATACTTTTTGAGGTACAATGTATTACTTTTTGGTACAGATATAATTATGTTTTTATACATTTGACACCACAAAATTGGTATGATATTCAGTGTGTTTGCAAACAATGAAGATTTTAATTTGTCGAAGGTTTACTGAAATGGAAAATTTGATTTTGTTTTAACTCCAAAACATTCTTACCTAAGAAGGTATATTCCTGTAACTTTTATGTGCCTAAGGGATTTATTGTTTCTTGGTTCACTGCTTTTCATTGCAAACTTGTTTAAAATAGTCTTAAATATTTTAAAAATTGTCATTTTACATTAGATTGGAAATGGGGCAAGTCTTTATAAATAAAAGTCAGGAAACATAGCTCATAGGTAAATGAACAAAATTTTGATGCTCTGCTAGTTTTTTTTTTTAATTTTTAGCACACTTAAAAATTAAGACCCTTTTACTCCCCTTTTAAAATAACTCCTTGCTCTTTATTGTCTTTCAAAGTAAACAGATAAACAGTCATAGGAGTATTCTGATCTTCACTGAGAATTTCGAGACCTGTAGAAAGCCAGGAATATGCATAGAAAATAATTTGGAAATCAGTTTCTGAAGATTGAGCTATTCTGTCTGGTGCTAATTAAAGATAATTCACTCTTGGCTGTATGTGGTGGTTCAAAGTAATCCCTGCACTTTCGGAGGCTGAGGTGGGAGGTTCATTTGAGCTCAGGAGTTAGAAACCAGCCTGGGCAACACTGCAAGACCTAGTCTCTATTAAAAATCAAAAAAGTTAGCCAAGGCATGGTGGTGGCAGGCGCTTGTAGTGCTAGTGACTCAGGAGGCTGAGGTGGGAGGATCCCTTGAACCCAGGAGGTCGAAACTATAGTGAGCCGTGATTGTGCCACTGCACTCTTGGGCAAGAGAGTGAGACCCTGTCTCAAAAATAATAATAATAATAATAATAATAATTCACTCTTTAGTATTTTGATGTAATTTAGAATTTGAACAACCTCATTTATATGTCTCTTAGCTGTTGATTTAGTTAAGGGGGGAAAAAAAGAATTTTTTTTAAGAGTTCCAAACAGTAGTAACGCTGATGTTAGTATCTGTTCTGCAGTTAATTTTCATTAGTCGTGACCCCTGAGGAATTTGATTATATTACTTCCTGAAGTGTTTGCATGAACTGTTCACAAGGGGAATATTGAAACGTAGTTGCTTTGAGAAAGAATAAAAATATCCACAGAGAAAGCAAGCTAATGATTCTTGGAAAGTATTCCTTCAAATGTTTACGCTTGCCTTAGATTCAGGAAACTGAGATGATTGATTAGTTAATAGAAGCCCTTTTGGAGTATTCCTTATATGTAAAAATAACTATTTTTCTATATGTAATATATATTGATTATTTTTTATTCTTTACATAGAAATGTTTGTCTTTAATGGATCACTAAATTTTATTAGAAAAAAGATCTGAGATACCAGGTTTTCATCTTTTGAAAAAATCATTTGATTTTTGTGCTGACGTTCTACTTATAGTAGGGGGCCTCTACCTTTAGAAACTGATGATGAAAAAGAAATCAGAAATAAAATGATTTCCTTCTTCTGGAATAAAAAGCATCATTATGTGTTGTTACTAATAATATGGTAGAGGTTTTATATTCTGTGCAGTTTAGGGCACATGTAATCTCTTTAATCTTTTATTTACCATATAAAAATATAAGGGGCTAAATCTAAAGTATAATTATTAGTTGTAATTTAGAAATGCTTTTGAATAGTTTACAAATTTGTCTTTTCAACTTTTCTATAAGTTTATCTCTTTCTATACAAAAATAAATATAATTATGCAGTTGTTGGCCAGCTGTGGGAGACATAGGGAGGACAAAGGTAAAAGAGTTTATGTGTCTCATGTGGGACCAGCATTTATCTGTGTAGAACTTTAAAATTTCTTTATCATCCTTTCATATGGGGTTTACTAAAGAAGATGATATCAACGAGAAGACAAGGAAATATAAAATATGCATGTCATCATTTGAGCAGTATATTATCAAGGCAGAGGTTTTAGAAATAGGCGTATTGAATTTGGAACCTCTGTTCTTTCACTTTCTAGCTTTGTAACCTAAGTGCACTACTTAACCCATTTCTTCATTTGTTGAATGAGATAAACCCTCCTTTTGGAATGATTGCAAGGATTAATGCAAGGTATATTAATTAATATACATATATAATAAAGTGCCTAGTGTTTGGCCCTTATTAGCATTCATTTAATGGAGTTCTAAATAATAGTAAGAACAGCAATAACAGCAAACACACAAAAATGTCATTCAGCAAGTGGATGAGTATTGAGAGCACTGTTTAGCAGTAAGGTAGCTCTTGATCGAGAATAATCCAAACAGGTATAATATTAAGGGAAATAAAAGGCAGAATTTTGAACATATTTGTGTAAAGATTTTATTACCAATTAATGGAAACCTATATATGTTAGCTTAACTACAGGGCTCCTAAAATTTTAAATCCTGCTCTCTGTCCGGGTGCAGTGGCTCATGCTTGTAATCCCAGCACTTTTGAAGGCCAAGGCAGGAGGATTGCTTGAGGCCTGAAGCTTGGGCGCAGCCTGGACAACATAGTAATACTCCATCTCCACAAAAATAGTAAAAAAAATTTAGCTGGGCATGGTGGCACACACTTGTAGTCCTATTTGGGAGGCTGAGACGAGTGGATCACTTGAACCCTTGAGTTTGTGGCTGTGGTGAGTTATGATTACACCACTGCACTCCAGCCAGGGTGAAAGGGTGAAACCCCCACCTCTTAAAAAAAAAATTTGCTCTCATACCTATATCCATCATAGCATCTAAGTACCTCTAGTTTCACATGATTAACTCAGTATAAATATTTGATGGGGTTCTCATGAAATCAAAATACTTTCTCTAGGATTATCAAGATAGGAGAAAGAACCATTAGAAGAAAGAGAAAATGTCACAAATATTAATATCTGAAAGAATTGAAACTCATCAGTGATATCCACAATATAGAAATTCTAGGAATTGCTAGACATAGTGGTGTGTGCCTGTATTCCCACCTTGTTGGGAGACTGAGGCAGGAGGATTGCTTGAGTCTGGGAGTTAAGGCTGTGATGCACTATGATCATGCTTCTGAATAGCCAGTGCACTCCAGCCTGTGCAACATAGCAAGACTCTGTCTCTAAAGGGGGAAAAAAAAGAAAATCTAGAAATAGTAAATAAGCATTTTAAATATATTAGAATTAGCATTTAATCATTAGGAAAACATATACCTTCTATATTATTGTAAAAGATGTATTTTGTTAATTTCTTGTTCTAAGTACTGGTTAGTATTGCTTGTTGTTTTTTGAGGCTTTCAAATAGTGATCAACATGCCAGTGCTAAAATAATGTCAATACTATCAAATTAGCTCAGGGACTATTTTGTAGTTTTTTGTTTGTTTGTTTGTTTTGTTTTGTTTTGTTTCGAGACGGAGTTTTGCTCTTATTGACCAGGCTGGAGGGCAGTGGCGTGATCTCGGCTCACGGTAACCTCTGCCTCTTGGGTTCAAGCGATTCTCCTGCCTCAGCCTCCTGAGTAGCTGGGATTACAAGCGCCTGCCACCACACTTGGCTAATTTTTGTATTTTTAGTAGAGACAGGGTTTCACCATGTTGGCCAGGCTGGTCTCGAACTCCTGACCTCAGGTGATCCACCCACCTCAGCTTCCCAAAGCGCTAGGATTACAGGTGTGAGCCACCGTGCCCGGCCTATTTTGTATTTGTTATACTTAGTGAGCCCTTTAATTTTTCACATTTTGCAGGATGTGAACTCATTACTTGGTTTTATTCTTTTCTTTTTTTCTCTTTATATTGATTTTTAGAAAATTTTACAACTTCTTCCAGAAAGAATTCATCAGCGATGGCAGTTTCATAGTATTGGTAAGTAATTCAAATATGTATTTCATATTTGAAACAAAGGATAATATATGAAAAATGTTCTTTAATGGGTTGTTAGTTGAAATGAATTAATAGGTGATGCTTTAATAAAAAGAAAATAAAGAATACAAGAACAGATTGACTAGGAATATAAGAAAAATTATAGATGAAGGATTTGCAGTCAAAATGCCATAGGAAATTTTTGGATCCACTGCTTCCTTTATTCTGATACATTAACATTGATGATAAAACTATAAAACAAAAAAGCAAGATTAGCATCAAGACAAATATCTCCTGATATCAGAAATCTCTATGAATCAGAGATGGAAGAAAAATGCAAAGTGCTAAATAGAATGGACATTTGTGTTGTTTCTAGTTTATTTACTTATTGTTTGCTAGTTCTATTTGTTTTATTGTATATTCCTTTGGATTTTCTACTGTAGGGTTATATCATCTGTGAATGAGTACAGTTACTTTTTTTTTTAATCAGATGCCTTTGATTTCTTCTTTCTTTCTTTTCTGTTTATTGTGCCTCCAGTACAATATTAAATAAAAGTGGCAAGAAAGAGCAGACATTCTTGCATTATTCCTGATTTCAGGGAGAAAGATAATGGTCAGTCTTCACCATTATATGTGATTTTAGCTGTAGTGTTTTTGTAGATGCCTTTTATCCAGTTGAAGAAGTTCTGTTTCTAGTTTGAGAGTTTTTAATCATAAATGTGCATTGTAGTTTGCCAAATGCTTTTTCTCCATCTATTGATGCGATCATTATCAGTGTCATTGGTGCTTTTGTCATTTATTCTATTAATATTATGTATTTTACTAATTGATTTTCAAATGTTAAACCAACTTTCCATACCTGAGGTAAATCCTATTTACTCACTATTTATAGTCCTTTTTATTTGTTGCTTACTTCAGTTTGCCTCTCTGTTTATGAGGAATATTGTATTGTAGTTTGTCAATCTTTATTTGGCTTTACTATTAAGATAGCTATAGAAGTTTAGAAGTGGTCCCTCTTGTTTTCTGAAACAGTTTGTGAATGAGTGGTAGGTAACATTTTCTTCTTTAAATAGTTGATAAAATTCAAAAGTGAGACCATTTGTACTTGGACTTTTCTTTGTGATATTTGTAATTATTACTTCAATTTCTTGTTATAGGTTTATTCAGATTTTATATATCTCTCTGAGTCAGTTTGATAATTTGTTTCTTTCTAGGAACAAATTTGTTAGTAGAAAGTTGTTCAAGTTATTCCTTAGAGTAATCCTTTCGATTCCTATAGGGTCAATAGTGATGTCCCCTTTCATTCTTTTTTTTTAATATTACATAAACTTTTTATTTATTCTTTAATGGTTTCAACTTTATTTTTAGATTCAGGGGATGCATATGCAGGTTTGTTACATGTGTATATCTCATGATGCTGAGGTTTAGGGTATGACTGATCCTGTCACCCAGGTGGTGAACATAGTACCTAACTGTTTTTCAACCCTTGTCCCTCTAGTACTTCCCAATGTCTATTATTGCCATTTTTACGTCCATGAGTACCCAGTGTTTAGCTCCCACTTACAAATGAGAGTATATGATATTTGATTTTCTGTTCCCATGTTAATTTGCTTTAGAATAATGGCCTCCAGCTGTATCCATGTTGCTAAATGTTGCTGCACCGGACATGATTTCATTCTTTTTAATGGCTATATCCGCTTTCATCCTTGATTTTGTTAATTTATGTCTTCTCTCCTATTTTATTGGCCAGTCTAACTATTTGTCATATTTGTTGATCTTTTCAAAGAACAAACTTTTGATATCATTGATTTTCTTTATACTTTTTCTGCTTTCTATTTTCTTGTTTTCCATTCTAGTCTTTGATATTTTATGTGTGTGTATATATATATATATATATATATATATATATTTTTTTTTTTTTTTTTTTTTTTTTTTTGAGACGGAGTTTCGCCCTTGTTGCCCAGGCTGGAGTACAGTGGCACTATCTCGGCTCACCACAACCTCCGCCTCCCAGATTCAAGCGATCTTCCTGCCTCAGCCTCCCGAGTAGCTGGGATTACAGGCATGCACCACCACACCCGGCTTATTTTGTATTTTTAGTAGAGATGGGGTTTCTGCATGTTGGTCAGGCTGGTCATGAACTCCCGACCTCGGGTGATCCGCCCACCTCGGCCTCCCAAAGTGCTGGGATTAAAGACGTGAGCCACTGTGCCCTACCTATTTATTTTTTGTAGTACTGTATTTTTTTTAAGAGACAGGATCTTATTCAGTCACCAGGCTGAAGTGCAGTGCCATGATTGATCATGGTTCACTGAAGCCTTGAAATGGGCTTAAGCCATCCCCCTACTCAGCCTCTTAAGTAGCTGGGACCACAGGTGTACACCACCAGGCCCAGCTCACTTTTTAAAATTATTTTTTGTAGAGACGGGGTCTTGCTTTGTTGCCCAGGCTGGTCTCAAACCTCCGGCTTCAAGCCATCCTCCTACCCCAACCTCCCAAAGTGCTGGGATTACAGGTGTGAGCCATCATACTCAACCTCTTTTATATTTTATAAAACATTCTGTGGCAGGCATGATGCCCCATGCCTGTCATCTCAGCACTTGGCAGAGGCTGAAAGAGGATGATCACTTGAGGCCAGGAGTTTGAGACCAGCTTGAGCAACATAGTGAGACTCTGTCTTTAAAGACAAAAGAAATTTTTTTAAGCTAGCCTCACTTGTTGGTATGTGCCTGTAGTCCCTGCTACTCAGGAGGCTGAGGCAGGAGGATCACTTAAGTCCAGAAATTCAAGGGTGCAGTAAGCTGTGATCACACTGCTACACTCCAATTGGGGTGACAGAATGAGACACAATCTCTAAAACATGAAAATAAGGACAGATGTGGTGGCTCATGCCTATAATCCCAGCACTTTGAGAGCCTGAGGCAGGTGGATCGCTTGAGCATGGGAGTTCGAGACCAGCCTGGGCAACATGGTGAAACCCCATCTAGGAAAAAAATACAAAAATTATCCAGACGTGATGACTCCTTCATGTCGTCCCAGCTCCTTGGGAGGCTGATTTGGGAAGATCATCTGAACTTGGTGAGGTCAAGACTGCAGCAAGCCAAGATCATGCCACTGCACTTTTAGCCTGAGTAAAAAAATGATACCCTGTCTCAACAATAAAAAAAAATTTTAATTAAAAAAGAGAGAAATTCTGCTTCCTTTGGGTTTAATTTACTCTTCTGTTTCTAGGTTTTTGTTTATTTGTTTGTTTTTTTGAGATGGAATCTTGCTCTGTCGCCCAGACTGGAGTGCAGTGACGCTGTCTTGGCTCACTGCAACCTCTGCCTCCTGGGTTCAAGCAATTCTCCTGCCTCAGCCTCCTGAGTAGCTGGGACTATACAGGCACATGCCACCACGCCCGGCTAATTTTTGTATTTTTAGTAGAGACAGGGTTTCACCATGTTGGCCAGGATGGTCTCGATCTCCTGACCTCGTGATCCACCCACCTCAGCCTCCCAAAGTGCTAGGATTACAGGTGTGAGTCACTGCGCCTGGCCCTGTTTCTAGTTTTTTTAAGATGTAACCATAGAATATTAATCTGATAGCTTTCTTCTTTTCTGATATAGGTATTTAAAACTATAAATTTCCCTCTAAGCTTTGCCTTATATCCATCCCATAAATTTTAGCATGTTGTATATTCAATAAAAATTATTAATGTATGGCAATTATGTGATCATTGAAGAACAAGAAAGGACTTGAATAAACAGAATTTTATGCAATATTCATAGGAAATAAACTTGATAGTATAAAGGCAATAATTTTTAAAAATTTTGCATGATATATTTATCTCTACTGTGTTAGAGAGACAGAGACTAACTTTTCATTTTCAAGGATTGATGAACAATCATCCATAAGTTCTTGAAGTTGAATAACAGGAAACTTTACTTGTTTTTCAAGCCATCTGGCTACTGTAAGAAGCTGCTAGTCACAAAATGCATGTCCAGTAAACGGCAGCC
Organism: Homo sapiens; assembly: GCF_000001405.40. Lineage (NCBI taxonomy): Eukaryota > Metazoa > Chordata > Mammalia > Primates > Hominidae > Homo > Homo sapiens. The sequence continues at coordinate 35,766,946 of NC_000014.9, read as the reverse complement.
CTGTGGGCAACGCTTGGTTTGAGAGTGCAACAGGGTTACTCACTGCTGACAGTCCTGCCATGTTTACAGCCTGTGTAAAAATATCATCCTGGGCACTTCCTGTTCTGTGGTCTTCTTTGATGAATTCCAGGTATGGTACTGCCTTACTCAAGGTGGTGGGAGTTAGCATACTCCAGAGTTAAAAGCATTCACAAAATCATTAGCAATGAGGCATCTCACTTTCTGTGCTTTGATGAAATAATTTTCATATTTTTATTTTAACAAGAAAACATTTCCTGAGAGAATTCTTCCTCTTACAAAATCATTGAACCCTTCTCGTCTGGTTGCAGCATACATGGCTTCAGTAGATACATCAGTGTCACATCTGTGACCATATTGTAGCCCATCAGATCTTGCTATACTCGATGCTGCTTCTGATGTGCACAATAGATGGTAGCAGACAATTGAATAAGTAATGTGAGAAAAGGATACTTCAATTGCTTTGGCCCCCTCAGACTCAAAGAGGTCAGCAGCTTTGGACCAAAGAGACTGTACTTCACTTGATAATTCCAGTACAAGATATTCCTCTGGAATACCTATACATAGTTTGCTCACATTTGTCAAACTGGGAATCATGAATGGTTTAACAGGATCCTGTGCTGTGGTAGAATCCGTAGGGTCATGTTCAGCCAGTACACCCAAGACAATTGCTGCATCATCCACACATCTGGTTAAGATTCCTTGCACTTCCATCAAATCCTCCAGGGAAATGAGACCATGATGGGAAACTAAGCCATAGTTTGGTTTGAAACCAACAAGCCCACAGTAGGCAGCAGGATTTCTGGTCAGCCCTCCAGTATCTGATCCTAAAGCCGCATAGCATGTGAATGCCGATATGGCAACTGCACTCCCACCTGAGCTTCCTCCAGTTATCAGCCAGTCTGAATCTTCATTCTCAAAGTGGAGATTCTGCTTCCTCTTTTCTCTATATTGTTTTGAATAACTCCAGGGGTTTTTAACTGGTCCAAATACGCCTTCTGCATTTCCAGATCTCATAGCAAACTCATCTAAATTTGTTTTTCCATTAGTAGAGCTCCCTAATCCAACAATTTCGGAACTACTATAGCATTACCTTTCAGCATATTTGATGCACATGTAAGACAGTAATTTTTGGCTGGCTGTAGTGGCTCACGCCTGTAATCCCAGCCCTTTGAGAGGCCAAGGTGGGTGGATCACCTGAGCCCAGGAGTTTGAGACCAGCCTGGGTAACATGGCAGTACCCCAACTCTACAAAAAAATACAAAAATTAGCTGGGTGTGGTAGTGTGCACCTGTGTTCCCAGCTACTGGGGAGGTGAGAGGATAACTTGAGACCAAGAGGCCAAGGCTGCAGTAGGCCATGATTGTGCCACTGCACTCCAGCCTGGGTGACAGAGCAAGAACCTGTCTCAAACAAATAAATTTGTTAAGTATATATATAAATATCAATATCACACAATATTTATCAATATTAAATATATATACCATGTATATCAAATATATATCATATATATGTATGTACACACACATATAACAATTCTTAACATTCCTATAGGGATTTTTAAATGTAGCCTAACAAATATATCTTAAAGTTTATATGTAAAATAAAAGCCAAAGCAATTTGGAAGAATAACAAATCGGACCAAGAGGGTGGTGGTGTTGGCTATTTTCATGCCTGATAACAAGATAAATTATAAAGTTATACTAACAAAGGCACTGTTACTGATGTAGGGATGGACAAATGGATGAATGAAAAGGAACATGGAGATCAGCCAAAGACCTAAGCTTATGTATGGAAACTTGAAATATGATTGAGATGGCATTTTAGTTCATTTGAACATCATAAATCCCGAAATAGTACTACACTTGGTTTTCCATTTGTGAAAAAACAAATTCTGTTCCACCCACAAGGAAATAATTTTCTGATAGGTTTCAGGACCTACATGTGAAAAGCAACACATAACAACTTTTTGAAGTGAGTATTTGGTTTATAATTTTAATGTAAGGAAGGATTTCTTTAGACATACAAAGAACACATAAGAAAGAAAAACACTGGCAAATTGATTATATTAAAATTTAAGGCCAGGCATGGTGTCTTATGCCTGTAATCTCAGCACTTTGGGATGGGAGGCCAAGGTGGGCAGATCACTTGAGCTCAAGAGTTTGAGACCAGCCTGGGCAACATGACAAAACCCCATCTCTACAAAAAATACAAAAATTATCCAGGCATGGTGGCATGTGCCTTTAGTCCCAGCTATCTGGGGGCTGAGGCGAGAGGATTACTTGAGCTCAGGAGGTCAAGGCTACAATGAGCCATGATCATGCCACTGCACTCTAGCCTGGGTGACAGAGTGAGAACCTGTCTCAAAATGATAATAAATAAATAAATAAATAAATAAAACTTATCTGCATCAGAAGATACCACCTCCCCACCCAACAAAAACATGATTGAATTGTTTGGGATAATGTATTTTCAATTCATAGAAATAGACACAGAATTAGTAATACAGAAGGAACTCCATATATATATATGTATATAAAGAAGGCCAGGTGTAGTGGCCCACACGTGTAATCCCAGCACTTTGGGAGGCCAAGGTGGGAGGATCCTTGAGGCCAGGAGTTCCAGACCAGCCTTGGCAACATAATGAAGCCCTCTACAAAAATTACAAAAATTAGCCAGACCTGGTGGTGCACATCTGTAGTCCCAGCTACTCAGGAGGCTGAAGTGGGAGGATCACTTGAACCCAGGAGTTTGAGGCTGCAGTGATCTATGATTGCACCACTATTTTCCAGCCTGAACAACAGAACAAGACCCCATCTCTTTAAAAAAAAAAAAAAAGAACAACTAAATTGAAAATTGTGCAAAGGATAAAACAAGGAAACCTTGAATAGCCAAATTAAAAGATGTTCAGTGTCACTAGGAAATATCAAATGAAAGCAACATTAAGATAGTTAACATACATCAGATTATCAAATATTAGAGCATCTGTCAATGTTTTGTGCTGCCAACAATATGGTACTAGAGCCCTCCCATATACGGCTGGTAGTACTGTTAATTGTTACAACTACTTTGGAGAAAATTATCTAATATTTGGTAAAGCTGAAAGTAATTTTATTCCTCTCTCTCTCTCTCTCTATATATATATATATATACACACCCCGGGGAAACTCAGGTGTGTACAGGGAATCATGAACAATAACTATTTATTACGGTACTCTTGGAATAGCAAAAATTTGAAAAAAACCAAATGTCTTAATATAAAGACGATAAATAAATTTTGGTATGTTCATACGGTGGAATAGTATGCACCTCTTAAAATGTATTAACTAGAGCTACATAGATAAGTATAGATAAATTTCTTAAGCTAATGTTGGATGTGAAAAGTAACATATAAATAACTTTTTAAAAAAATAAATGAGTTATATGAAACAGTTTATATTATTTTTTATGGATTTATAAATGTGTAGTAATAATATAAAAATATTTTTTGAAATGATTAATACCAAAGCCTAGATAATGGTTTCCTCTGGGGAAGAAAGGAACAATATGATTTGGGCCTCAGTGATACCTGTACAGTTAAGTAAAACATTGGAGATAATGCAGGTAAGTGAAATAAACATGGAACTACGTGTAGATTTATTCATACTGAGTGGTGGTCCTCTGCAGGTTTGTTCATGTTATTTTCAGTATTTTATTATAGGTTTGAAATATTTCATAATTTAAAAGAAAAAAGGAAATATTAATGACTTTTCAAAACTTAGAAAATTAGTATAATGGAAATATTCATTAGGAAATATTACAGTTAAGGATGTTCATGTGGTTAACTAAATGAAAATTTTCTATAGTGGATTTCATTTGGATAGTGATAAAAGTATTTTATTTTATTCTTAGTCTAAATAAGAGATTTATAATAGATTGTTGTGTTAAATGCAATTTCGGGCCTAGGTTTTGTTAATAAAATAAATCATGTTTAATTGCAATAAAGCATGTGTTGAAAAGGTGATTCTTTTTATATGCCCTTCTGATCCCAAGTATGGCAGAAGGATATAAAGGTCACCAAGAATAATTTGGAGGTTGCCAAGGACTTATTTAAAAGTGTTTTCAAGTCCGACCGAGAACTCTGACATTTACAAATAGATAAGATGTGAATATTTAAAATCATATTTTCTTTTCAGGATTGATTTTAAAGAAGCTACTTCACACAGGAAACTCCTTAAAGGTACAACTATGTTTACTTTCCATGACTTTAAAAATACTGAGTAGAACATACATCCCACCTGTTAACACTTTTCCTACCTAAGCTTTTTCCTAAAGATCTCTGAATTGTCTTCAGTTTATTTAATTGAAGTGAGTTCCCTTAAAATGTAGCAAGAGGCTGGGTGCAGTGGCTCACGCCTGTAATCTCTGCACTTTGGGAGGCTGAGGTGGGTGGACCACTTGAAGCCAGGAGTTTGAGACCAGCCTGGCCAACATAGTGAAACCCTGTCTCTACTAAAAATACAAAAATTAGCCGGGCGTGGTGGCACGTGCCTGTACTCACAGCTACTTGGGCAGCTGAAGCAGGAGAATTGCTTGAACCCTGGAGGCAGAGGTTGCAGTGAGCTGAGATCAAGCCGATGCACTCCAGCCTGGGCGACAGAGTGAGACTGTATCTTAAAAACAAAAACAAAAACAAAAAAAAAACGTAGCAAGAGTTTGTTTGACAAACCATTCTAGGTTGACTGGGGACATTGAAAAAACTGTTGTACTTTGCCACTCAATGGACTCATTCACCAGCAATCTTTCCTCTTTATGGTCCCCAGAAGGAAAACATTGTTTAGTCATTCAACAGATTATTCTTCATTCCACCATAGCCACTATTAGATGTAGAGGGAAGTAGGGGAGATACACATATATATATAAACATTTTTGTTTCTTTTTCATTATGCCATTGTACTGTAGTAAGAGAAGCTGCCCATTCCGAAAATATCTTGCTGTAGGTTAGGTAAAGTAACATTATTACAGGTGCTTTTGGCATCATGGCTTGGGTATAAAAGTACAAAGGAATAAGCCTTCCTGTAGCTTTTCTCCTGTTATCTGGCTGAACCATGAAAGTAACAGCAGTTGAATACCTTTGACAGTGGCCATGAACAAGCTCTGGTAAGGTAATTTACAAAGCTATCAGTGAGGTTAGGTTAGTGGAAGACTAAGTGTTTTGCTTGTCAGAGATTGAATTTTCCTCTATTTCTCTTTTACTGTTTTTATGCTGAGAGAATGTTCATTAATCAGTTAAAATATTTATTGTCTTCTGTGTACAGGGTATTGTTTTAGATGCTTTAATAGAGTAGAACAAAGTTGGTATCTTGGAGCTTAGAATCAAATAATAAGTACATGAGATAATTGCAGAGAGGTTTTAAATAATTTTTATTTAAATTAAATCATTTTATTTTTAATAATTTAATTGTAACTTAATAATTTTAATAATTTCAGAACTTTTCAGGGGCAAGAACATTGAATTCGCAGTGTGCCAGGATCCCCATAACCATTCCTCCTTTTACCAAACTCATTCTCACCACTAACAGTCATTGCTCTCTCTCGCTTCTTGGTTTAGACTAGTGGTGATGGGAGGTAGGCAAGGAGGGAAGTAGACAAGAAGGAAAAGATTTTCTAATTTTTATAAATGGAACTTACAGAATAAAAATTACCTGATGGCTTTAAATAGAGAACAAGTTCATTCTATACTTGTTAAAAATCCATGCATTTGTATTTCTAAATAATGATTTCAATAGATGCTGTCTCTCTTCTCCTCAACTTCCCCTTCCTTCCCTACCCTGCCTCTCGAAAGTATCATTCTGTTGTCATCATCTAGAGAACTTTGTTTTTCAAAGGAAGAAAATATTTCCATTATAAATAAAAATACTGTCTATTTTCATTTTATTTTAGATTAGGCGGGAAGGTGTTCGTCTTTTCTTACTATGGTTGCAAGCTCTTCAGAATAACTGTAGCAAAGAACAGCTCTGGATGTTTTCATGCTTAATCCCTGGATTTTCAGCACCACAGTCTGAACATGGACCTCGAACTTTAGATAATCTCATTAATCCTCCACTCAACCTTCAAGAAAGTAAGATTCATGGGATGTTATCCGTCAGTAGGTTTAAGCTCTCTATGTAGTCTCTTAGTGTATTTTTTCAAATGTCTGTGCATTCATTAACTGGGTAATCCAAGGCAATGCTTTAAAACATAGCTTTTATTATTATTCAGGTATGGTGAAGTCAGCAGATCAAGAAAGCTGTTGAAATAATAGTTTGTTACTCACAGTTCCCAAGAGGAAGGGGCATGCCATGCCACAAGGGCTATGTGGGGGAAGCACCAGAGTTGGTCAGGAGGCAGAGAGAACAGGGGAAAACATGGGCAAGAGTCTTTATTATGGTTTCTATGGGAAGAAACAGGCAACCCAGATTAAGCAAGTTTAGGATTAGCTAGTTTGAATAATTCCAGTGGGCTGTAGATTGTTAAGAGTTGTCCCTAGTTGTCTGGTACCCAGCCCCTTTGTAATTAGGACAGAGGAGCAGTCACCCTGAATGTGAGTGTGGAGGAGGTGGTAGCGGTGTGGGCTCTGGACTGGTTGGTTTGAATATGAAAGGCATGCTCACAGGCTAGTCACTTACTGTCTCTAGGAACTGGCTAGCCCTGGGAAGGACATATTCACTCTAGAGTCAGTAAAGCCCCAGAGGTATAAGCATCAAAAACCTATGGTTAATACAGATCATTTAACATTTTTCATTAATTATTACATATCACCTTGTATCCTGGAGTTAATTTGGATGTACATTGAAGTACAAGTGTGTTTTATTTTGTCCATTAGATGACTGTGAAAATGTTATATGTAAATTGAATTTTTATAAATTTTCATAAATAGTACTGCTATTTAAAAATGTATAATTTCAGTAATGTTTAATTTTTGCTTTCATTCATTAGTGAGTCTTTGTGGTTTACCTTAACTTTTTCTAATATTCCTTTCTTTTTTTTTTTTTTTTTGAGATAGAATCTCACTCTGTCACCCAGGCTGGAGTGCAGTGGCATGGCCTTGGCTCACTGCAACCTCTGCCTCCTGGGTTCAAGCAATTCTTCTGCCTCAGCCTCCCGAGTAGCTGGGACTACAGGTGTGTGCCACCATGCCCAGCTAATTTTTTTGTATTTTTAGTAGAGACAGGGTTTCGCCATGTTGGCCAAGCTGGTCTCGAACTCCTGACCTCAAGTGATTGGTCCGCCTCGGACTCCCAAAGTGCTGGGATTACAGACATGAGCCACTACACCCGACCAGATTTTTCTAACATTCACTTTTTTTTTTTTTTTTACTTCTTTAATTCTCATCTTCGTGTACGAATCCTGTTATTTAAATAAGTTAAAGTTATTTCTTTATTCTTTCATGAGCAAACATTGTCATATACAGTGCTACATTAGTCAGCCAAGGCTGCAATAACCAGACTGGGTGGCTTAATTAACAGCCAATTGGGCCCATTCACATGATCTCATGTAACTTTACCTCCTTAAAGGCCCTCTCTCCAAGTGCAACCACACTGGGGGTTAGGTTTTCAACATATGAATTTTCAGGGTACATAGTTCAATCCAGAGCAAGTACTCTGTTAGGTACTACCTCTTATTTATAATTTTTATTTCTATAAATTTAGGTTTTGTGGTAAAGCAAAACTATGTTTGTAGAACAAAATTTTAGAAACAGTACCAAGCTGGCATAAAATGTATTAATGAACCAGTTCAAATAGGCTACATATGCATGCTTATTTACATTATGTGTTATTTTGAAGTTTTTTGTTTTGTTGCGTTTTGTTTTTGAGTGAGACAGGGTCCTGCTTTGTTGCCTATGCTGTAGCGCAGTCCCATGATCAGCTCACTGTGACCTCAAACTCTTGGGCTCAAGTCAGTAGCTGGGACTACAGGCACATGCCACTCACCACACCTGGCTAATTTTAAAATTTTTTGTAGAGATGGGGTCTTGCTATGTTGCCTGGCTGGTCTTAAACTCCTAAAGTCAAGCAGTCCTCCCACCTTAACCTCCCAAAATGTTGGGATCACAGGTGTCAGCCACTATGTCTGGTCTACTTAACAGATGTTCTATAAGCATTTTTTTTCTCTGCCTCTCATTATAGAGAGGTTTTCTTTCATCACTCTTTTTTAAGAGATAAGGTCTCAAAGCTATGTTGCCCAGATTAGAGTGCAGTGGCTATTCACAGGTGCGATCATAATGCACTGTAGCCTTGAACTCTTGGGCTCAAACAATCCTCCAGCCTCAGCCTTCCCAAGTAGCTGGGACTGCAGATGCACACCACCACACCAACTCTTTTATCAGTGTTTTTGTGGATGACTTTAAAAATAATTATTATTTATTTTAAATATATTTGTGACTGACTTCTGCCCCTTCTCTTTTTAAGAATAGAAGTTTTGCTTTTTAGTCTGTAAGATGTGGAAAATATGGAGTCTCTGTATACTCCCCGGCAGAGACTAAGACGTCTTTATGGGAACAGTGGATTTTAAGGGGGTTTTTATAGCTTCACAAAATAAAGCTTTCATAAAGTGTGTTCTTCTGTATGATGACAGTGGTCCAGGAAGTCCAGAGTACAGATGATAAAGTTTGTATTTTCTTACTTCTTTTCTTTTCGGTTTGTTTTTTTTTTTTTTTTTTTTTTTGAGACAGAGTCTTGCTCTGTCGCCCAGGCTGGAGTGCAGTGGTGCGATCTCGGCTCACTGCAACCTCCACCACCCAGTTCAAGCGATTCTCGTGCTCCAAAGTAGCTGAGATTACAGGCGTGTGCCACCACGCCAGGCTAAATTTTTTGTATTTTTAGTAGAGATGGGGTTTTACCATGTTGGCCAAGGCTGATCTCAAACTCCTGACCTCAGATGATCCACTCGCCTCGGCCTCCCAAAGTGTTGGGATTATAGGCGTGAGCCACTGCGCCCAGCCTAAAGTTTGTATTTTTAAAGAATAATTTTTAAAATACTTTTTAGAATAATTTAAAGAATAATTTTTAAAATGAGTGGCAGAATAACATACCATGTATTATTTAAAAACTGAAATCTACCTCTGTTGTGAGCTTGTTGGTTGATATTTATTGGGAGTCAGGTTTAGGGACCTACATATGTTTACCAGGTACTAATTGTTCAGCTTAGGAAATATTTAAGAGAATTCAGCTAGTTGTGGGTTGACTTTCTTGCATTTGCATTTGTTATAATGAATTTTTCTGAACATCTGAAAAGTAAACAATATAGAACTTTCTTATTTTGTAAGTGTTAACAGATTGGTACTTTGATAAATAAGTGCATTATTACTAATGTTTGTCATCTTATGGAATTTTTGTAATGGGCAGTTTTCATGTGAATTTGAAATTACCAGAAGTTCTTTCTCAACTGAGATGTTACATACTTGTAATCACTGTGTTATTTGTCTGTCCATCCCTTTGTCACATTCTCTCAATCAAGGGTTCACAGAACAGCTGATTGTTAAAATTTGTGGCCAGGCACGGTGGCTCACACCTGTAATCCTAGCACTTTGGGAGGCCGAGGCGGGCAGATCACCTGAGATCAGGAATTTGAGACCAGCCTGGCCAACATGGTGAAACCCCGTCTACTAAAAATACAAAAATTAGCTGGGCATGGTGGCAGGAGCCTGTAATCCCAGCTACTTGGGAAGCTGAGGCAGGAGAATTGCTTGAACCTGGGAGGCGGAGGTTGCAGTGAGCCGAGATCGTGCCATTCATTGCACTCCAGCCAGGGTAACAGAGTGAGACTCCGTCTCAAAAAAAAAAAAAAAATAATAATAATAATAATAAATAAATAAATAAAATTTATTTTTGTGATCAACTATCAGGGATGATCTTAAGATTTATTTCAAGGATCAGTCATTAGAAAGTTTTCAAGCAATTTTCATTGCATACTCATTTTGCAGTTAAAGTTTATTTGGTTATATTATTGTTTTATTAAATTTGTTTTGTAACTATATACTATTCTTTTGTCTTTGGATAGCTCAAGTCACTATAGAAGAAATCACTCCTCTTGTCCCCCCACAATCAGGAGATAAAGGGCAAGAAGATCTCACAAGCTATTTTCTTGAAGCACTTCTAAAATACATAGTCATTCAGGTACTTGTTATCTTCTTTGATATCACACTCCTTACTATCCTATGTGGGTGATTCCCTTTTCTGTCTCTTACCATTATTCTGTCATAGTAGATATTTGCTTATTTTCTTTTTGTCAGGGAGGTTGGAGGGGAAGGGTCAATGGCTTGCTTTTAATTAGCTTTAGCTTTTAAGCTTTTACAAGTGTAATCAACCAAGTGATGGTGGTAGGGGATATTTCCTACACTTCTCATGTAAACTCAAGTTTTAGATTCTTCTTTGGAGTAAAAATAGACTCTTCACTCTTTAGAAGGGTATCCCTTAGTTAAAAAAATTCCCTCTTCGTGTTTTTTCCCTGTATCCCTCTATTCATCCTTGGCTGCCACAATAAAAAAGACAGAAAGTACAAGGACATGTTTTTCTTGCATCTGTAGTGGAAACCTTAGCAGCAGACAGGAACTGCTCCAGGTCTGTCACATAGTAGATGCATATAGTTGCTTATTTTCTCGAAGAAGAAGTGACAAATTTTTGCTATTGAAAATATGTTAATATCTCTTTCTCAAATCACTGGAGGGATGATGACACTCTTAGGAATCTAGAGAGGGACAATTTTGTAGACTCTTTGCGTATACCTTCTTATGTGAGACAGTTGTGCTTATTTTCTAATCCTTTCATTTGTGATCAGCAGTTGTGATACTTCAAATGAAAAGCTGAAAATTGTTTGATTTAGGAATCAATCTGCCAATATGTAACAACTAGGGAGGTAGGCTGCAGGATAATGATTAGGAGAAATGTAATTTACACTTAAACCTGTTTGTACCTTTTGAATTTCTAGGTGCATGTATTTTGCAAGGTAACCTATTCACCTTTAGATATAAAATGTGCATACCCTGATTGACTGATGAAAACGCTTTTATTCACACATTTCTTATAATGGCTCCAAACACAAAAATTCCTCATACCTCAGAAACAAACATTATAAAGTTAATTTGGACCCTAAACTAGATTGCCAGAGTTTGAACCCTGATTCCACATTTTACTAATAGTGTGGCTATTGGCAAATTACTTAATAACCACTTAGTGTTTCTGTGTCCTTATTTGTGAAATAGAGATAAAAATAATACCATTTTGGTGTATGAGGCCTAAATAGTGCACAGTGCTTAGAATAAAATAATGCATAGCATGCCATAAGTGTTCTGTAGTGGGCAGGTGTTATGATCATCATTGTTATTACTAATTTTTCTTTAAAAATACTTTTGTACTTCATATAGATTTTAAAGATTGCTTTACTGATTTATTGAGCTATAATTGATACACAATAAACTGCAATATTTGAAATTTACAGTTTAATGAATTTTATTATGTGTATACATCCATGAAACCTTTACAATTAAGATAATGTATATATTTATCACCTCTAGGCATTTTCTTGGATCTTTGTTTGCTTTGTTTTTTTGTTTGTTTGAGACAAGGTCTTGCTCTGTAACCCAGGCTGGAGTACAGTGGCCCAGTTATGGCTTACGGCAGCCTCAACCTCCTGGGCCCAAGTGATCCTGACACCTCAACCTCCCAAGTAGCTGGGACTACAGACCACTGAGCCTGGCGAACTAAAACTTTTTTTTTTTTTGTTAGAGAGAGATAAGGTCTCACTGTGTTGCCCAGGCTGGTCTCAAACTCCTGAGCTCAAGTGATCCTCCCACCTTGGCCTCCCAAAATGCTGTGATTATAGGCGTGAGCCACCATGCCCCTTGGATCCCTTTGTAATTCATCCCCTTGAATTCTCACACCACCATTTTATCTTTAGACATCCATTGATCTGTTTTTTGTCATTATAGAATAGTTTGTTTTCCATAGTTTTATGTAAATATAATCATAGGGTACATAGTTTTTTTGGTCTTGCTTTGTTTTCTGTTTGATTATTTTGAGAATTGTCTATCTTCTTGTATGTGTCAGCAGTTTGCTCCTTTTATAGCATTCCATTGTAGGGGATGCACCAGTTTATTCAGTTATTTGTTTATGGTTATTTGAATGGTCTCTAATTTTTGGCTATTTAAAGTAAAACTGCTGTGAATATTGGTAAACAAGTTTTTGTGTGGACATAATAACAGTAGAATGGCTGGGTCAAATAGTAGGGGTATATATTGACTATTTAAGAAACTACCAAGCTGTTTTCCAAATGACTGTACCTTTTTACATTCCACCAGCAATATGTAAGACTTATACAATTGCTTCACATCCTCACCAACAGTTGGTACGGTCAATTTGTAATTTTAGCCATTCTAGTGAATGTGTAGTGGTATCTCATTATGATTTTAATTTGTATTTCCCTAACAGCTAATGGTATGTTGAATATCTTTTTATGTGCTTATTTTTCATCCATATATCTTGGGTGAAGTGTCTGTTCACTTTTTTTGCCCATTTTTAAATTGGCTTGTCTTATTAAGTTTAAGCTTTTTATATGTTTTAGAAAGAAGTCCTTAGTCAGATGTATGTTTTGCAAATATTTTCTCCCAGTAGCTCGTCTTTCCGTTTTCATAGCAGTCTTTTTAGAAGCTTTTTATTTTGATGAAGTCCACTATACCACTTTTTTAATGGATCTGACTTTTGGAATTGTTTCTAATCTTTGCCTAATCAAATGTCACAAAGATATTCTCCTACGTTTTGTTCTTGAAGTTTTATAGTTTTATGTTTTACATTAAGGTCTGTGGTCCATTTTAAGCTAATTCTGATGTATGAGCAATGTTGACTTTAATCCTTTGATTAAGGTAGCGTCTGCCAGGCTTTTCCAGTGTAATATCAGTAAGTATTACACTGGAAAATCAACAAGTATTTTGTGGGGAAGTACTGTGTAACTACCTAAATATCCCCTTTCTTACAGAAATTTCACATGTTTTAGGATCCATTGAAGGCTTTTGACTTTGTAATTACGCGGGTTACCAAATGGTAATTTTTAAAAAACAGCTTTATTGAGATATGATGCACATTTTATATAGTTCACTCACTTAAAACGTACAGTTCAGTGTGTTTTAAGTGTATTCACAGGGTTACACAGCCATCACAGTATAATTTTAGTGCTAATAAGAAACCTCATACCCATTAGGAGTCAGTCCTCTTACCCTCAACCCTTTCATCCCCACCCCTATGGCAAACATGAATTGATTTTCTGTCTCTATATATTTGCCTATTCTGGACATTTCATGTTAATAGGATCATACAATATGTAGTCTTTATTGACTAGCTTCTTTTACTTAGCAAATGTTTTCAAGGTGTATCCATGTTGTAGCACGTATCGATACTTCATTTTTATTGCGGTGAATAATATTATATTGTATACATATACAGTATTTTGTTTATCTCTTCATCAGCCGATGAGTATTTGAGTTGTTTCTACTTTTTGGCCAACTGGTGATATTAATTCCATCATTACTTCTACATTCAAGAGTTGGCTACATACTGTAGGAAAAAGCTTTCTCCCCTCCCCATTTGTTTACTTACTTATTTATCTCAAGACGGATTTATGCATTCCTGTGAATTCATGTGTTAATGTTTACTACAGTTACCAATTTTGATGCTCAGGTTGTCCTAAATTTGTCTAGTGGAAGTTCCTTCAAGCTGAATCCTATGCCTTTGAATTGTTTCCGTCATTGTCTAAGCACTTCCTTACTTCCTGGCACCACAAGATGTTCCAAGCTCATCTCGTACCTTCCTTGTCCACTCTGGAATCTGCTGCTTCTCTAAGGAGCTGTCATTCATTTTAATGAAGAATTGTATTCACAGACACAGACACACACAAATCCATGTTTCTGCCTGTCTGTCTGTTTATCTATCTATCTTAATGTTAATTCATACCCATTTTCCAGATTTTAGTCTAGTACCACAGGGTTCATTCTGGTTTCTTCCTTTCCATATTTATAACTCTTACCTGTCAATGAGAAATGTGGCTCATATTATTCTTAGTATATATACTTATTTAATCAGTCCCCCTTGTGTATAATCAATCTCCCGTTGCCACCATTGCCCTCCTCTGCAGACATTCTCCTTAACTTGATTGGGTTCCAGTACCCCACTCTGGGCCTTTGCCAACCACCTGCTTGGATGTCTTCGTCACCTTCTTAGAGTTCTCATACCCTATATTATACTGCTGTATCTCTTTCTGTCCTCACTTCTTCCACTTCATGGACACCCTCCTCACTCCTCTCAGACTGTGAGTCACCACTGGGTTACTGTACCCCCTTTATGGATGCCCTGCGTCCTGTGTCAGGCTCTGATCGTCTGCACTTGACTGCTGCTACTGCTTACATACACACACCCCTGCCACATATGCTTATGTATTTTGTATGGTTTTTTAGGCTGAATTATTCAGGAAGGGGCAAAAGGGAAAGAACTTTAATATTTTTGTCATTAGTAGGGCCACTTTTGTGTAATTTTCATAGTCTTTTGAAGCATACTTCTAAGGTTTTTTAAACATATACATAATGTACTTGTTTGACATTAGACCAATTTAAAAGATTTGTCCTTATGCTATGTATCATGATCTTTAGTGTTAACAGTTCAGTGTATTGCAACCTTTTACAAGCTTGTTTATAATTGCTAATACTTGCATTTAAGAGATTCTTTCTTCTGGAATGATTCTAATTATATAATTTATTTTTAGGTAAAAAGTTTAGAATGGAAGAACAAAGAAAACCAAGAAAGGGGATTTTCATTTTTGTTTTCACATTTTAAGAAATATTACTTGCCTTATATTTTTCCAAACATCTGTAAGGAAAACAGTTTATATCATCCTATACTTGGTAGGTAATGTTTGAAATTTTCTGAAAGATCACACTTAAGAGTAAAATAATCTCTTACTGTAAAGTTGGCATTTGTTACTGCAGGAAACTGATCATATTTAATACTTGTATTGGTTGGTATAGATATGATACCTAGATTCATACTGAAAGCAAATTTATATTAATAGGAAATTTTCAATGAGGATGAGTTTTTCTTTTTTTGTTTTTTTTTGTTGTTGTTGTTGTTGTTGTTTTTTTTAAGAGACAGGGACTCACTCTGTCACCCAGGAGGCTGGAGTGCAATGGCATAATTATAGCTCACTGCAGCCTTGAACTGCTGAGCTCAGGCAGTCCTCCCATCTCAGCCTCCCCAGTAGCTAGGACAACAGTCATGCACCACCACATCTGGCTAATTATTTTTTTTTTAGAGATGGGATCTCCCTATGTTGCCCAGGCTGGTCTTGAACTCCTGGCTTCAAGTGATCCTCCTGCCTTAGCCTCCCAAAGTGCTGGGATTATAAGCATGAGCCACCACACCCAGCCAACAATGAACAGATTTTTAAAAACACTTGTTCTCTGGATCTTATCAATTATAAAAGTTAGCCCACCAGAAATATTTGCGATTGTAAATTAAACTGAATTCTTGTTTGGCATGATCCTTAGACTATATTATAAATTTTCTTTTTAAGGTCCCCCCATATGGGGGTTCAATCAAGTGTTAGTCTTATTCAAATTCTGTGTGAATAATTACATAGCCATGTTTCATCCAGTATTTATATAGATTGGTGCAAAAGTAATGGCAGTTTTTGCAATTACTTTTAATAATTATTGTGCCAACATATCTCTTGGAACCTTGAGCCTAGAGCCTTGTGTACAAATCCTGGGTTAGAAGCATATCTCTGCCATATATAGAAGGTATTGGTAGTCCGTAGGTAAATTGTCTCTTTCCCAGAAAGATGTTCCTAATACCAAGTTTAGGCAACTAACAGGCTCAGGTAAAACCTCATATTTTGTATGACTTCAAACTATGTGTTTCAGTGGTAGGTTAATTGAAGTGTGAGCTCTTATTTATTTTAAATGGTTCTGGAAGCTTCTTTGTACTTAGGTAGGTTCACTGAACTTTTTGATATTTTGTAAAAATACATGTTT
This sequence comes from Homo sapiens, assembly GCF_000001405.40. Lineage (NCBI taxonomy): Eukaryota > Metazoa > Chordata > Mammalia > Primates > Hominidae > Homo > Homo sapiens. Next base: position 35,750,895 of record NC_000014.9, on the reverse strand, counting down.
CCACATATCATCCTGGTATATATGGTTCACTCTTCTGAGTTCCATGCAAACATCTGGCAAATTTTGAAATGTCATTTCTGTGCTAAAGCTACTTCTGAAACCAGAGTAGCATAACAATATTTTCTCAAGTATTTAAAAATGTAGGTTTTTTCTAAACATAATTTCTTTCTTATTTTGGTTTTCATCTTCCTTTTATTTTGCACAGACATCCCGCAGATGAGACCAAAGCCACATTATGTCGTGATAAAGAAAGATGCTGAAACCAATGAAGCAATCTATTGTACAAAGGAGCCTTTCATTAAGGCTCGTGTTATTGTCATTCGTTGGCTGGTTTCTTTCTGGCTGGAGCCAAAACCACATACAGGACCTCATATTCCTGGGATGGAAGGTGAAGTCTTGCCAAAGAATATTCAGGTAATGCACAAATGAGGCAGGCCTGTTAAAGTTAGAAATGGCTTTTGAGATTTAGTCCATTGAGTTCAGTTGCCTTAGGTGGAGCGTACACTTAAATAATAGTGCTATTTTATTTGTATAAATATATTTTGTAAATGCAAATTTTAATTATAGAATTAATAAGTTTCTTAATAAAGAAATGAAACGGGAAGTATAGAAGATAATTTCATTAGTATGTCAGTCTCAGCTTCTTATTTCTGTATTTTAATTATACAATACTAAAAATATTCTTTATTGTACAGATAAATCTTACAAGTGAAAAGAACTGTGATCAAATGGTAGAACCTTGATGGCCCTTTTTAATTTGGGGGCATTCACAAAATGCAGATTAAAAGACCTGTTCACACCCCCTTCCCCCCTTTTTCAACAAAGACGCCAAGTCTAGAAATGTGATATAAAATTACAAAGCAATACAGTAGAGGAACTAATATTTCAAACTGTTGTTTTGGATTTAACAGTTTACTTTTTTCCCTCATACTTCTTTTTTATCTTCTATTTTCCCTCGTACATTTTTCTAAACATGTCTATATTACAGTATTTTTACTACTTTTATTTTCCTCTCCTCAGATTTTCTTAGTTTTTAAAATCTTAAACTATGTGTGTTTTTTCTATAACACCTTAAATCTTTTATAAGTAGGATAAAGGTATAACGTGTGTTTAGTTCATCAGAATTCAGAAAATTTGACTTTTATTCCTCTTAGTTTATTTATCTTTAGCAAACTGTATTGTGTGTCTTCCTCCAAAACTTTGCTCTAACTTCTGTATTAAGAACTATTAAGTGCGAAAATTCTCAAGCAGAACTATCTGCTTTCTGATCCTAGAATGTAATGGATGAAAATCATAAATGTTTTTGGTTGGAAAGGTATATTTGAGGTCATTTATTTAAGCTCTGTTATTTTATGGATGACAAAACTGAGGCCAAAAATTGAATAACTTAACAGAAAGTAATTTATACCACAGAATAGTGCTACTTTTACCATATAGTAATTTGCTTATCACCACCTTAAGACTTAATTTTTCCCTATCTGGTTAGGCTTGATCTTCAGACTTGGTGAAAATTCCATTATTAGAATTATAGAATTTTCTCTCAAGTTTTCTAATATTTTCTGTTAGTTTTGTTCCTACTTCTGTCATAAATTTTGTTCCTTTGTTTTTTGTTTTGTTTAGGAAACTTTTACTTGTCTAAATTTTTGTCCACAGTAAAATAGAGATAATTTTAAACATTAAGTTTTTATTAGGTAAACATTCTGATGTTAAGTTATTTACTTATTCTTGAAGGTCTGAGCTGTCTCTAATTCCATTATTCATCCACCCAGCTTTGATTAATAACTTGTTTGAACTGCAAACTTACTGAGAAGAATATATAACTATAGGTGGGTAGATGATTAATTACCACACATTTTGGAGTATCTGTCACTTAGATGTTGAGTTACTTGCATTGCCACTTAATTATTTAGAATGGCTTTTAAATGAAACTCTATGCCCGGAGTTTAAGCAGTGGTATAAATTACTTGGGAAATGTTTTGGATTTTGTCAGTATTACCTATTAAAAGACAAAATACATAGTTAAATGATTATGATATTGTTTCTCTCTTTTTTTTTTTTTTTTGTATTTTAGAGAGCAGCTGCTAGTTTAGTATCCAGAGAAGAAAGCAAAAATGATAATGCTGATAAAACAGACAGAACTACAGAACCCGAACAGTCTCATTCCAATACAAGCACTCTCACGGAGCGAGAACCTAGCTCATCTAGTCTCTGTAGTATTGATGAAGAACATCTCACAGACATTGAAATAGTTCGCAGAGTTTTTTCTTCTAAAAGGAGTAATGTAAACTTTGTGACAGAGATATTTCGTCAGGTAACATACCTCTCAGTATTTTTAATTTATAAGGAAGGCTTTTATCTTTAATATTAAACATACTGATTTTTAGCTGGGAACAGTGGTGTGTACCTTTAGTTGTAGTTGTTCAGGAGGCTGAGGTGGGAGAATCGCTTGAGCCCAGGAGTTTGAGGCCACTTTGGACAACATGGAGAGACCGCATCTCTTAAAAAAAAAAAAAAAAAGAGCGAGAGAGAGAAATTACTGATTATTAGCTATTTAAAATATATTCTTCATGTAGATTTTTAAACTAATTTAAGTAATTCTTAGTAGTAATTCTTAGTTTAAGAATTTTAAACTAAGTAATTATTAAACTAAGTTTATACTTAGTTTATATAATTTACATCTAATCCTCTAGTATTTTCTATTCTTTATATATTTTAGTTTGTGATACTTTTAGCGTAATAATTATTTTCCCCTTATACTCCTGTTACTAGAATAATTTTTTAAATTACTCATTATAGATTGAAACTCTTCTATCATTTGATTAATAAACTATGGTAAAATTATTTTATCTTCCACTCTATCATCAGTAAATGGTTTATGATATAAGAAGGGAGGTTTTTATTGCTTTTACCCTCAAGGCTTAGTTTTGTCCTCTAAGGCATTCTGAAGTCAAAGTTGATTAAGACAGATATTTCTTAAGGAAAGTATAGAAAAAAAAAAGGGAAAATAAAAGAACAAAAAGCTATTTCACATGAAACAGCTGGAAATCCCTAAGTGCATGTTCTCAAATATGTAGAAATTTTGTGGAAGAGAAACCTTATGAAAACTACTATTTGCTCTTGATGGCAAAGGCACTTAACTTTTACAGGTAAACAACATTGAGTTTTGCAGCTGAGGGGGATCATTCAGGTGTCTCAGCAAGTAAGTGGTAGATCTTCAAATAAAATGCCCACATCCTGGTTCCCATGTCAGTGCTCTTTATTCAGTGCCACACTGCATTCACATTCCAGGGAGCTCTCTAGGCAAAGCAAATAATCTTGATCTCCACACATACTTATTGATGTGTAAAACAAAGCATGAGACAGCATTAGCCTTGTCAGCCTAAGTTAAAGAAACAAACTCATTTTCATTTTTGTCCAGTGTTGGCAGTGGTTCCAGCCAGATTTAAGGTTTGTGTTTACAGAATATGTAACAATTGGGAAAGGAAAGACATTTGACAAATTATGTTGGAATACTCATGGGGAATTTTAAAGCTTGTAGAACTATTCAGGCTTTCCAGTTGTTGAGTCAGTTTAAATAAGTTTATTTTTCTAGGCATTTCTTCTTGTGTTTGTTTTCAAATTTGTTGACAAAGCTTATCACATCCTCTTATAATCCTTTTAACCTCTGAAGCATTTATAGTCATGTTTCTCCTTTTCATTCCCATAAATGCAGTATTTAATTGCCTGGTGATTTTTAAATTTTTTTTGTAGAGTGGGGTCTTGCTCTGTTGTCCAGGCTGGTCTTGAACTCCTGGCCTCAAGCAATCCTCCTGCCTTGGGCCTCCCAAAGTGCTGGGATTATAGACATGAGCCACTGTGCCTGGCCCTATCCCTTGTTTGTTTTTCTCTCTTTCTTTTTTTCTTTTTTTTAATGATGATTCTTGCCAGAGATTTGTCAGTTTTATTAGTCTTTTCTTTCTGTCTTTTTCTATCTTTTCCCCCCAGCCCCCATTCCTTTTCCTTTAGTGGTTATCGTATAAGTTTTAACATGTATACTTCACTTTTCAAGTTCTAAAGTTATTTTTTTACCCTCTTCCTAATCAATACAAGGACCTTAGAACCCTACTAGTCTGATTTTCCCCCCAACATATATATTACTATCAAGTAATTTAGTTCTATTTTTTGTGTTGGTGTGTATTTGTTATATATTTGCCACTTTATTTTATCATGATTTCTTCCCTTTCAGATCTTCTATTTAGAATCACTTTCCTCTGCTTGAAGTTCGTCATTTAGAAATTACTTTAGTGGATGTATGTTGGTATCAAACACTTCTAATTTTATGGGGTTTTCCCAACTTTATTGAGGTATACCCGACAAATAAAAATTCTATATATTTAAGGTGTACATTGTGATGTTTTGATATACCTGTACATTGCGGATGATTACTACAATCAATCTGGTTAACATAATCATGGCCTTACATAGATAAAATTTCATTTGCTTGCATATGGTAAGAACACTTATGATAAAATCTTCTAGCAAATTTCAAGTGTAAAATATGGGATTATTAACTATAGTCACCATGCTAGATATCCAGAACCTGTTCATCCCACATAACTGAACCTTTGTACATTTTGATCAGCATCTCCCATTTTGCCTGCTGCTCAGCCCTTAGTCACTACCATTCTACTCTGTTTTTATAAGTTTGATTTTTTATATTGCAAATTTAAGTGAGATTATACAGTAAGTTGTCTTTCTGTGTCTAGTTTATTTCACTTAGAATAATGTCTGCTGGATTAATCCATGTTGTTGCAAATGTGGGATTTCCCTCTTTTTGTTTTTTTGAAACAGGGCCTCACTCCATTTCCCAGGCTGGAGTACAGTGGTGTGATCACAACTCACTGCTCAACTGATACCTATGCCTCAGCCTCCTGAGTAGCTGGGACTACAGGTGCACACCACCATGCCTACCTAATTTTTAAAAGTTATTTTGTAGAGAGGGGTTCTCGCTATAATATTGCCCAGGCTGGTCTCTAAGTCCTTGCCTAAAGCCATCCTCTCTCGTCGGCCTCCCAGCGTGCTGGGATTGAAGGCATGAGCCACTGTGCCTGGCCCTAGGATTTTCTGCCTTTTTTTTTTTTTTTTTTTTTTTTGAGATGGAGTCTCGTGCTGTCACCCAGGCTGGAGTACAGTGGCACTATCTCGGCTCACTGCAGACTCTGCCTCCCGGGTTCAAGTAGTTCTTCTGCCTCAGCCTCTTGGGTAGCTGGGATTACAGGCATGCGCCACCATGCCCAGCTAATTTTTGTATTTTTGGTAGAGATGGGGTTTCACCATGTTGATCAGGCTGGTCTCGAACTCCTGACCTCGTGATCTGCCCGCCTCAACCTCTCAAAGTGTTGGGATTACAGGCATGAGCCACTGTGCCCGGCCAGATTTTCTGCTTTTTAAAGGCTGGATAATACTGTGTGTGTGTGTGTGTGTGTGTGTGTGTCTGTCTGTGTGTCTGTGTATGTGTATTTCTGGCTGTCTGTTCCATTGCTCTATATGTCTGTTTTTTATGCTGGTACCATACTGTTTTGATTACTGTTTAGTAATGTATTTTGAAATCAAGACATGTGGGTACCTCCTGCTTTGTTCTCCTTGTCAAGATTATTCCAGGTCTTTTGTTGCTTCTTCATAGACGAATTAACTGCTGATTTATGAACTTGAATATTCTGATTTCTTTGACAGTTAGTTCTCATTGTAAATTGATAAATTATCACTCTGGTTTTATACATCAGTTTTTAGCTATGGCTAATAACAGTCTTTCCTCACAATTCATATTTAGCATGTTGGCAAAATCATATTTTGGAACCTGCAAGGACATAGGTCTCTGGTCTATAGTAAATTCAAGCTGCTAGGTTGTAGTCTGACAACTTGTGTAATATTTTAGCTCTGGATGATATTAATTTTTTAAGATTATTAAATTTTATTTTTCAGTGTTTTAGATTGACAGCAAAATTGAGTGGGAAGTACATACTAATTTTTCTGTATCTTAGAATTTCTTTGGGATCATTTTAACTATTTTAATGTTTTAAATTTTATTGTGAATCTTTTTAAGGAAGGCTGAGCTGTTGCTACAACTGTAAAATAAATATTCTTAAAGCAGGCAGTGATGATCAAAATCTTGCCATTTGACCATTAAGCTGCTAGAATATGAGAGTGATAATTTAGGAATGAGTTGATTAAAGAAAATAACAAAGTAGTTTACTAAGGAATTAATAATAGCAAATAAAAGGTTTAACAAACAACAATAAATATTCTGTTGATATTGCACCTTAACTTTCCATCATCATCTTGGGAGCTGACTTTTTTGCTGATTTCATTCCGATAAGATAAGTTCATTTGACCACGTGATTATTATTTAATACATCTACTGATAACTCTATAATAGAAAGTGGCAGATTTTAGATAAAGGGTTTGTGATTTTTAAGGTTGATATTAACAGGTAGTATCATAAAAAAATAAAAAGTAAAAGCAATTTAATTCTTTTTTTTTTTTTTGAGATGGAGTCTTGTTCTTGTTGCCCAGGCTGGAGTGCAGTGGCGTGATCTCAGCTTACCGCAACTTCCATCTCTCGGGTTCAAGCGATTCTCCTGCCTCAGCCTCTCAAGTAGCTGGTATTACAGGCATGCGCCACCACACCCGGCTAATTTTGTATTTTTAGTAGAGACGGACTTTCTCCATGTTGGTCAGGCTGGTCTTGAACTCCCGCCCTCAGGTGATCTGCCAGCCTTGGCTTCCCAAAGTGCTAGGATTACAGGCGTGAGCCACCGCGCCCGGCAGCAATTTAATTCTATTTGCACCTAAAAAGTAAAGTAAAAATATTAACCCATAAACACAAACACACACAAGGAAAAGACTTTGGGTGATGAGATTAAGCGTATTTTTGCTGTTTTATTTTTCCCTGTCTGGATTGTGTAAATTTTTTTTCTATGAAAATGTGTATTTGTGATAAGGAAAATATTTTTTTTAAGATCCCAGAAAATACTGGAAGAAAAGAATAACAATGAGATTTTTCTTTTAAATTTTGCCTTATTGTTAAACTATAGAACTTGATTATACATAAAATGAAATATGCAAGCCTTAATTTTTTTCTTTGTATGCTTAGAAAAGGTGAGGTACCTTATTACATATGATTTTTATTAGTTTCTGGAGGCAAATTTAATTTTTATTTTAAAATCAAAATCTATTTTAAAAGAAATAGTTCTCAAAAAGACAATGATGACTGGGTGTGGTGGTGTGTGCCTGTAGTTCAAGCTACTCAGGAGACAGAGGCAGGAGAACCACTTGAGGCCAGTTCAGTCTAGCCTGGGTAACATAGCAAGACCCTGTCCCTAAAATAATAAAAAATTTAAAAACCACAATAATGTGAGTTACAAAAAAGTGTAACTTATGAAAAGTCGTATTTATATTGACCTTTGTAAGAGCTCAATTATTTCAGGAAGCAAGGAATATCACCATTCTGAGTAATACAATTTCAACTAATCTTTATTTCTTCTACTTGAAGTCAGTGCCTATCTACCACAAACATTCCTATATCAGTGTGCAAATTAATTTGGAGACAATAGGCTTTTTACGACAATGAATTGGTTAACTTTTAAAAGTTGTTTTTTATCTCACATTTTATAATACGATAAATAAATGTACAGCAGATCTTTAAGAACATTGTTTAACTATAATGTTGATGGCAAAAAAAAAAAATAGATTCCCAGCAGGGGCCACTGTCTGTGTGGAGTTTGCATGGTCTCCCCATGTCTATGTGGGTTTTCTCTAGGTACTACAGTTTCTTCCCATATCCCAAAACTGTACACATTAGGTGAATTGGTGTGTCTAAATGGTCTCAGTCCGGGTGAGTGTTGGGGTGTATGTGATTGCACCCCACAATGGAATGGCATCCTGTCCAGGACTGGGTTCCTGTCTTGCCCCTGAGCTGCTGGGATACACTGGCCACCAGTGACCCTGAATTAGAATATTTGGGTAATTAATTGTCTTACTTATTTTTATTAATCTTTCTTAAGTGTACATATAGCTCACATTTATTTCAGTGTTTAATATTGTAAGTGTTGTGGTCTCTATTTAGAAGTTTGGTGATTTTTTTTTTTTTTTTTACTAGAAATATACCTTAGGAACTTAACTCTTATTTATATCAATTAGCTTATGGCAAAATGAGTTTTGTTTTATGTCATTGTTTTGCTTAAAGTTGCAGTTTCCAAGAATCTATGATGTGATGTGAAAAACATTACTGCGTTAGTGGTTTGTGGCAAAGGAAAAAGTATCATTATCTTGATTCTCCTTTTTTTCCCTAGGCATTTTTATTACCAATTTGTGAAGCAGCAGCTATGAGAAAAGTGGTAAAAGTATATCAAGAATGGATCCAACAAGAGGAAAAACCTTTGTTCATGCAAGAGCCTGAAGAAATTGTGATCACTTCTTCAGACCTCCCTTGCATTGAAAATGTCACAGACCATGATATTTCAATGGAAGAAGGAGAAAAAAGAGAAGAGGTGAAGTTATAAGATTTATATATTTTAGTGTTAGTCTAATAGATTAAGAGTTTTGCAGAAACATAATAATGGGTTAACACAAATATACTTATTAAATGGGAAGATAAAGATATCTTTCAGTATATTTTGCAACAATTTAGGTAATATAAGTAGTCATCTCAGTACCGTATAGCAAAGCCCTGTGATACCACAACTTTTAAAAATTAGTATTGAGGTTGTATACTGATTCTTTAAGCCATTGTCTAGATAAAAATTAGGTACTGTTATAAAGGTATAATATTTCAAACTGTGGTACTACATCAAAATGGATTTTAAAATACATACTTTCAGGGGGTTGTTATTACCAAACCACAGTTCCTCCTTTCCTGGAAGGAGTAACTATTTAGGAGTGGCTACCCAGCATAAGCTACAGTGTTTGTGCCCCCTCCTTGGAATCTTTTGCACTAGAGCTGATTTCAGAATGTGAAACTTCTTGACTTGGTAAAATAAGTTATTCTGTGATAAGAAAGACTAGAGTTTACTCACAGCAGGGAAAAGATGAGAAAAGAGAGAGTAGTAGAGGTGGCATTTGGGTTCCTGGGGTTCCATTTATTCCTTTGATTGTTCAACCTTTGTCACAGGTCAGACTCTCCAACAGCAGATGCTAAGATGGAGTTAGGAGTGCAGAAAGTTTATTGAAAGTGATTTATCTGTTTTGTCTGATTTGCCTTTCACCATAAAGTTGTCTGCGATTGATACATATCTTGCTAAATCTAGATAGGAATGATTGAGTAATGCTTATTCACTTTAGTGGTTAATCTAACCTCATCAGTGGAATTTAGTCAGGATACTAATGTGTGGATGAATAGGCCAGTTCTGTAGGGATTTGATGAGCCTGAGCGTGTGTGTGTGTGTGTGTATACGTGTATATGTATATATACACACAAACATAGAGCACCCTCCCCCCTTCTAAGAAAGGGAAAAATGTAACTGAGAAATATAATTGAAGTAAATAAAATTAACCATATGAATTATGAAATAATATCTACAGTCCTAATTCTTACACACCAATGAAAAATATCAAATTTATTGATATTTTTATGCTGGAAAATAAACCTATGAGTTTAAAAAGAATTTGTTTTCTCTGACTTTTTTAGTCATGATGTGCCATATATAATGAGCCTACCCCACATCATTTACTATTCTTAAATAAGAATGATGGATAATATAAACTATCTACATACATAATTGAAAAACAAACAATGGAAGGAATGAAAGGAGAGAGGAAAGGGTAGATTGGTGATGTTAGGTATGTTGTGTAGGTTTGTTCTATTCGTTACTCAAGTAGTGTAACCAGCACTGGCTGCCATTAGAGATGTGGTTTTTCGAAGTGCCAGCGACTCTTGCAAATGGTGTGGACCAAACCCAAAAGGTATAATGTTCTGGTTTACATTTCTGATAAATTCAATATATAAGGGAGTCATTTAAATTTTTGGTGTTACAGTTATAAAGTGGAATTATGTTATAAATTCAGATAATTGTAAATGGGTTTTTAATTTTATTTATTATTATTATTATTTTGAAACAAGGTTTTCCTCTGTCGCCCTGGTTGGAATGCAGTGGCATGAGCTCAGCTCACTGTAACCTCCACCTCCCGGGTTCAAGCCATCATCCAGCCTCAGCCACCCAAGTAGCTGGGACTACAGGCACTCGCCACCATGCCTGGCTAATTTTTTTGTATTTTTAATAGAGACAGGGTTTCACCATGTTTCCCAGCTGGTCTTGAACTCCTGAGCTCAAGTGACCTGCCCACCTCAGCCTCCCAAAGTGCTGGGGATGACAGGCGGGAGCCACAGCCCCTGACCTAAGTGGGCTTTTAAAATTCTCATAGCATCTGTGAGACATTTGAAAGACATACAGAATACAAGACAGTTTCTTTTTTGTGTGTAGGACTGTCATGTGCTGTGTAGGATGCTTAGCATTCTCTGTCCTATTTCATTAAATTCCAGTGGTATCTTTTATTTATTGTGACAAGAAAACACTCACAAATTTCAAAATACCATACAAAGCTTTTGGTTGCCCACATTGAGAACAAGTGTTGGAGGTAGAAACATGAGCAGACATTATTTCTACCTTCACATAACTTCTGGTTTAGCTGGAAGACAAACATACAAAATAAGTATTATTATAAAACAGTGTTACTGCTATGATCCTAGAGCATGAAAGAGAGAACACCTAACTCTGCTTGGGGAAATCAGGGAATGCTTCATGGAAGAGATAGTATAAGATAAAAGAACAGGTAGACAAATGGGAAAGGTAACACACCGTGTGAATAGCACCTGCAAATGTATGAGAAACCTTGAAAATATTTTTATTTGGCTGCAGCGTAGAGTAGATGAGACAGAACAGCAGGAAATATGAGATAGACAGGACTAGATTCTGTTCAGTAACTTGTATGCCATGTTAGTAGGCTTTAATTACATTCTAGAAACTGGAAAGCCTTTGAATAAGAGAGTAGCATGAACAGTTACATACTTGAGAAGGTCATACCAGGCCCAGAATGGAGGATAGATTGTAGGTCAGTCTGTAGGCAAGGAGACCAGTTAGGAAGGATTAGCAAAGTTTGGAAGTGAGATGATAAGTACCTGATCTAGGACAGCGGTAGTTGCAGTGGAAATATAAGGGAGAGGACAGATATACTAGTGTTTTTGAGGAATGGGGAGGTGTCGCAAGTTTCTTTCTTTTGCAACCAGAGTAGTTGCCATTCACACATGGATGGGAATTTTAAACAGCTCAAGTTTGGTGATGGCTAAGGCAGCTGGAGGGATTGGGTTGGCAGGAATTGGGGGGAATCTGATTAATAAACTTATTTTAAAATATCTGAAGTTTGAGATGCTTGTGGGTCATTCAGGAAGGGCTCTTCAGAAGACACTTGATTACAGGGACATGGAGCTTAAGAGAAAGGCTAGACTAGACCATGGCATGTTTTATTGGCTACTCAGGGCAGGGTTCCAGTACTGTTTCTGGTAATGGCAGAACTGTTTGTATTGGACTAAACCTTTTGCATATTACAAACCCTATACAAAATATTTTTGTAAAACTTAACTATTTAAAGATATTGGTGAATGACAAGAAGGAAGAAAATGGAGGGACACTTTAAAAAGAGAACTGCAGAGTGGCATTTCTGTTTGTACTTTTTAACTGAGGGAACTCCCTTGTCTGTAAGACTTGTTACAGCTAAAATGCAGGCAGAAAGCTGTAGTCTCAGTGATTTGAAGTTTCAGTATTCTTTGAATAATGAGAATTTTAGTACTCCTAAGTAGGATAAACATAAGCCTTTTTTTTTTTGTCATTTATTTGAATTCTGGCATTTAATTTAGAACAGAATTCATCTTTTTACAAAGCTATAGGTAGTATAATCCCATTCTTGAGTGTGTGAGAGTATGAAAGGGAGGTTTATACATTAGACCTATAGAAGAATACTCTCTGGAATGATATAATCTCTGGCTGCTCATTATGGGTTTTGTTGTTGTTTTTTACTTTATATTTTTGTCATTGAGAATCCTTTTTTACAGTGAATATACATTGTTTTTGGATTTGGATAAGACATCATCTATTTTGAGAGAAAGAAACCTGTTTAGCAGTGGGACCTAACAATTTCATTTACCTTTTCAACTTAACTGACTAGTTGCAGCATTCTTAGTAATGAAATATTAAAAACTTGATATTTTGCTTCAGGAAAATGGGACCAATACTGCTGATCATGTTCGAAATTCCAGTTGGGCAAAAAACGGCTCCTACCAAGGTGCTCTTCATAACGCCTCTGAAGAAGCCACAGAACAAAACATACGAGCTGGTACCCAGGCAGTTTTGCAGGTGGATCACTTTATGGCTATTTTTAAAAATAAAATAATCATTAAATATTTCTGTTCAGTATTTCAGTATACAGTATACTTTTCACAATATAATAAATTCACCACCTATATTTATCATTATGCCATATTTTATTTTTTCCTTTCATCACTTAATATATATATTAATAAACATTACATATTATTCTAGATAATTTTAAATGTTATATAAATTATGTTATGGTGTACTGTCATCTGCAACTGATTTTTTTTATTAGCCATTCTGTTTATGAGATTTGTTGTTACTATACAGCCATAATTCATTTTAACTATTTTGTGGTATTGTACTTTATTTCACATTTGACTTATTCATTTTTCTGTTGATGGTCTTTTGTTTCCAGTTTTTCACTATTCCAAATAGTACTACAGTGAACTTTTTTTTTTTTTTGAGATGGAGTTTTCGCTCTTGTTGCCCAGGCTGGAGTGCAATGGTGCGATCTTGGCCCACTGCAACCTCTGCCTCCAGGGTTCAAATGCTTCTCCTGCCTCAGCCTCCCAAGTAGCTGGGATTACAGGCGCGTGCCACTATGCTCAGCTAATTTTTGTATTTTTAGTGGAGACAAGGTTTCACCATGTTGGCCAGGTTGGTCTCGAACCTCCTGACCTCAGGTGATCCACCCGCTTCAGCCTCCCAAAGTGCTGGGATTATAGGTGTGAGCCACCATGCCTGGCTGTGAACATTCTTTTTTTTTTTTTTTTTTTTTTTTTTTTTTTTTTTGAGATGGATTTTCACTGTTGTTGCCCAGGTTGGAGTGCAATGGCACGATCTCGGCTCACTGCAACCTCTGCCTCCTGGGTTCAAATGATTCTCCTGCCTCAGCCTCCCAAGAAGCTGGGATTACAGGTGCCCGCCACCACGCCTGGCTAATTTTTTTGTATTTTCAGTAGAGATGGGGTTTCGTCATGTTGGCCAAGCTGGTCTCAAACTCCTGACCTCAGGTAATCCACCTGCCTTGGCCTCCCAAATTGCTGTGATTATAGGCATGAGCCACCACGCCCAACTGTGAACATTCTTATACATGTATTTTTATATGCAGCTGGGAAAATTTCCCTAGGTTATATACCAAAAGTGGCATTACTGAGTTGTAGGATTTGTACATTAATAACTTTACTATTATCGCCCAATTGTTCTCCACTTTGTCAGAATAATTTACATTCCCTCTAGTAGTGTTTGGGAGTTCTCATTTCCTTATGTTCTCCCTATTACTTGTACTGTCAGATTTTAATTTTTTGCTGGTCCTTTATATGTGAAATATTGTCTCATTTTTAAAAAAAAGTTTGTGTTTTTCCATTTTAATTTGCTTTTCCTTCATCAGTACTGAATTTGAGCATCTTTTCTTATCTATGAATTCATATGCTTTTCCATTATTTTGGGTGTTGGTCTTTCTCTTAATGGTTTGTAGGAGTTCATTATATTCATTCACTTTTTTTTTTTTTTTTTTGAGATGGAGCCTCGGTCTGTCACCCAGGCTAGAGTGCAGTGGCACAATCTCAGCTCACTGCAACCTCTGCCTCCCAGGTTCAACCAATTCTCCTGCCTCAGCCTCCTGAGTAGTTGGGATTACAGGCACACGCCACCATGCCTGGCTAACTTTTGTATTTTTAGTAGAGATGGGTTTTTGCCATGTTGGCCAGGCTGGTCTTAAACCCCTGACCTCAAGTGATCTGCCTGCCTCAGCCTCCCAAAGTGTTGGGATTATAGGCATGAGCCACTGTGCCTGGCCAATCATTCACTTTTTAAATCAAAATGTCCTTGTCAAGGCCACATGTGACCTCTACATTGTTAAATCAGATGTACATTTTTTCATTCCTAATCCTGCTTGATTTATCAGAAGCATTTACAGAGTAGATCATTCCTTCCCCATTGAAATGCTTCTTTGCTTGGCCTCCAGAATAGCATATCCTCCTGTTTCTTCTCACTTCATTGTCCACTTCTTAAAACAGATTCTTTCACTGATTTTTCTGTAAAGCCCTGACCTTTTCATGTTGAAGTGCCCAGGAATCAGTTCTTGAATCTCTTATTCTCTTGTCTCATACATATAGATGGCTTTAAATATCATCTGTATGCTACAGCTTCAGATTTTTATATGTAGTCTAGGATCTCTCATCTGAATTCTGTGAATCCTTAACTAAAATATTCAAATATCAAATTGTCATTTTCACTTGGCTATCTAATAAGTATCTCAAATTTGAGTGCTTTTCCTGCAGTCTTCCTTGTTTCATTTACTGGCAACTCTGTTTTCCATTTCCCTTAACGTTTGTCTAATTTGATGACAAATCCTGTCAGCTCTCCCTTCATAATGTGTACAGAATCTGACTACTGCTCAGCACACACACTACCTCTTGTGTCTAAGTTTCTCTCTCTAATCTTTCATCTGTAATATTGTAGTAAATTTCTAATTAGTCTCCCTGCTTCTGCCCTGCCCACCTGTCACTCTGCTCTGGCCAGAGGGATCCTGTAAAATGTAAGTCAGATTATGTCATTTTTCTGCTCAGAACCCTCCAGTGACTTTCCATTATCACTAGGCAGCAATGCAGAAGTCTTTATAATGGTCTATAAGGCCATCATTGCTCCTCAGAGTGTGGTGCATAGACTAGGGCTGGCCCACAGCATAACTGCAAAACAGAGTAAAACTTTAGAAATGAAATAATTTAATATCTCTTGATTCTGTTAAAAAATTTGCATTTGAATTTTGTCTTACTCTTTTTTCATTTCCTTTTTTCTATTCATTTTTCCCCCAGTTGATAGTCTTTATTTTTATTTTTTATTATTCCATGGGTTATTGGGGTACCAGTGGTATTTGGTTACATGAGTAAGTTCTTTAGTGGTGATATGAGATTTTGGTGCACCCATCACCTGAGCAGTATACACTGCACCCTATTTGCAGTCTTTTATCCCTTGCCCCCCTACTACCCTTCCCACAAGTCCCCAAAGTCCCTTGTATCATTCTCATGCCTTTGTGTCCTCATAGCTTAGCTCCCACATATCAGTGAGAACATATGATGTTTGGTTTTCTATTCCTGAGTTACTTCACTTAGAATAATAGTCCCCAGTCTCACCCAGGTTGCTGCAAATGCCGTTAATTCATTCCTTTTTATGGCTGAATAGTATTCCATTGTCTATATGTACCACAGTTTCTTTATCCACTCGTTGATTGATGGGTATTTGGGTTGGTACCACAATTTGCAGTTGCAAGTTGTGCTGCTATAAACGTGTGTGCAAGTATCTTTTTCATATAATGACTTGTTTTCCTCTGGGTAGATACCCAGTAGTGGGATTGCTGGATTAAAATGACAGTTCTACTTTTAGTTCTTTAAAGAATCTCCACACCATTTTCCATAGTGGCTGTACTAGTTCACATCCCCACCAGCAATGTAAAAGTGTTCCCTGATGACCACATCCATGCCAGCATCTAGTGTTTTTTGATTTTTTTTTTTTTTTATTATTATGGCCATTCTTGCAGGAGTCAGATGGTATCGCATTGTGGTTTTGATTTGCATTTCCCTGATCATTAATGATTTTGAGCATTTTTTCATGTTTGTTGGCCATTTGCATATCTTCTTTTGAGAATTGTCTGTTCATGTCCTTAGCCCACTTTTTGATGGGATCGTTTGTTTTTTTTCTTACTGATTTATTTGAATTCATTGTAGATTCTGGATATTAGTCCTTTGTCAGATGTCTAGATTGTGAAGATTTTCCCCTACTCTGTGGGTTTTCTCTTTACTCTGCTGACTATTCCTTTTGCTGTATAAAAGCTCTTTAGTTTAATTAAGTCCCAGCTGTTTATCTTTGTTTTTATACTGCTTTTGGGTTCTTGGTCATGAAATCCTTGCCTAAGCCAATGTCTAGAGGGATTTTTCCAATGTTATCTTCTAGAATTTTCATTGTTTCAGGTCTTAGATTTAAGTCCTTAATCCATCTTGAGTTGATTTTTGTATAAGATTAGAGATGAGGATCCAGTTTTGTTCTGCTACATGTGGCTAACCTATCATCCCAGCACCATTTATTGAAAAGGTGTCCTTTCCCCACTTTATGTTTTTGTTTGCTCTGTCGAAGATCAGTTGGCTGTAAGTATTTGGGTTTATTTCTGGGTTTTCTATTCTGTTTCATTGGTCTCTGTGCCTGTTTTTATACCAGTACCATGCTGTTTTGGTGACCATGGCCTTACAGTATAGTTTGAAATCAGGTAGTGTGATACCTCCAGATTTGTTGTTTTTGCTTAGTCTTGCTTTGGCTATGTGGGTCCTTTTTTGGTTCCATATGAATTTTAGAATTGTTTTTTCTAATTCTGTGAAGAATTATAGTGGCATTTTGATAGAGATTGCATTGAATTTGTAGATCACTTTTGGCAGTATGGTCATTTTCACAATATTGATTTTACCCATCCATGAGCATGGGATGTGTTTGCATTTGTTTGTGTCATCTGCGATTTCTTTCAGCAGTGTTTCGTAGTTTTCCTTGTAGAGGTCTTTCGCCTCCTTGGTTAGGTATATTCCTAAGTATTTTATTTATTTATTTATTTATTTGTTTATTTGCAGCTATAATAAAAGGGGTTGAGTTCTTGATTTGATTCTCTGCTTGGTTGCTGTTGGTGTATCTCCTGTTTTGTTTCTTAATGAGCTTATTTGAATTTTCTCTCTTCTTGGTTAATCTTTCTAAGGGTCTATCAATTTTATTTATCTTTTCAAAGAACTAGCTTTTTCTTTCATTTATCTTTTGTATTTTGTTTGTTGTTTTAATTTAGTTCTGCTCTGATCTTGGTTATTTCCTTTCTTCTGCTGGGTTTGGGTTTGGTTTGTTCTTGTTTCTCTAGTTCCTTGAGGTATGACCTTAGACTGTCAGTTTGTGCTGTTTCAGTCTTTTTGATGTAGGTTTTTAGGGCTATGAACTTTCCTCTTAGCACCACCTTTGCTGTATCATAGAGGTTTTGATAGATTGTGTCATTATTGTCGTTCAGTTTGGAGAATTTTTTGGTTCGTTTGCTTATTTGTTTGTTTTTGAGACAGAGTTTCACTCTTGTTGCCCAGGCTGGAGTGCAGTGGTGCGATCTCAACTCACTGCATACTCCACCTCCCGGGTTCAAGCAATTCTCCTGCTTCAGCCTCCTGAGTAGCTGGGATTACAGGCATGCACCACCATGCCTGGCTAATTTTGTATTTTTAGTAGAGACGGGGTTTCTCCATGTTGGTCAAGCTGGTCTTGAACTCCCACACTCAGGTGATCCGCCCGCCTCAGCCTCCCAAAGCGCTGGGATTACAGGTGTGAGCCACCGTGCCCAGCCAGAAGAATTTTTAAATTTCCATCTTGATTTTGTTTTTGACTCAATGCTCATTCAGGAGCAGGTTATTTAATTTCCATATATTTGCATGGTTTTGAAGGTTCCCTTTGGAGTTGATTTCCAGTTTTATTCCATTGTGGTCTGAGAGAGTGCTTCGATATAATTTCAATTTTTTAAAATTTATTGAGGCTCATTTTGTGGTTTATCATATGGCCTATCTTGGAGAAAGTTCCATGCACTGTTGAATAGAATGTGTATTCTGCAGTTGTTGGATGAAATGTTCTGTATATATCTGTTAAGTCCATTTGTTCCAAGGTATGGTTTAAATCCATTGTTTCTTTGTTGTCTTTCTGTCTTGACCTGTCTAGTGCTGTCAGTGGAGAATTGAAGTCCCCCACTATTATTGTGTTGCTGTCTATCTCATTTCTTAGGTCTATTAATAATTGTTTTATAAATTTGGGAGCTGCAGTGTTAGGTGCATATATGTTTAGGATTATGATATTTTCCTGTTGGACAAGGCCTTTTACCATTATATAATGTCCCTCTTTGTCTCTTTTAACTGCTGTTGCTTTGAAGTTTGTTTTGTCTGATACAAGAATTGCTACCCCTGTTCGCTTTTGGTGTCCATTTGCATGAAATGCCTTTTTCCACCCCTTTACTTATGCGAGTCCTTCTGTGTTTGTTGAGTCTCCTGAAAGCAGCAGATGGTTGGTTGGTGAGTTCTTATCCATTCTACAGTTCTCTATCTTTTAAGTGGAGCATTTAGACCATTTACATTCAATGTTAGTATTGAGATGTGAGGTACCATTCCATTCATTGTGCTATTTGTTGCCTGTGTACCTTGGTTTTTTTTTTTTGTTTTCGATTTTTAAATCGTATTTTTGTTTTATAGGCCCTGTGTGATTTATGCTTTAAAAAGGTTCTGTTTTGATATGTTTCTAGGATGGTTTCAAGATTTAAAGCACCTTTTAGCAGTTCTTTTAGTGGTGGCTTGGTATTGGCAAATTCTCTCAGCATTTGTTTATCTGAAAAAGACTGTATCTTTCCTTCATATATGATGCTTAGTTTTGCTGGATACAAAATATCTTGGCTGATAATTGTTTTGTTTGAGGAGGCTGAGGATAAGGCTCCAATCCCTTCTAGCCTGTAGGGTTTCTGCTGAAAAATCTCTGTTAATCTGACAGGTTTTCCTTTGTGGGTTACCTGGTAGTTTTGTCTCACAGTTCTTAAGAGTCTTTCCTTCATCTTAACTTTAGATAACCTGATGACAATGTGCCTAGGTGATGATCTTTTTGCAGTGAATTTCCCAGGTGTTCTTTGTGCTTCTTGTATTTGGATGTGTAGGTCTCTATCAAGGCCAGGGAAGCTTTCCTTGATTATTCCCCTAAATATGTTTTCCAACTTTTAGATTTCTCTTCTTCCTCAGGAACACCAATTATTCTTAGATTTGGTTGTTTAACATAATCCCAGACTTCTTGGAGGCTTTGTTCATATTTTCTTATTCTTTTTTCTTTGTCTTTGTTGTGTTGGGTTAATTTGAAGACCATGTCTTCCAGCTCTGAATTTCTTTCTTCTACTTGTTCAATTTTATTGCTGAGACTTTCCAGAGCATTTTGCATTTCTATAAGTATGTCCAGTGTTTCCTGAATTTTTGATTGCTTTTTCTTTAAGCTATTTAATTCCTTGAATATTTGTCCCTTCACTTCTTGTATCATTTTCTGGATTTCCTTGCACTGGGCTTTGCCTTTCTCTGGTGTGTCCCTGATTAGCTTAATAACTAACCTCCTGAATTCTTTTTCAGGTAAATCAGGGATTTATTCCTGGTTTGGATCCATTGCTCGTGAGCTAATGTGATTCTTGGGGGTGTTAAAGAGCCTTGTTTTGTCATATTACCAGAGTTGGTTTTCTGGTTCCTTCTCATTTGGGTAGGCTCTGTCAGAGGGAAGGTCTAAGGCTGAAGGCTGTTGTTAAGATTCTTTTGTCCCATAGAGTGTTCTTCTGATGTAGTACTCTCCCCCTTTTCCTATGGATGTGGCTTCCTGTGAGCTGAACCGCAGTGATTGTTGTCTCTCTTCTGTGTCTAGCCACCCAGCTAGTCTCCCCGGCTCCAGGCTGGTAGTGGAGTTTGTCTGCACAGAGTCATGTGATGTGAACTGTCTGTGGTTGTCTCGGCCATGGATACCAGCAACTGTTCTAGTGGAGGTGGCAGCAGGTGAAATGAAGTCTGTGAGGTTTCTTAGCTTTGGTGGTTTAATTCTCTGTTTTTGTGGTGGTTGGCCTCTTGCCGGGAGGTGGCACATTCCAGAGAGCATCAGCTGTGGTAGTATGGAAAGGAACTGGCAGTGGATGGGGCCCTAGATCTTCCAAGAGCATATGTCCTTTGTCTTCAGTTACCAGGATGAGTAGGGAAGGCCCATCAGGTGGGGGCAGGGCTAGGTGTGTCTGAGCTCAGACTCTCCTTGGGTGGGTCTTGCTACAGCTGCTGTGAGGGATGGGGGTGAGGTTCCCAGGTCAATGGAGTTGTGTACCTACGAGGATTATGGCTGCCTCTGCTGAGTTATGCAGGTTGTCAGGGAACTCAGGGAAAGCCGGCAGTCACAGGCCTTACCCACCTCCCAAGCAATCTGAAGGGCCAGTCTGTCTCCCACCATGCCCGCCCTAACAACACTGAGTCTGTTTCCAGGCAGTGGGCGAGCAGGGTTTGAGAACTTTCCCTGGGCTACCTTCCTCCCAGCTGTGAAAGAAATGGGCTTTGGTTCTTCCCCTGCCTGTGGAGTCTGCACACCGGATTCACACCCTCCTTTGAGTTCTGGCCAGGAGGCTTCTTGCCTGGTTCAAATTTTTACAAAGTTCATCTGGAGACTTCCTTCTCCCTGTGGCATTTTCCACACGCCTCTGGCCACCCTCCCAAAGGATCCCTGTGGTGCCAGGCAGGAATGGCCTGCCTGGGGACCCAGCAAGCTCCCAGGGCATTTCCTACTGCTTCCTCTACCCCTGTATTTCCCTCGGCTCTCTAAATTTACTCCGCTCCAGGTAAGGTCGGAAATTTCTCCCACAAACTAGACCTTCAGTTTCCCCAATGGGTGTGTGTTTTCGGGAGAGAAGGATCTCCATTTCCCACTTCTGCCGTTTGGGCACTCACAGCATTTGGAGTGTCTCCTGGGTCCTGCAGGAGCAGTTTGCTTCCTTCAGAGGTCTGTGGGTCCTTTTGGGATTCCTGGTGTTTGTTCTTGCAGTTGTTCTGGAGGTAAAATTCATGATATGAGCCTCCACACGCTGCTCTGTCTGTCCAAGTCGGAGCTGCAATTTAGTTCTGCTTCCCGTCAGCCATGATGATCTCTCTCCCAATCTCTGTTCATTTTTCATTGTATTTTAAAATAGGATTGATCTGCAAAAGTTTGGGGCTGGGGAAGACCTGTTCTTTCACTACAGGTAGTGTGAGAATCTCTGCTCCACATACTCTGGCTGTTTTTCAGCATCATCTTCCACTGCTTTTCCCCTGGTTTACTTCACTCTGTACTCCTTGCCGTTCCTCAAGCATGTTAGGCAGGCTCTCACCTCAGGTCCTTTAAACTTGATTTTCCTCTTTTTCTGAAATACTATTCTCCTAGACAGGAACGTAGCTCCATTTGTCTTTTCCTTTTCAGTTTGCTGATACTTATTCTCTACCACCCACTCTTCCTTTTATGCTTACTGGGCCCCTCAGATCCATGGGATGAGAGTGAGCACCCTTGTCTTATTCTTGGCTTTTTGTGGTATTTCTCAAGTTCTATTACTATGTATATACTTTTTTTTATACTTTTTTATAAATGCTCTTTTTTATTTCAATGAATGTGTGCTTTTTTCTTAGTTTGCTAAAAATTGTTTTCAGTCATAAGTGTTGAATGCTTTTTCTGCATACATAGTGATAATCAGTTTTTTCCATTTTAATATTTTGATGGGATATAGTAATTTTTCTAATGGAATCTTCTGTCACCAAAACAGATATACAAACATAAAAATAAATAAGAAAAAGAGGATAAAATGTTTTGAACAACTCATTCAGAAAATTCTTCCTGATTTAGGTGTCATCTTTTATTCTAAACTATGTGTATTTATTTTTTTTTCAATTTATTATAGCAATAGAGTTATTAAAGCTTCTCAGTTTAGAAGTACTGTGTTTTAGGCCAGGTGCAGTGGCTCACACCTGTAATCGCAGCAATTTGGGAAGCCAAGGTGGGCAGATCACTTGAGGCCAGGAGTTTGAGACCAGCCTGGCCAGTATAGTGAAACCCTACCTCTAGTAAAAATACAAAAATTAGCCTGGCATGGTGGCACACATGCCTGTAATCCCAGCTACTTGGGAGGCTGAGGCAAGAGAATCTGTTGAACCTAGGAGGCAGAGGTTGCAGTGAGCCGAAATCATACCGCTGCATTCCAGCCTGGGTGACTAAACAAGACTCTGTCTCGAAAAAAAAAAAAAAGAAAGAAATACTGTTGTTTGCACTTGGTTTATTTTCTTTGGGTACCTACTATTAACTTTATATTTGTCTAGGTAAACATAAAAATAGGTAGGTTTAATGAGTTTATGTTTCAGTTATTAAGCTTGTAGAATTTACCCACAGTGTGATCAGTGTCTGTTTCTCTTTGAATAAGAAATTTGCCATTGAAATTCCTTTGTGAATAGCTAATGATTTCTTTTGTCTTAGGTGTTTATTATAAACTCATCAAATATATTTCTTCTTGAACCTGCAAATGAAATAAAAAATCTTCTGGATGAACACACAGATATGTGTAAACGCATTCTTAACATTTATCGGTACATGGTTGTACAAGTATCAATGGACAAAAAGACTTGGTAAAAAAATTTTTATCCTTTATGTCTATGTGTTTTTATTGTGTACACAGGTATAGTAATTTTTAGAGAAATAGTGTCTGTGAAGAGGGTTTGTTTACAGTATTATAGAGGCTCCTATTATTGAATAAATATAAAATTAATCATAGTGGCAATAGTTCCTTTCAGCTTATCTGAAACTTTGTTCGGACTTCCGCAAGACCCCTTGGACTGTCTTCCTGAAGTGAGCATATAATGGCCTCATCCTCCTCAACCCCTAAGGAAAGAATACATGCATACAAATGTATATGAGTAAATGAAGTTTACTTGTGTGTGAATGAGTTAATGAATAAGTTGATGATTGACTGAATATGTGAATGCCTGAATCCTTAATCTGGCATTCAGAGCTGTATACCGTCAGGCCCTGCCTACTTTTCCTGTCTGAAGTCTAACCTCCAGCTTTCAGGATAAGATCCTGCTTCCCAGCTTTATCAAGTTGTTCTTCCCTGGGCACCTTCTGAACTTTCCTTTAGAATGTCTAATTCTGCTGTTTTTCCTGTTGTCACCGTAACTGTCCCTTAGATTCACCTTCCTGTTTCTACATATCCTTACTTAAATTTTTTCTTCACTTGTTTCCATTCTATATTTGTACTTCTGTATAGTTCTTGTGAAAACTGTCTTGATCCCTAAAATACTTGTGTAAATATCTGTTTACCACCATAGAACTGAGAACCCCTAGAAGGTATTTACTGGTTTTCTTATTTTTATATTTCCTACATTTCTTAGTATAGTACATTATATATCATTGGTGCTCTATAAATAGTTGTCTAATTGATTGGAAAAATAGACCTTTTGGGGAGATGGGAAAGTGGTTCTGCAGTTTTTGTAAAAATGAAATGTTTATCATAAAATTCAAACAAAGAAAAGTTTAAAAAAGAAAAAAGCTCAAAGGTTCACTCTCTAGAGATAGTAGTGATGTTTGTCCTTTGGTGAATATCTAGCTCATCAAACCACACACACAGTTATATAGTATTATACTATATATATATATATATATATATATATATATATATATGCCATAATTTTCTTAACCAGTCCTGTACTGATGGACATGTAGTTATTTCTCTCTGTTTTGAGGCAAAGAGAGGACAATGAACATTCTTATATGTATTTTATTTTCCTCTACATGTGGCAAAACATAAATTAGGTATATGCTTTGACTAAGTACTCCTAATTTTTTTTAAGAAAGAAGACTACTTAGTCAAAGCATATGCCTAATTTATGTATAAAATGGCTTTATATTTTGAAAAGATTCTTTACTAACAGTATTAATAGAATGGCATATAGATGTAGTTATTATTATTAACACATTTGGGACACTTATTTGTGCCACATAGCTTTCTAAGCACTTTACACATATTTTCTTACTTAATTCTTACAGCACCCTATGATACAGATAATACTGGGAAGTTAAGTAACTTGTCCTTGTTCACACAGCTGTTAAGCAGTGGACAGAGATTTGAACTACGGTTTTTCTGACTTCAGAGCCCAAGTTATTATTAGCCAATAACTACATTGGACAATTATCTTGTTAGTCCTTTTTTTTCTTTCTGTATACTTTGAATCATTGATGAGCCAGATTATAGTGACTGACTTGCTATGTAGAAAACAATTTTAGAATTTTTTTCTTAATTTTTAAACTTCCCTTGAAGTAATAGCATTTTGGGAGGTTTTTCATATATTTTACATTGAATTTTTATATAGAGAGAGATGTTTCGCCTTGTTGCCCAGGCTGTTCTTGAGCTCCTGGGCTGAAGCGATCCACCTGCCTTGACCACCTCCCAAAGTACTGGGATTACAGGTGTGAGCCACCACACCTGGCCAGAATTTATAAAACTTTATTAATTAAAATCATTTTTATTGTATTACAAAGTGAAAATATTGTATGATTTATGAGTGAGTTATGGTTTGACAGCAAATAAGATTTATTTGGAAAATCTATGCTTTATTGCATTTGTAGTTGATTTCAAATAGCTTTTTATTTCATGTAGCTAAGCTAGAAGCATAAGGTTACAAATGTGGCACCTTTGATTTTTATTCCGTGAATAAATGCATGCATTTGTTTGCTAATACGTCCAGGATATTTTTAATGTAGTGATAGTTTTCTGTTTGATTCTACTCTGACTTCTCAGAAGAACCATGACATCTAGATCTAGGATCTGTTGCCGCCCCTGCCACATTTCTCACAGTGACTGTTCCACGTATCGCTATGCCTGGAATGGACTTGCAAAATAACCAGAGGGGAGGAGGCTGTGATAGAGAATTGGGCTGATACACCCAACTGAAAGTCCCTTTAGCCTCTTTTTCATATGTGGTTGAATCAAGTTTTGAAGTATCAGTGTAAATAAGGTAGTTTTATGGTTTTAATAATAAGCATCTAAGAGAAGGAGGCAAGGTAAGGATAATAATAGAATTGGTTTAACTTGCAGTACAGACAAAAAAAGATTAAAAAACTGCATAATGAAAAGAGTGGAAAGAAACAATAGAGTAATGGCCCTTGATTAATTATCAAGCTCACTGCAGACTCAAACTCCTAGGCTTAAGTGATTCGCCCACCTCAGCCTCCTGAGTAGCTGAGACTATAGGCATGTGCCACCACACCCAGCTAATTTTTTTTTTTTTTTGAGAGACAAGGCTTGCTGTGTTGCCCAGGCTTCTTTGTGATCTATTAATTAAGATGTCATATAATTTCTGAAATTGAGATTGGTATGATTCTCAATATGTAGTTACTCAACATATTATAAAGATGGATTTGATTGATTTGATATAGTTATTCTCCATATTATAAAGATGGATTTGATTGGATTCCATCTGGGTAGAACTATATTGTGTAGATGAGTGTTCTTCAGATAGCTCCTTAAGGTCACTACTTAATTTGTGGTTGCGGAGACGGGAGCATTCTCCACATTATCACTTCCAGTTCCTCAGCTTTTGAATAGGTTTTTATTTGATGAGAGGATATTGTGGCCGATAAATGATTTTAAATGATTGATGTAGATACATAAAATGTAATTTTAATTTTTAATATTTAAGGAACTCTAAACATTTGAAATTGTCTTTCAAAGATGTTTAATATTTGAATTTTTATAAGAAGTATGTATTTGAAAGTTAACTATTAACCAAATGCAAACATATGCAAGAAGGAAACATTAATCAGTCTTTTTATTTTAAGGGAACAGATGCTGCTTGTGTTGCTCAGAGTCACGGAATCTGTACTGAAGATGCCATCACAAGCTTTTCTACAGTTCCAAGGGAAAAAAAATATGACCTTGGCAGGTCGACTTGCAGGACCACTTTTCCAGGCAATAAAAATAAATAAATAGATGAATAGCTGGATAGATATGGGTTGTTTTGTTTTGTTTTGTTGTTTGTTTGTTTTTTAAAATTCATTGAACCCTGAACTTGTTACCAGAAAAAAAAGTTTTAAATTAGAGATTATTTCTTATTTATTAAGGGATCTTTTGTAGAGCTAACTTAAAAGTTGCTCATCTAAATAAGCTATTTGCCATACATAAAACCTAGTATAAGAGTGGAGGTAATATCAGGTCTGTGAACAAACAGGCTAATGATATTTATTTTATCTCTTGTGTAGTATACATAATATGTGGTTGCAAAAACCTGGCAGTGTTTTAGGGATAATGACCTGACTGCTTTATGAGTTTCCGTATCTCTGGGACTGCTAGGAAAAACTGTCTTTTTATGTTATTCTGTAATAATGAAAAAGTAATAAATAATTAAGATTGATTCTTATCATGCTTTTTTTTAATAAGACTTTATTATCCTCCCTTCTCAGTTGGTGGTAGTTTGATTACACAGGAATTCTATATTGTGTTTTTTAAATCTGAGGATAGAGTGCTGACTTTAAATGTATTATGGATTCTTTGAAAAAAAGAAAACAAAAAATTTTTTTAAGATGATACATGAAATACAAATACATGATTCTTAATGTCAAGGGTAAAAGCTGTCTCAGATCTAATTCTTGGCCAAGAGTAGCCATTTAAATTGGTTGGAGTTTTTTTTCATATATTAGCCATTTACCTAAAATTATATGCTGGTGTTGAACAGTCCTTTAAAACCAGCTACATGTATCATCTAAACTCCTCTTAACTTCATTAGCCATTTTTTGTTTTTTCATTCAGGTTTCTCCATTGTTAGAGCTAACCCGATGATGGGAGCTACAGGAAGATAAAATTTTATCTTGCTATGTGAAACAACTTTTTTATAGTCTGAGTATTAAAGTAGTCTTTTTTTTGTATTAAATTAAAGATAGATTGGGAGGTCAGTAGTTACTATAGTTCTGTACCTAAACTCTGTTCATTTTCATCTTTACATTTCAGGTATAAATTTATGTGAATTCCTTTCTAAATGTTGTAGAATTAAGCTTTTGAGAATCGTTATTTTATGACTTGTTTCTTCAATCAGAGGACATATCTTTAGTAGAAATCCACAAAATCTCAGGGGGTACTTACTGGCTAATCCATTTCTGTCCTTTTATGAATTTTTTTATCCTGTGATCAGATTTATTACAGAATGCTTTTAATTTGTTGTGTTTAAAAATATTTAATTTCAACCTTTAGTTTATGTATACATTTTCAAAACTACATTTCATTAAGTTAAATATGTCTCTAGTATGTTGTTTCTTTATATTATTAAAAAACATTTTCGAGTTGTAGTTAGTGATTTCCATCCTTAATTTGGGAATGTAGGTTTTGGCTTTTTAGTTCAGTAACTCAACATTTTCAACACTTAAAAGTATGGAGACTATTTTTTAAATAGCATTTATTTAACATTAATATAATGCAGCATAAGAGACAGTTATAAATTTAGGGAGATTTCTTTTTAGATTGCTGGGTGTTGGGAGTTGGCAGTTGTTGAAATGAAATTTATAGTAGATTCTAATGATTGCATGAATTGCTTTTACAAGTAGTATTATCTATTAAAAAAAGCATGCGATTTTAAATGTTGCTTGTTTTTAAGTAATTTTTTTAAGAATTGAATGTCTGATTTTGAAGTCACACACTAAACACATTTTATTGTTATTTCTGATATTTGTCTTTATAGACCCTTATAGTTGCCTGGATCAAAGCAAACCTAAATGTGTACATCTCCCGAGAACTTTGGGATGACTTACTGTCAGTATTGTCATCGCTGACCTATTGGGAAGAGTTGGCCACTGAGTGGTCACTGACTATGGAGACATTAACTAAAGTTTTAGCTAGGAATTTATATAGTTTGGATCTCAGTGATTTACCATTGGATAAGCTGAGTGAACAGAAACAAAAAAAGCACAAAGGGAAAGGTAAGAATTGTTCATAGAGATGCTCTATATAAATTTGTTTAAATAATTGAGTCAGGGAAAACCATTCCAGGGAGAGGGGTGAGGGTGAAATAAGTAGAATCTTAAATATTTTATTTTTAAGAATTAAACAAAATGAAAATGTATAAAATACCATTCCTTTTTATCGTAAGCAATTTTTTCTTAGAACTGAGAAGGTGGTTTAATGTTACTCTATTTAAAATGTGTACAATAATTATTTTAAAAATTGTTTTTGAAAGCACTTACTTAGTTTTAACTAAAAGCAAACATTCCCTAGACATGAAATATGTATCTGTCTAATGTTAAAAGGGAGTGGGGCAGTAGCCTAATGATTATATCATTAATATATGTTTTTAAAATCCTCAGTTAGTTAGGATTTTGCTTTTTTTTTTTTTCTGAGACAGGGCCTCACTCTGTTTCCTAGGCTAGAGTATAGTAGCACAGTCATGGCTCACTGCAGCCTCGACCTCCCAGGCTCAAGGGATCCCCACCTTCAGCTTCCCAAGTAGCTGGGACTACAGGCCACCATGCTCAGCTAAATTTTTTTGTTTGTATTTCTTATAGAGACATGGTTTCACCATGTTGCCCAGGCTAGTCTTGAACTCCTGGGCTCAAACAATCTGCCCACCTCCACCTCCCAAAGTGCTGGGATTACAGGTGTGAGTTACTACTCCCAGCCAGTATTTTGCATTGTTAAATATTAGTTGCTAGCTAGAGTTTACATCTAAGTCACATTTCATACTTTTGTCCAGGGTATTATGTACTCAAACTACTTTTTCCTGGACTATATTTCCCAAGTGGCTATTATTGGCAGATTAGAGATTTAGTAATCATCACCACAGGATGGGTTTTGTTTAGCACCTTTCCTGTCTTTTTTTTCTTGTCTAAATGTTTCATTTTTATTCCAAAGCAAGTGGGTGGCAGAGAATTTCTAATAGCTTATTGCTAATGGTGTAATTTTAAAATTGCGCATCAGTTTTGGAATATGATTTATACATAAAGTGAAGCTCATAAAAGCCTTACAGTACACAGCGTTTTGTCTTATTACTTTATAATTTATGTGAGCAAACCTAAGACTCTGAGGCAAGGTAGCACGCATAACTTGAAGATATTATTGATCAAGTAACAGTATATTGAGATTGAAAATCTACATTTCCAGGAGTTGGACATGAATTTCAGAAAGTTTCAGTTGACAAGTCATTTTCTAGAGGATGGAGTCGTGATCAGCCTGGCCAAGCCCCAATGAGACAGAGGAGTGCAACAACCACTGGTTCTCCAGGAACCGAAAAGGCGAGGAGTATAGTACGGCAAAAAACTGTCGGTATGTACTCTTGAAAATCATGAGAATGGTACAGGGCACTACATTTATAGTCCTTGGTAACAATTTATATCAATATAAATTTTTCTTACCAGTTGATTATTGTTGTGAAATGAAAAACTGCTATAGCAAAGCCTTTTTTCCAGAAGTACTCAGAGTCTAGTGATAGGCTGTTATCCCTTTATGCTATTAAGATTTATTGGACATTATTTTTATGTGGTTTATTTTACTGTAGAGAGCCCTAATATTAAAATGTTATTTTACGGAATTGAAGAAGTAGAACTGTGATTCACTTTACAGAACTCAAGCATTAACTGATGTGGTTTCATTGAAGGAATTTACTCACAAATATGGAAAATTAGGGTAGCTAATTTCCTGTGCTACAATTATATAGTAGATTAGTTTCACAGACTTCCAACAAGAATCTCATTTTCTCTGCTGGCAGACAGCTAAGGCCAACATGGAGTCTGTTACTGAGTTTCTTGCTGCTTTTAACAAAAAATGGAAGAAAGTTCTATAACCTGGGAAATAGCAGCAAAGGAACAACGTTGGGAACAATTTCTGGGCATAAAATCGCACAGTGTACTGTGGAATTAGCTACCATCTCATTCCTTTTTCTCAGAGGTTTATAAACTTGGCTGAATTATAGTAGAAAAAGCACTGCAATGAGAAATAAGGAGGGCTTTTTCCTAATCTCTTTTCTTACTCTCTTTGATCACTAAATAGGTAGGTAACCTTGGACAGTCTACCAAACGTTTCTAGGCTTTTTTTAAAAGAGAGATCTCGCTCTGTTGCCTTTGTTGGATCATAGCTCACTGCAGCCCTGGACTCCTGGGCTCAAAGTGATCCTACCTCAGCCTCCCCTGAGCCTCTTGAGTAGCTAGGACTACAGGCGCCTGCCACCATGCCAGGCTAACTTTATTTTTCATAGAGACAGGGTCTTGCTATGTTGCCCAGGCTGGTCTTCAGTTCCTGGCCTTAAGCAGTCCTCCCACTTTGGCCTCTCAAAGTGCTGAGATCACAGGTGTGAGCCATGGCACCCAGCCTTTTCTAGGCTTTTTAAGTACTTCATCTGTGTAGTGGGAATGATAATACTGCTCATTCCTGAAACAAAATTGCCTGAAGTTATTCCAAGGTTTACAATCAATGCTTCTATGAAAAGAGAATTTTCCATGGGAATGTATCCGTATTTAATGGTAATCAGTGAAAAACACTATTAATTTTAAAGAAATGTAAAGCCATTATTGTAAGGATACATCTTGTATAAAAAATTAGGTTCTAAAGTGTTAAGAATTATGGTTTGAAAGGAAGAAACAACTAGAAAGAAAATAAGAGATTAAAGATTTTAAAAGAATTAAAATACATGGTTAATGTAAAATCCTTTAAAAGGATCACATATTCAGAATTGTCTTATGCTTTTAAAATAAGCATAGAATTACATTAATTGTATATTCCAAGCTAGAAGAATAAGACAAGATATAAGGGAAAAAGTTATTGTAGTATTAAAATGAATATAATGGGAATTTTACTATAAAATTACTTTTTGGAATCCTAAGGAAAATGATTATATTTGAAATGCCTTCCTTCACTTTATATTAATGTCACAATTATAGAAAATATTTGTGTATTAAGAATTGTTGGCCGGGCGCGGTGGCTTACGCCTGTAATCCCAGCACTTTGGGAGGCCAAGGCGGGCAGATCACAAGGTCAGGAGTTCGAGACCAGCCTGACCAACATGCTGAAACCCCGTCTGTAGTAAAAATACAAAAAAAATTAGCCAGGCATGGTGGCATGTGCCTGTAATCCCAGCTGCTCGGGAGGCTGAGGCAGGAGAATCGCTTGAACCCAGGCGGCAGAGGTTGCAGTGGGCAGAGATCAAGCCTGGAGCGACAGAGGGAGCGACAGAGGGAGCGACAGAGGGCGACTCTGTCTCAAAAAAAAAGAAGAAATTGTTCTTTTAAGTCTAAATTTTTATTTTATTTAAATCAAATCTTTTTTTAAAAGTACATTTTTTTCTGATTATAGAAGTAATTTATGCTTAGTGTGGAAAGTTACATTTAGGGAAGCATAAAGACCCATTAGCTGTCTAATGAGAAGTAATCATTGTTAACATGTTGGCGTGTATCTTTGTAGTCTTTTACATAGCATGTAATGAGTAAAATATTCATGCTGACTTCATAGCTCATAGTGATTACTTTCTAGTTGTACTAATGTCAAAACAGTTTTGTCTGAACCGAACAAGCCTATCAAAGTTAAATCCTTAAAAATTTGTTAAGAAAGGTAGCTGCATGGAGTTATAAAAAGGGGCAGCAGATTAAATTAGGATGTTCTTTGGGCATATTTTTAAAATTTTTTAACATTACTTTTTTTTCTTTCTGAGACAGTCACCCAAACTAGAGTGCAGAGGTGCAATCCCAGCTCACTGTAACCTCTGCCTCCTGGGTTCAAGTGATTCTCCTGACTCAGCCTCCAGTAGCTGGGATTACAGGCATATGCCACCACACCCAGCTAATTTTGTATTTTTAGTAGAGATGGGATTTCACCCTGTTGGCCAGGCTTGTCTTGAGCTCCTGACCTCAAGTGATCCACCCACCTTGGCCTCCCAAAGTGCTGGGTTTAACATTAATTTTTCCAGCCTGGGCAACATGGTGAAACTCTGTCTCTACCAAAAAAATACAAAAAAATTAGCTGGGTGTGGTGGCGCATGCCCGTAGTGCCAGCTACTTGGAGGACTGAGGTGGGAAGATCTCTTGAGCCCAGGAGGTTGAGGCAGCAGTAAGCTGAGATCACACCACTGCACTTCAGCCTGGATGACAAAGTGAGACCCTGTTTCCAAAAAAAAAAAAAAAATCCATTTTTTTATAGTTATTTATTTATTTATTTTTTGAGATGGAGTCTTGCTCTGTTGTCCAGGCTGGCATGATCTCAGCTCACTGCAACCTCCACTTCTAGGTTCAGGCAATTCTCCTGCCTCAGCCTCCCAAGTAGCTGGGACTACAGACACATGCCACCACGCCTGGCTAATTTTTGTATTTTTAGTGGACACGGAGTTTCACCATGTTGGCCAGGCTGGTGTCGAACTCCTGACTTTAGGTGATCCGCCCACCTCGGCCTCCCAAAGTACTAGGATTACAGGTGTGAGCCTCTGTGCCCAGCCTTTATGTTTTTCATGAACGTACATGGTTAAAAATTTAGACTGTGATTAAGTGTATACATTGTAGTAAGTCTCCCTCATCACTATTCCCCACCTTCCCATTTCACCTCACTAGAGGCAACCATTATTACCAGTTTCTTGAGAATCCTAAAGATACTTTATGTCGATACAGGCTTATAGCATAACATATAAAATCTTGTGAATCATGGCTTTACATATGTGAATGAAAAAAAATTCCTTTAAGTACTCACTATGGAATTGCTGTTCTATGCATTAAGGATATAGTTGTGAACAAAGCAAGT
Source organism: Homo sapiens (assembly GCF_000001405.40). Classification (NCBI taxonomy): domain Eukaryota; kingdom Metazoa; phylum Chordata; class Mammalia; order Primates; family Hominidae; genus Homo; species Homo sapiens. The sequence goes on along the minus strand of NC_000014.9, from coordinate 35,718,234 downwards.
AAATTCCACTGGAGCTGACAATTCTAGTGTTGGGGAAGAAATATAATAAGCAAATAAACCAATAAACATGTCAGGAGTTAGTAAAGGTATGAAGAAAAGTCAATCAGGTTAAAGGAATAGAAAGTGTTAGAGCTAAGGACATAGGACGACTGTTTTAAGTAGGGAGGTCAGGGAAAGCTTATTCTATCCTATAAGAACAAAGACCTGAATGGAGAAAGCGCATTCCAGGCAGAAGGAAAAATAAAAGTCCCAGAGCTAGGAATATGCTCTAGGGCTTTTGAGTGTTTGAGGAGGAGTAAGGAAAGAAGAGAGCGTTAGGAGATAAAGTCAAGCTATAGTGATATATCTTAAAGATTATTATATATCAAAAAAATGTTGGCCAGGCACAGTGGCTCACACCTGTAATCCCAGCATTTTGGGAGGCCAAGGCAGGAGGATCACTTGAGGCCAGGGGTTTGAGACCAGCCTGGACAACATGGTAAAACCCCGTCTCTACTAAAAATACAAAAATTAGCTGACCGTTGTAGTACACGCCTGTAGTCCCTAGTCCCAGCTACTCAGGAGGCTGAGGTACAAGATTTGCTTGAACCAGGAGGTGGAGGTTGCAGTGAGCCAAGATTGTACCACTGCACTAGGCAGAGCGAGACTCTTGTCTCCAAAAAAAAAATAAAATAAGTTGGAACTTCCTGTATCATAATTACGTGGAAGTACTATAAAATTTAACCTATGTCCTGAAGATGAATATACATTTTATAATTTTGTGCTATTAAAAATGGTGTAGAATAGGCTGGGCGCAGTGGCTCACGCCTGTAATCCCAGAACTTTGGGAGGCCGAGGCGGGCGGATCACCTGAGGTCAGGTGTTCAAGACCATCTGGCTAATATGGTGAAATCCCATTTCTACTAAAAATACAAAAAATTAGCCAGCGTGGTAGCCTGTGCCTGTAATCCCAGCTACTCGGGAGGCTGAGGCAGGAGAATAGCTTGAACCCGGGAGGCAGAGGTTGCAGTGGGCCGAGATCGCACCATTGCACTCCAGCTTGGGCAACAAGAGCGAAACTCCGTCTCAAAAAAAATGGTATAGAATATACTTATGTATTCTTCTATATTTTGTGCATATATGCAAGTATATCTATAGGTTAAGTCTGTAGGATATGAAATTAATTTGCCCTCTAAAGAGAGGAACCTTTGTAGCCTTAATAGATTTAAGCAAGGATCATTAGTAGATATCAAAAACATTAATGTGTAAAGGATTGCTTGGGAAGAGGATATTCACTTGTTGCCAAGGATTCTCTTACAGATTATTTATATTTGCAAAGGGTAAATATACCTTTACAATGGAGGGACCTGGAATCAAGCCTATATACCTAACTTCTAGTTTATAGTATATATAGGAGATAGAAGAACAAATTAAATGACCCCAAGAGAAAATAATTAAAATTAGAAGGTAGTACATATTATGAGACAACTGGTCTAGCCTCTTCAAAAACACAGTATCATTTTTAAAAAGTTGAGGTGGGGTCTGTTTTAGGCTCAAGAGACAATAACCAAATGCAATATATGAACTCCCATGGAATCCTGGTTTGAAAAACATAAAAATTATTTTGGGGATATCTTGGTAACTTTGAATATGGATTGAATATCAGATGATATTATGGAATTTTTGTTAATTTTCTTAGGTGTGATAATGGTATATAGGTATATAATGGTATATAATTTTCTTAGGTGTGATAATGGTATATAGAAGGATGATCTTACCTGTAGATGAATCCTGAAATATTTAGGGGAGGTATACCTGTTTACATTGCAATAGTCTTTTTTTTTTTTTTTTTTTTTTTGAGACGGAGTCTCACTCTGTCACCCAGGCTGGAGTGCAGTGGTGCGATCTCAGCTCACTGCAACCTCCGCCTCCTGGGTTCAAGTGATTCTCCTGCCTCAGCCTCCCAAGTAGAGTAGCTGGGACTATAGGCGCACACCACCACGCCTAGCTAATTTTTGTATTTTTAGTGAGAAGGGGTTTCACCATGTTGACCAGGCTGGTCTTGAACTCCTGACCTCAAGTGATCCACCCTCCTCGGCCTCCCAAAGTGCTGGGATTATAGGCATGAGCCACCATGCCTCACCATCTTTTAATTTTTTCTACATTTGAAAATTTTCTTAATAAAAAATTGGGAAGAAAGGGGCTTTTTAAAAAGTCATTACATGACTCGTATTGCCAGCAACATAGTGAACTTGATATTCTGGAGCTATTAGATATTCTTGCTAGCATTTCGTCGTACCACTGGTTTGCAAATAGAGAAACCTCTAAGACTCTTCTTACTCATTTCCTTGACCAAAATAAAACTATGAGTGGAAAATGGAGTGATGAGCAGTAAGCACACTGGAAAAGTGGGATGATCTTGAAGCAAATTGCTGATAATCACTTCTGGGATTCAGACTGAGACTTGAGCAAGCTTCAAGGTTGGATGACTGAATTGAAGACTTCCATGTTAAATTGGTTATCTTGAGAAGGATACAAGTTAATTTCAGGTCAGTAATGCTTCCTGACAGTTGTACAAGCAAACACAAATTACCTCTGGAGTAATTCACTCTCAGTTAGGCCTCCAGAAATTCCACAGATTAGAATCAACCAAATATGAGTTCACAAAGATTATTCAGTAAACATGGAAACAAATTATGTAAATGAGTTAGCAAAAAAGAGAGAGAAAATTTAGATTCCTTAAGATTTTAATCCCTAATATTGGAATAAATATTATGGAATAAATAAATAAATAACCAGACTATAAAATAACCATGTTTGAAATGTTTGAAGAGGAAAATGATAAGCTCATTAAAATGATTAAAAAGAATCAAATAGAACTTTGAGAAATAAAAACATAATTCCTGAAAGAAAAAAAAACAATATTAAGCAACACATAAGATATAAATAAAGAGAGAATCAGTGACTTGGATTAGAAATTTGAGGAAATTACCCAGGACATTGAGACGGGAAATGTGAAGGAGAGGGTAAGAAATTTGTAGAACAGGATGAGAGGGTCTGATGTGTCTAGTTGGAATACCAGAAGGAGAGAATGAAGGAGAGGCAGTATTTCAAGAATGACAGAGAATTTATTAAAGCTATGAGTCTATAGAAACAGAAGAACATAATATACCAAATGAGTAAGTAGAAGCCCGTACTTAAACACACTGCAGTGACATAGCAGAATGGAAAGACAAAGAAAAGAGCATAAAGACTGCAAAGAGAAAAAATGCATAATCTGCCAGAGAAAAACAGTTATGCTGAAAACAGTGTTCTCAGCACTGACAATGGAAGACTGAACAGCATGATAATATCTTCAAAGTGCTAAGGAAAAATAACTATCATTATAGAATTGTGTACTGACCAAACTTTCAAATGGAGGGTAAAACAAAGACAAAAGCTTAAAATACTTTGCTATGGATTGACCTTCATGAAATAACTTCTAAAAGAATATGTCAGGAAAAAAAATTACCCCAGAATTAAAGTCCGAGATGCAAGAAGGATAAATGATCAAAGAAAGTCGTAAATGTGTAGGTAAATCTAAAGAGATATTATCTGAATATAGTAATTTTGGAATTAAAATGAAGGGTAGAATTTAAATACAGGGCATTCATAACATATAGTTCAGGAAGAGTTTGGTGAGAGTATAAATATTCGCAAATCCTTATCTTGTTCAGGGTGAGGTAGAGAGCTGGTGTTATTGCATTAACTTTAGACTTTAAAAATATAAGGTAAAAAGACAACCCAATTAAAAATGGACAAAGGATTTGAATGGACATTTCTCTAAAGAAGATACACAAATGGCCAATAAGCACATGCTCAGAAACACTAGCTATCAGAGAAATGCAAATGAAAATCACAGTAAGATGCCACATTACACCCACCCACTAGGATGGCTATTGTTTATCAAAATACGAATATTAAGTGTTGGTGAGGATGTGGAGAAATTGGAGTCCTTATATATTGCTAGTGGGAGTGTAAAATGGTACGGCTACTTTGAAAAACACTCTCGAAATCAGTTCCTTTAAAGTTAAAATTATATGACCCAGCAATCCCATTCACAGGTATATATCCAAGAGACTTGAAGAGTGGCTGCTCTCATCAATTTTTTTTTTTTTTTTTTAGACGGAGTCTTGCTCTGTCACCCAGGCTAGAGTGCAGTGGCATGATCTCAGCTCACTGCAACCTCTGCCTCCTGGGTTCAAGCAATTCTCCTGCCTCAGCTTCTCGAGTAGCAGGGATTACAGGCGCCTGCCACCACGCCTGGCTAATTTTTGTTTTTTAGTAGAGATGGGATTTCACCACGTTGGCCAGGCTGGTCTCGAACTCCTGGCCTCAAGTAGTCCACCCGCCTGGGCCTCCCAAAGTGCTGGGATTATAAGCGTGAGCCACCGCACCTGGCCCGCTCACATCAATTTTATATACTTGTTGCCAAAATCATTTTTAGTCTAAAGTGCAGTTTATTTCCTATTCTCAAGAATTTCATGACCTTCTGAGACTGACAAATTCATGTCCATATGCTCTAGTATTACTATAGTATTGGGACCAATCTGATTTATTTTAATGGATTTTTCTGGTATAATTTCTCACTTTTCCCTTTTGCTTATTACATGTAAAAGCTGAAAAAGAACTACTGAATAATCCTGTAAACACAAAAAACTTTGGATTCCTCCTCATCATTGAGAAGGGGAGTAACCTAATAAAACTGTTTTTAGAATTAATTTGGAAATGTTGAGTACTGTGAGTTTAAGAAGACACTAATGGAACCTGAAGTGGGTAGCTTTATTAATGTAAAGTCAGGACCAGGGATGAAGGACAAACAGTGGGGATAGAGAATAACCAAGTTGCTCAAGCTAGAAGTCTGGGAGTTAGCTTCAACTCTTCTCTCTCTCCTATATCCCCAAACTCTGATTGAATCATCATATCCTGATGATTGTATCTTGAGCTAAGTATCTCTCACCTTTCTTCACTTCTTTACATTTTCACTGCTGCTATCTTGGTCCAGTACACCACTACATCTACATTGCTGCAAGAATTTCCTAACTTCCCTGCATCAGTTTTTCACAACCTCCAGATCCGTTTTCTACCTTCTTGTCATAGTGATATTGAGAATAATTTCAAATTGATGTAACTTATTTGCTTATATTTTTCAGTGGTCTTTTATTGCTCTTGGGATAAAATTGAAAATCTTACCATGATTTTTATAAGGCCCTGCATGATTAGGCCTCTGCCCACTTTTCCAGTCTCATTTTATTCCTTTCTCCTTTGCTCTCTACTTTCCACATTACTAGACTTCATTTATTAAAGAAGTGAGAGAAGAAAATGAACCAACCTGGAGTTTTAGATCCAGCTTATTTGTCCTTCAAAAGTGAAGTAGAGGCTGGGTGCATTAACTCACGCCTGTAATCTTAGCACTTTGTAATCTTAGCACTTTGTAATCTTAGCACTTTAGACTGAGGTGGTGGGAGGATTGCTTGAGGCCAGGAGTTGGAGGCTAGCCTGAGCAACATAGTGAGACCCTGTCTCTACAAAAATTTTTAAAATGTGCTGGGTGCAGTGGCGCGTGCCTGTAGTCAGCTTGTCAGGAGAATGAGGTGAGATGATTGCTTGAGCCCAAGAGTTTGAAGCCACAGTGAGCTATGATTGCACCACTGCCCTCCAGCCTGGGTGACAGAGCAAGTTCCAGTCTAAGAAAAATAATAAATATAACAAATTTAAAAATGAAGGAGAAATAAAGACTGTCAGATGAACAAAGATGGAAAGAATCTGTTGCCAGTATACTTGCTTTGCAAGAAATGTTAAAAGAAATTATTTATAAAGAATGAAAGTGATAGAGGTCAGAAACTACATAAATAATGGAAGAGTGTTAGAGAAGTAATGAATGAAAGTAAAATATTTACTTACCACCAACACTGGAAAAGAAAGTAAAATAAAATAAAATATTTTCTTTTTCTTTCCTTTTTTTTTTTTTTTTTTGAGACATGCTCTGTCACCCAGGCTGGAGTGCCTTGGCGTGATCTGGCCTCATTGCAACCTTCGCCTCCCAGGTTCAAGCAATTTTCCTGCCTCAGCCTCCTGAGTAGCTAGGATTACAGGTGTGCACCACCATGCCCAGCTAATTTTTGTATTTTTAGTAGAGATGGCGTTTCACCATGTTGGCCAGGCTGGTCTCAAAGTCCTGACCTCAAGTGATCCACCCACCTTGGCCTCCCAAAGTGCTGGGATTATAGGCGTGAGCCACCGCGCCCAGCCTTTTTTATTCTTAATTAATCTAACAGCTAATGATTTGTTCAACAAACCGAAAACATATTAGGTGATTATAGCTTGTGGATAGTGAAATGATTGACAGCAGTATTTTAAGGGATGAGAAGGAGGAATTGGGAATCCTTTTAAGTATGTCTAGCTGGAAAGTGGTACAGCATTGTTTTAAAAAGAGGACTTGGGTGGGGTACAGTGGCTCATGCCTGTAATTACAGCACTTTGGGAGGCCAGGGTGGTTGGAGTTCAGGTGGGAGGCCAGGTGGCTGGAGTTGCTTGAGCCTAGTTCAAGACCAGCCTACGTAACATGGTGAAACTCTGTCTCTACAAAAAAAATCAAAAAATTAGTCAGGTGTGGTGGCTCACATCTGTACTCCCGGCTACTCAGGAGGCTGAGGTAGGAGGATCTCTTGAGCCCAGGAAGTTGACACTGCAGTGAGCGGAGATTATGCCACCGCACTCCCACTTGGGTGACAGAATGTGACCCTGTCTTAAAAAGAAAAAGAAGACTTGGATTAGTTGTTAATGTATATTGCAAACTCAGGGGCAACCACTAAAAAAGGTTTTTTTAAAATGTAGTGTAATTCATATGCTAGGAGGGGAGAAAAATAGAATCATGTAAAATACTCAGAACCAGAGGAGGCAGTAAAGAGTGGAATATAAAAAAAGAAAGGCACTGAATAGAAAACCGGAACAAATGTGGTACAGTGTTAACTATAGCAGTAATCACTTTAAACATTAGCTGTCTAAATAAACCAATTAAAAGACAAAGACTGTCTCAACAGATAAAGGAACAAGCCTCAACTATATGTTGACTATAAGAAGTCCCTTTAAAATATAAAGATACATAGATTAGACAGATTAAAAATGAAGAGATGGCAAAAGGTATACTATGCTAACATTAATCAAAAGAAAGTGAAGCTAATTATGCAGTCGTGTCATTTAACAAATGGGGATATATTCTGAGACATACATCAGTAGGAGATTTCTTCAGTGTGCGAACATCGTAGAATGTATTACAGAAACCTAGGTGACATAGTCTACTACATACCTAGGCTGTATGGTGTAGCCTGTTGCTTCTAGGCTGCAAACGTGTGCAATATGTAACTGTACTGAATATTGTAGGCAATTATAATACAATGGTAAATATTTGTGTAAGCATATCTAAACATAGAAATGGTACAGTAAAAATAAAGTATTATAATCCCTACAGCTAAAATAGAGTATTATAAATGTAAAATCTACAGTAAAAATTGAGTTTTATAATCCATAAGGACCACCATCATACATGCGGTCTGTTGGTGACCGAAACATCATTATGCAGTGCATGACAAAGCAGACTTTAGAGCAAGGAGAATTATCAAGAATAAAGAGGGGTATTACATAAAGATGATTAATTCTGGCCAGGCATAGTGGCTCATGCCTGTAATCCCAGTACTTTGGGAGGCCAAGGAGGGCAGATCACCTGAGGTCAGGAGTTTGAGACCAGCCTGGCCAACATGGTGAAACCCTGTCTCTACTAAAAATACAAAAAAATTAGCCGGGCTTGTTGGCACATGCCCGTTGTCCCAGCTACTTGGGAGACAGGAGAATTGCTTGAGCCCGAGAGGCAGAGGTTGCAGTGAGCTGAGATCGTGCCACTGCACTCCAGTCTGGGCAACAGAGCAAGACTCCATTTCAAAGAAAAAAAAAGATGATTAATTCTCCAAGAAGACGTAATAATCCTTAATGTGTGTTCAGTAACAACAGGGTATCAAAATACATGAGGCAAAAACAGATAAACCTGCCCAGAGAAATAGAAGAAGTAGTGGTACTGTGGTTGGATATTTAACATCTTTCTATCAGTAATTGACAGATCCAGCAGGCAGAAAATCAGTGAGGACATAAATGAAGTGAATAGCACTGTCAGTCAACTGGATCTAATTATGACATCTGTAAATTGCTTAATCCAGCAGAGATTATACTCATTCTTCTCAAACTCATGCAAAACATTCACCAAGACCACATTCTGGGTCATAAAACATGCCTTAAACATTTTTAGGAATAGAAATCGTACATAATATACCCTCTGACTGCAATGGATTTAACTATAAATCGATGGAAAAAATTGGAAAACTCTAAAATACTTGGAGATTAAACGACACACTTCTAAATAACGCACAGTTCAAAGATGTTTCAAGATAAATTGTAGAATATTTTGAACTAAATGAAAATATAAAATCAAAATTTGTGGGCAGTGAAAGCTGTGCTTAGAGGAAAATGTACAGAATTGAAAATATATATTACTAAAGAAGAAAGATCTAAAACCAGTAATCTAAGCTTCCACCATAGGAAACTAGAGAAAAAAAATCCAAAGTAAGTAGAAGAAAAGAAATAATAAGAATTAAAGCAGAAAACAAGGAAGTTGAAAATAGGAAATCACTAGAGAAAAATCAACAAAACCGAAAGTTGGGTCTTAGAAAATATCAACAAAACCAATAAATCTGTAGCTAAGTTAAATAAGAAAATAAGAAGATATCAATTATTAATACCAGAAATGAAAGAAGAACCATTACCAGTGATCCTTTTATTATTTCTTTTATTTTTAATTTTTGTGGGTATATAGTAGGTATATATATTTATGGGGTACATGAGATATTTTGATACAGGAGTACAATGCGTATTAATCACATCAGTGTAAATGGGGTATTCATTACCTCAAACATTTATTCTTTGTGTTTCAAACCATCCAATTATATTCTTTTAGTTATTTTTAAATTCACAATTAAATTATTTTTTGCTATAGTCACCCTGTTGTACTAGCAAATACTAGGTCTTATTCATTCTAATTTTTTTTTGTACCCATTAACCATCTGCACTTACCCTTTCCCCCACTGTACTTCTGAGCCTCTAGTAACTATCCTTCTACTCTCTATCTCCATGATTTCAATTGTTTTAATTTTTAGCTCCCACAGATAAGTGAGAGCATGTGATGTTTGTCTTTCTGTGCCTGGCTTATTTTGCTTAACATAATGACCTCATGTCAGGATCTCATTCTTTTTTATGGTTGAATAATACTTCATTGCGTATATATACCACATATCCTTTATCTGTTCATGTGTTGATGGACACTTAGGTTGCTTCCATATCTTGGCTATTGTGAATAGTGTTGGCAATAAACATGGGAGTGCAGATATCTCTTAGATAAACTGATTTCCTTTCTTTTGGGTGTATACCCAGGAGTGGGATTGCTGGATTGGTAGCTCTATTTCTAGTTTTTTGAGAAATCTCCAAACTGTTCTCCATAGTGGTTGTACTAACTTACATTCTTACCAACAGTATGTGAGGGTTCCCTTTTCTTCACATCCTGGCCAGCATTTGTTATTGCCTGTCTTTTGGATAAAAGCCATTTTAGCTGGGGTGGGCTATCTCATTGTAGTTTTGATTTGCATTTCTCTGATTATCAGTGATGTAGAGCACCTTTTCGCATACCTGTTTGTCATTTGTATGTCGTCTCTTGAGAAATGTCTATCGATCTTTTGTCCATTTTTAATTGGATTATTAATTTTTTTCCTGTAGAGTTGTTTGAGCTCCTTGTGTATTCTAGTTATTAATCCCTTGTCAGATGGATACTTTGCAAATATTTTTTCCCATTCTGTGGGTCATCTCTTTACTTTGTTGATGATTTACTTTGCTGTGCAGAAGGTTTTTAACATGATGTCATCTCATTTGTCCATTTTTGCTTTGGTTGCCTGGGGATATTATTTAAGAAGTCTTTGCCTGCTTCATTGTCCTGGAGAGTTTCCCCAAAGTTTTCTTTCAATAATGTCATAGTTTGAGATCTTAGATTTAAGTCTTTAATCCATTTTTGTTTGATTTCTCTATATGGAGAAAGGGATCTAGTTTCATTCTTCTGCATATGGGTATCCAGTTATCCCAGCACCATTTATTGAAGATACTGTCCTTTCCCCAGTGTATGTTCTTGGCATTTTTATTGAAAATGAGTTCACTGTAGATGTGTAGATTTATTTCTGGGTTCTCTGTTCTGTTCTATTGGTCTGTGTGTCTGTTTTTGTGATCCTTTTATTTACTGATAAAAGAATTAAATTTGATAACCTAAAAGAAATAGACCAATTACTTGAAAGGTACAATCTACCAAAACTCATACAAGAAGAACTAGATAATCTGAACAGCCTGGTATGTATTAATGAAATTGAATCAATAACTAACAACCTTCCAAATTAGAAAGCACCAGGCCCAGATGGTGAAGTCTACTGAATATTTAAGAAAGAAATAATTCTCCATAACTTTTCTCAAAAAATAGAAGCAGAACGAATACTTCCTAATTCTTTTGAGGACTACTGCATTACCCTAATGCAATTCATCTCATCCACAGGCTAATGAAGAAAAGCCATATGATCACATCAATAGATGCAGAAAAAACATTTGGCAAAATCCAACACCCATTTAGGATAAAAACTCTCAGCAAAGTAGGAATAAGGAGAACTTCCTCAACTTGATAAATCTATTAAAAAATAAAAACACAGGACAACTTACCTCTAGCATCATACTTAATGGTGAGAAACTAGGTTTTTTTCTGCTGAGATCCACAACAAGGCAAGGATATCTCACTATTCCTGTAAGACAGGAAAAGGAAATAAAAGGTCTACAGATTGAGAAGAAATAAATAAAGCTATCTTTGTAGATGACATGATTATTTATGTGGAAAATTTCAAAGTGACAACCTCCTGAAACTAATAAGCAATTATAGCAAGGTTATAGGATGCCAGATTAATATATAAAAGTCAGTCGCTCCTTCCATACCAGCAATGAACAACTGGAATGTGAAACTGAAAGCACAGTACCATTTACATTAGCATCAAAAATCTCCAAAACAATTAGGTATAAATCTAGCAAAATATTTACAAGATCTATATGAGGAAAACTATGAAACTTTGATGAAAGAAATCAAAGAATAAATAAGTTGAGAGGTCTAGTTCATGTACATGGATAGAAAAACTCACTATTGGCAAGATGTCATTTTTTCCCTACTTAATCTGTAGATTCAACACAATCTCAGTTGATTTTGTTCTTAACAAGTTATTTTGTGGATATTGACAGAATCTAAAATTTATATAGAAAGGCAGAGCATGAGCAACATGGCAAAACCTGTCTCTACAAAAAATACAAAAACTAGTTGGATGTGGTGTCATGTGCCTGTAGTCCCAGCTACTTGGGAGCCTGAGATGGGAGGATTGCTTAAGTTCAGGAGGTCAAGGCTGCAGTGAGCCATGATTGTGCCCCTGCACTCTCTAGCCTGGGTAACACAGCAAGATCTTGTATCAGAAAAAAAAAAAAAAAAAAAGGAAAGGCAAAAGAGCCAGAAGAGTCAACACAATATTGAAGGAAAAGAATGAATTCAGAGAAGGGACAGAACCTGACTTCAAAATTTAATATAGTAATCAAGAAAGTATGGTATGGGTGAGAGAATAGACAAATAGATGGAATAAAATAGAGATTCCAGAAAGACCCACACAACTAGAGTCCACTGATCTTTCAAAAAGGAGCAAAGGCAATTCAATGGAGAAAGGATGGTCTTTTCAACATGGTGCTGTAACAATTGGACATCCACATGCCAAAAAAAGATGAATCTAGACACCTTACATCTTTCACAAAAATTAACTCAGATCATAGACCTAAATGTGATGTACAAAAGTATAAAACACCTAGAAGACAACATAGGAGAAAGTCTAGGACACCTTGGGTTTGGCAATGAGTTTTATAATACAATACCAACAATAAAATTCATGAAAGAAAAAATTGCTAAGTTGGACTTTATTAAATTTAAAACTTCTGCTTTGTGAGAGACATTGTTAAGGGAATGAAACGACAAGTCACAGATGGGGAGAAAATCTGCAAAACACATGCCTGATAAAAGACTGGTTCTAAAATATACAAAGAGCTCTTAATATTCAACAGGAAGAGAACAACCTGAAAAATGGGCAAAAGATGTGAACAAACATCTCACCAAAGAAGATACAGAGATGGCAACTAAGCATATGAAAAGATACTCAACATCGTATGTCATTAGACTATTGCAAATTAAGACAAGATACCACTACACACCTAAAAGAATGGCTAAAATCCAAAACACTGACAACACCAAATGCTGGCAGGGAAGTGTAGCAATGGGAACTCTCACTGGTGGTGGAAATACAAGATTATATCATCACACTGGGAGACAGGTAGTTTCTTTCAAACCTAAACATAGTCTTACTGTAGGATCCAGCCATAGCACTCTTTGTATTTACCTATATTAGTTGAAAACATGTCCACGCAAACATCTGCACATGAATATTTATAGCAGCTTTAGTTGTAATTGTCTAAGATATTCTTCAGTAGGTGAATGGACAAACTGTTGTACATCCATAAAATGGAATATTATTCCATGATAAAAAGAAATGAGCTTTCAGACCATGAAAAAAAAAACATGAAGAAACTGAATGAGTATTGCTGAGTAAAAGAAGCTAATCTGAAAAGGCTACATACTGTATGATTTCAAATATATGACATTGTGGAAAAGGCAAACTTTTGTCAACAGTAAAAAGATGACTGGTTTCCAGGCACTAGGAATAGGGGGGTGGGGCTAGAAGAAGGGATGAATAGGTAGAAGCAAGCACAGAGAATAAAGATGTGAAACTATTCTGTATGATACTTGTAATGGTATATATGTGTCACTATACTTTCTCAAAACCCATAGAAGGTACTACATAAACAGTGATCCCTAATGTAAACTATGGACTTTAGCAATACTGTATCAATATGAGCTTGTTAATTGTAGCAAATGTACCATGCTAATACAAGATGTTAATAATTGGGGAAACTGGTAGGGAGGGGGAAAGGGATGTATGGAAACTCTTTGTAGTTGACACTCATTTTTTATCTGTAAACCTAAAACTGTTTTGAAAAATGTATATTTAAAAAAATGTATTTTTTGGAATAGAAAATAATTTAGACATTTGAAATAACCACAGATTTATCTTTAAAATTTTTAATTCATTTTTTAGTTTGTGTCATTCTCCATTTATTTACTTTCTGACTTGCATTGGGAGAAACAAATTTTATTTCTGACATTGATTTACATTTCTCTTTTATGAATTATTTCCTTTAATAACAAACCTGGTTCTTCTCTTGTTAAACTGTATTTTTTCCTATGACTTTGAATTACCTGATAGAGTGATACAATATTTAACTTTTTCTGACTAACTTAAACAGCTTTCTTTATGCTGGTGATCTAAACTGATGTAAGGACCTTATGTCCTTACAATTCATGAAGACACTAGTATAGTCTATGTTGAAATTTGCAAAGTAACAGTTTTGTCACATGATGTTTCGAAGACTTATTTTACTGGTTGCTTTCTAGAATTTTCAGATAGAAATTGTAAGAGAATTTTTTTGTTTTTTCTTTGAAAGTCTAAGAGAATTTATTCATTATTGTTCACTTAATAAACAGAAAGGGAACTTACCTGCATTTAAAAGATATTAAGCATGATATAATCCTTTTATCTTAGAATACTCAAGATGGCTTTAAGATAAATTTTGTTATTAATAGTTAAGTTTAAAATGTAAAAAATGTGGAGAGTATGTCTGTGGTTTTGCTTATGCTAACAAATAAGAGAGATTGCAATGAATTTAAGAATTATTTTTGAACATACTCATAAGCAGTGTAACTTGCTTGCATTTATGATTTAGGACCTGGTGTTCAACTTTTGGAGCATATATATCACTGTTTTGTTTTCGGATTTTGCTTTTCATTTATGTGTATTATGATAATAGGCCTACATTTGGGGACTTTAACAGGTATTTCTGCCAATGGATAGGAATGTATACATAATGTGAATTTTAATAAATAAGGAGGAAAATGTATCATATTTTGGAAATGAGAAAATTCTGGAGTTGCCTTCCTCATGTTTATTTTTTGTATTTATATGCTGTTAAGGGTCCATCACATTTGCGGTCCATGAATTTCTTATGCTATACGGAAACTCTAGAGTGCAAGTTACAGTTTTTTATATAGTCTGTATGGTCCAAGGTGAATTTATGGGAATGCATTTTTTTTTTTTGAGAGGGGAAAAGATAGGAAGCCTTCAAAAATTGTCATGCTCGTAATTTGAAAATCTGTTTTTACTTTTTGATGTTATATTTTTCATACTGCCCATTAAGCATATTATAGATTTATGATCACTGATGTATGTGTCTTAGGAATGTATGTGCTAATAGAAATGTCAGTAACTAAGTGTTTAGGTTAGTAAATCCCAAAAGATCTCAATAGCTAATTCATTGTAAATAATTTTCTATAGTGAGGGTTGCATAGCTGTGAAGCCCTTGACAGACTTCTAGGTATGCCTAAAGACTTAAGAGTTTTTAGTTAAAACAAAAACAACAACAAAAGGAGGTGACCATTTTTGCTTCATTTTTTAGGGTTTTTAAATTTGTTTTTGAGGCAGAGTCTTAACTTTGTTGCCCAGGCTGGAGTACAGTGGCACAAACATGGCTCATTGTAGCGTTGACCTCCTGGGCTCAAGTGATCCTCTCACCTCCAGCCATCGGAGTAGCTGGGACCACAGGGAGGCACCACCACACCCAGCTAATGTTTTAGTTTTTGTTTTTTGTAGAGATGGGGTCTCCCTCAGTTGCCCAGGCAGGTCTCAAACTCTTGGGCTCAAGCCATCCTCCTGCCTTGGCCTCCCAAAGTGCTGGGATTACAGGTGTGAGCTACCACACCAGCCAAGGGGTACATTTTTAAAGAATTCATTCAGAATCACAACATAAATTTATTCCACTGCAAATATGGAAAAAGTTCCAAGGGAAATGCCCAAGCTCTTCCTTCAAGTCTGTGTTGGGAAAGAAAGAAAAAAAGGAGTTGTTATTTCCCAGAAATTATCCCCTAGGGGAAAAAAGAAAAACTTATAATTTATCTGTGGAATCAAAAACTCAATTCAGGTTTTTAAAAAATATATTTAAAAATTCTGGCTAACACAGTGAAACCCTGTCTCTACTAAAAATACAAAAATTAGCCTGGCGTGGTAGCAGGCGCCTGTAGTCCCAGCTACTCAGGAGGCTGAGGCAGGAGAATGGCATGAAACCAGGAGGCAGAGCTTGCAGTGAGCCGAGATCGCGCCACTGCACTCCAGCCTGGGTGACATAGCGAGACTCCGTCTCAAAAAAAAAAAAAATGTATATATATATATATTTTTTTTTTTTAATTAAAGGTGATTACAACTATAGATGATGTTTCACCCTCTGTGTAACAACACTTTAAGATTTGCATATGTATTTGTGTCTTTGCTCTGACCAATTTTAATGAGTGATTGTGTTGGAGTCAACGTAACTTTTGTTTCAAATTAGATTATAAAATTGTTGGTTACTTTCTCAAGAAGGGAAGAAGCTAGCGGGAAAACTGGAATAGGGTGAGATTCTGACATTTTGTATATGGGTTGTTTTTAAAATACACTTGATCTTTAATACACAGCATGGTAAGCCATACACTAAAGACAAATTGTTGCCATTATCTTAGCATATTCCATGCTTCTATATTTTTTACCTACAGATTGTTCTTAAAGAATCCTTAATTTTGCTGGCATTCATACATTTTTTAAATCTATGATTATCTTTTTCCAGTTATAAACTATGAAATGCATTTAGTTTTTGCTTAATGTTTGTTTTTACTTTCTCCTCTGTATCTTCACAGCCTGAAATTGTTTTTCAAATGGTTAAGCTGGACTCCTGCTCAAATATAGATATTCAGTAAAAGTAAAAAATTATTGCACTTATACGTGGTAGGGAGTAGGGATTCAAAGATCAGGGGATATGGTTCTTGCATTCGAAAAGTTGAGGAGGCTGACCTAAAAACATACAGTCCACTAAAAATAGATTGTAAGTTTTGCAAAAGTGGGAATTCTTGTTTGTTTTTGTTTATTGCTGTGTTGCCAGTAAATAATTGTTTGGGAGAGTTAGAAAAACCTCTCAGGGACTGGCCATGGTGACTTATTCATGTAATCTCAGTACTTTGGGAGACCAATGTGAGAGGGTCGCTTGAGCACAGGAGTTCGACACCAGCCTGGATACCATAGCGAGACCTTGTTTCCACTAAAAATAGAGAAAAAAAAATTAGCCAAGCATGGTGACATATGCCTGTGGTCCCAGCTACTCTGGAGCCTAAGGTGGGAGAATTGGCTTGAGTCCAGGAGTTCAGGGTTGCAGCAAGCTATGATCATGCCACTGTACTCCCGCCTGGACAACAGAGTAAGACCCTGTCTCAAAAAAAGAAAAAGAAAAAAAAGTTTTTCAGGTGAGATGATACTTCAAGTATGAAGGAGTATATCAGGAAGAAAAAGAGACCAAGGAAATTAGCAACATACAAAGTCATGATGTGATGATGAAAGAGAATGAAAATTTTAAGGAACATTATAAAATTCTGAGTGGCGGCAGCACGGGAGGACAGTAAAAGAAAAGTCTTACTGAGTGGTAGATTGTAGGCAAGTCGTAAAGGCCTTGTGTGAGTTGTGTGATAATCTAAGGAATTTAGACTTCAGGGAACCAAGTCTGTCCAGTAATCAAGGAAACTCAGCAATTTGAATTGATGTTAATATTCAAACTATTTATTTTGCCACCATTACTATTACACTGGATATTATGCAGTATTGTTTCTTTTAAGTCCTTGATTCATGTGTAACAATACCTATAACTTAATTAAGAATCCTTGAAATAAATGTTTTTTTAAAAATCTCTGGGAAGAGTAAACTTGATTATTTATTTCTAAGTGAACTATAATTTATCTTTAATTTTTGTGAACTAGGGACTCTCCTAAGAAATTATCAAATGCAACTACAAATGCAATTTTTAAAAAGTAATCCAGTTTAAAGCTTTCTTTGAAAACAATTTTAAGTTTTTATGTTTATGATTTGAATAAGCACAAAATTATCTATTTTTGTCAAGAACCCAATTTTTCATGCTCTGCAAATTGTTTTCTGTTTCTATGTAAAAATTTTAATTATACTCCTATACTTTATTATAAAAGATACTGATTTGATTAGCATCCTCTTACCAGAAACACATACTAGACATGAGATTAAATCCTTTTGACTATGAATTACCTAAAAATTTCTAAGAAAGACCTGTGAGTGATTTAGAAAACTTTATTTGGTAAAGAGTATGAAAGTAGGAATGATTTATTCTTATAATTCAGCCTCGTTAGTAAGAATGGCTCAGGATTGCCTAGAGAAATGCCCAAATATTGTTCCAAAAGTTACTTTGAACTATTAATATTGAGTTATTTTCAATGTTTTCATTCAGTGAATTTCTCAACCCTTGGTTTTGAGAACATAATGCTAATTAAAGTGTCTGCTGTTGTTTAATGCTATTCCATTGTAACTGCTAATAATAATAGCATTTTTCTGCTTTATATAAAAAAATTATATTCAAAATGTTGTGTGTGTTCTCTGATTTCTTTTCTTACAGCTTGCCAGTATTTGCCGTGCTGAAATGTTTTAATTTATAATTTCCTTCCTTTGTACCTTTTAGTTTTCTCTGTTGCTGCTTTTTCTGTGACACGAGCCTTTCATTATAGTCACTCTTCTTTTTTCCTTCCCCACTTCTTTCTTTTCCTTTTTTAAAGCCATGAGAAGCCGATCCATTGGTGAATGTGCTCTGCCATCGGCCTATATACGCAGTGCTAAAAGTGCTCCTGTTCTGATCCATACTTCCAAACCCTTCTTGCCTGATATTGTTCTCACTCCCCTTTCTGATGAGCTTTCAGGTAGTGCCACCTCTGCTAATTTCTGCACCACCTTTTTCACTTTTTAATCCTCTGCTTTCAAATTTTGCTTAATCAAATAAACTCTTTAAAGTTAATTTCTTTGGGGGAGGTGTGGGAAAGTGGGAAAGTGATTGAGAAATCAACATTTTGAGTTATTTGAACTCTAATCCTGTCCTTGCAGTTCATTCTGGAAGTGCTAAGTTTAGTGCTGTGCCAATGTCCAGTATTTTTTGTTGTAAATGGCCAATTTTTTTTTTTTTTTTTTTGCTGTTTGATTTTTTTCTTCCTCTCAGGTGGTTAAAAGAAGTAGTAGTATACATTTATATAATAGAAGTCTTGTAAAAGATGACTTAGGAAGATAATCAGAGCATTGACTTTTAATTTCCCATTGTTTTGACTAATAATATCGTAAATCTTGAATAATTTATTCTGCATTATCTATAGTAATGGAACTAAGTAAGGGTAATCAGTATTTGGGAAAAGTATATAATCTAAAAGTTGCTTTGGAATAAATCTTTGTATTTATATTACATATAATCATATATAGAATTCTAAGGATTCACTCATTTTTAAACCATTCTGTGAAGCCCTAACTTCCAAGGAGCTTCAAAACCTGCTTAGCTTTCCAGTTCTGCCTCAGGTCGTTGGTCCCCAGTACTGGCACGGTCTGCTCTTCTATTAAGCTTTAATTAACATGTAATAAAATGCATAGATCCATAGACTCAACTGAATGATTTTTGAAAATTGTACATACCCCTATTAACCATCACCACAAACAAATTATAGGACACTTCCACTACCTCAAAAAGTTTCCCAGTGACCTTTTTGAGTCAATCACCACACACTCCTCCCCTCCACGCAAATACAACTTTTTGCTGTTCATCACCATAGATCAGTTTTGTTTAAAAAAAATTTTTTTGGCATAAATAAAATGATTGTGCATACTGTGCTAGCTCAAAGAAACCTACTTGTTTTGTTAACTTTGGAACCATAATATAATTAATTAGAAATGGTTTATAAGAAATTGGAGTTGATTTTTTAATTGATGACAATAATAGAAAAATTGGCCTCAATTCAAACCTTAATATCCAGTAAGTATTGATGAATGAATGGACGTATTTTACATCAGTGAAATTAGGCAACCTGAATATTTTAAGCTACCAGTACAGAAAATTAGTAAGATTTAAAAATATGTAGATGTAATAATATAAATTTTAATAGATGGTAGAAAATGGCACACAATTTTGTTACGTATGATGCTTAGCTACAAATAAAGAATTAGGATATTTTTGTCTCTTTAGTGCACCATTTAAGCACTGTACCTCCTTATGTAAGTAGCACAGATTTTGGTTGCTTACATCAAATTATAATCTACTTAAGTTGGCAAACAATGTTTCTGTTCTTAAAACTGAATTAGATACAGCTAAAAGAAACTCTGAGTTTGTTGTAAACTTCTCTTGGATACATTTTTTGCTCCTAGCTTTTATAAAAGACACACTTAGAGCATTTAATGCAAACCATTCTTGACATGTTTAGAAAAATTAAAATGAGCTTTGAACACTTCCATTATTATTTTATTCTATTTATTTATTTATTTATATCGAGTACAGAATTTGAATTCTCTTGGCCACTAATTCTTAAAAGTTTGATTGGATTAGCCATTCCTCTACTGTTTTAAAAAAACTGTCAGAAAGATTTATTTTTTTCTCCACATCTTAAGGGATTTACAGAATTTCTCATCTGCAACTTAATATATTGGCAAATATTCATGTTAAGTGCTAAAACATTTTTGAATAGCTAAAACAAAGATAAGGTTGTTCCTTTCAAAATATTTTAGAGTGGTGCCATACCCAGGATGAGAAGTTCCTATTTCAGAATTCTTGCTTTGCTGTAAATACATAATTCAGAAAGTTTACCTTTTTAATGATTTTATGATTTAAACATTTATGAGCACTGTTGGAAAGGAATTTTCTAAATGGCAATTTTATTTGTTGTATTCCTTTTCCCTATCTGGGGTAATATGCCTTCTATGATAAATTTAAAGATTTAGATGGTGTTGAGACATCAGTCACTAAAACAAAACAAACTTTATATCTGATTATCAAAATAATGTTCATTTTAGAAAACATGGATTATATGGAAAAGCATATGCAAAAATACACATAATCCTCCAAAACCAGTGATAATTTATTGACAACTTCAGATGCTTTTACTGCCAGTTTTTTATGCTTGTGTACATTTAAAATATAAAAGCATAATTACAGTTATTTTGAATTAAAAATCATTTTTTTCTCTTAGAATTTGAAAGAGGCAAGGAACCTGTCACTTTAAAATAGCAAAATCCCTCCTTTCCTGATTGCAAATGAAGTCAGGATTTTTCAAGCTGATACGTAAATTTAGAACACTTTCCAGGAGATGCAAATAGGTGTGTAGAGGAAAAGATTAAAGATTCATAGTGCAAATCAACATACCAAAGGCCCTTAGAAAACCTGTTAAAAAAAAAAACAAAACTGTTGGCCAGGCACAGTGGCTCACACCTGTACCCCCAGCAACTTTGGGAGGCTGAGGCAGGCAGATCATGAGGTCAGGAGTTTGAGACCATCCTGGCTAACGCGATGAAACCCCATCTCTACTAAAAATACAAAAAAACTAGCCAGGCTTGGTGGCAGGCGCCTGTAGTCCCAGCTGCTCAGTAGGCTGAGGCAGGAGAATGGCATGAACCCAGGAGGTGGAGCTTGCAGTGAGCCGAGATCGCCCACTGCACTCCAGCCTGGGCGACAGAGCAAGACTCCGTCTCAAAAAAAAACAAAACAAAACAAAACAAAAAAAAACACTGTTTATAATTGAATATGTCTCAGACTTATTTAAGCACAGAACACCTTTCCAAGTACACATATTGATATCCTGTGCCATTAAGGTTCCAGAGAGAACCAATATGAAAATTAAGCAGGATTAATCTTCTACCAGTTTACATTGTAGAAATCTAAATTATTGGATTGGTCTTTGCCTCTGCGATTCTTGGAAGCAAATTAAAGACTTGGAATTTGATTCCTCAGGTGTTAGGTGTAGAGCGAAGGAGAGTGGAAGAGATAAGAGAAAATGTATGAGTTATAAGAATAGAGAGTTGTAAAAATAGTGCTAAATTAAAAAACAATCACCAAAATCTTAGATCATCAACCAATCATACTTTTTAATTGCTGATGTTTCTTCCAAGGTTTGACTAAATTTTACTTTAGAATAGTTTAATGTGCAGAGAATTAATAAGAAAGTGAACTGTATGAAGGGGAAAAAGTAAATGGTTTTTCATGCTTTTGTAGCTCTCCCTCATGTGAATTAGCTTAAACGAACTCATAAAATATTTCCTGAGTCTATCTCTGAAATCAGGAAATGAGGTTTCTTCAACTACTTCACCAAAAAAAAACCTCAATGAAACGACTCATAGACAATCTACCTCTAGTTTATGGTTAGAAGTAGAATTTGTTAGAAAAATATTTATCTGATACTTTTGGATAATTGGGGAGGTAAAGGGAAGTCCTTTAAATCCTTTTTTTTTTTTAACGTACCAAAATCTATGAGAAAGGACCATCAGTTTTCTAAGTACCTTATTTGTTCCCAGCCCATTTTTCCTCCTCCAGTGTTCTTGTTCTAACTGTCCATACTACCTGCATTGTTGTAAGTATGATGCTATATGATATAGCTTTATATACAGCTATAGACTAACCTAGTTGAATAGTTGAGTATTCTTGAAGAGTTAAAAAAAAAAATTTTTTTTTTAATTTGCTCTGTTGCCTAGGCTGGAGTGCAGTGGTGCAAACATGACTCACTGCAGCCTTGACTTCCCTGCCTCAGCCTCCCATGTAGCTGGGATCATAGGCACGTGCCACCACATCCGGCTAATTTTTTTATTTTTTTGTAGAGACAGGGTTGTTGCCCAGGGAAATTCTGAACATAAAGTTGCCCAGGCTGGTCTTAAACTCCTGGGCTCAAGTGATCCTCCACACCTTGGCCTCCCAAAATGCTGGGATTACAGGCGTGAGCCACCACACCCAGCCCTTAAAGAGTTTTTCTTAAGCTCTGGGGACCAGTTTGTGGGCATTAGCACTATGTCAATGCACTGTTTCTTAACATCAGACTCATCTATAACAGTTTGAAAAATATGTATCAAATTTGATACAATATGTTGGCTTGCACAAACATCTAATATAATTTATTCTGGTGTCTGGGCAAGTACACTCCTTGGCTTCTCTCTCATTGGCCTTTGATAATTACTTATCATTACTGCACTAGATTGTAGACATTTGGTAACCCAGCCTGACAGTCATTATTTTCCTGATAAACAGATAAGAGAGAAGCCAGAAATCTGAATCATCGTTCTTAAGCAAATTACTTTTACTGCCAAAAGTAACACTTTAGTGAAAAAAGGAATATAAAAGTATATAAACATGGTAGGCAGCTTTGTGTATACTTCCACAAATGTTTCTTATTTAGTATTTTCTAATCAAGTACTATGAGTTTCTCATCCTGAAATTAAGCTTACAGACCCAGTTTCTTTCAACCAGTTCCCAAAACTGATTTGTCATTTTTGTTGCTATTGGACTCTGGTCTATCTAGGCTATAGTATGTAGACTGCTAATGTTGGGGACTGATCTCTTTTTATTAACGATATGTTATTATTTGAATTGAGCTCTTTATACTTCTGTTTTGTGACTGTCAATGAAAAATAAAATAGTATGTCTCACAGGCCTATCCTTTTCCTAAATTCTGCCCAATAAGGAGAATTTTTCATCTCATCAAAGAAGTAGGCCCTTCTTTATACAATCAAGAATTTTTTCCTGTCATCAGTGTAGAATAGGATATTAATATTTTACATATTTTCCACTTGTAATCTGCTGATTATAGCATAATTCCAATTAGATTTTTTTTTTTTAAGAGATAGGGTCTCATTGTGTTGCCCAGGCTTGATTGCTGTGGTGCCATCCTAGCTTACTGCAGCCTGGAACTCCTGGGCTCCAGCATTCCTCCCACCTCAGCCTCCTGGCAAATTAATTTTTTTTTCCTGGAATAATTTACGTTAATTTTTTTGAGACACAGTCTTGCTGTGTCGCCCAGCCTAGAATGCAGCGGTGCAATCTTGGCTCACTGCAACCTCCACTTCCTGGGTTCAAGCAATTCTTGTGCCTCAGCCTCCCGAGTAGCTGGGACTACAGAAGTCCGCCACCATGCCTAGCTAATTTTTTTTTAATTTTTGGTAGAGATGGGGTTTCACCATGTTGGCCAGGCTGATCTCGAACTCTTGACCTCAGGTGGTCCACCCACCTGGGCCTCCCAAAGTGCTGGAATTATAAGTGTGAGCCATTGCGCCTGGCCTGCATTAATTTTTTAAAAAGAACATCTCAAGAAAAATGTGAAGCTAACTTAAACATGACATTATATAGCATAATCATAAGCAAAACACTATACTTTTCTTAACATAAAAAATGTATTGGTAGTTTATGTTCAAAATTTTAAAATCAGGAAAACAATATTAGAATAAAAGAGAAGATAGTCGACTGGGCTAAATTTTAGTGGTTTAAATGAAAACTATTGAGCTTGATTTGTTGCTTTTAAGTCTTTTCATATGATTACAATAATGTAAAAACTGCTTTGAATTACCTGCAAATTGAACATCTAATCTTAAAAAGATAGAATTTTAATAGCCTCTGTTAATAATATTTGAAACATAGATGCTCTATCGTTTTTACTTACCTTGAAGTACATTGCCGTTGTTGCCCAAATAGACAAAAACTTAGGTAATTAGCAGAAAAAAACTGAGTTTCAAAATGGCATCAATTTCTATGTAAACTAGTTTAAATGATATTATGAATTTAGGGACCATAAAAATATTACTGATAGCTAACGTTCGTGCTTGACCAGTAAAATAATTTAACTTTAGTAAAGGGGATTTTGGCCCTTGATTCTATGATTCATTTCAGAAATTATTAAAATTTCTAGTGATATGTTAGTATTTTAACTGAAGAGTTTGTGAGTAACTAACTTGCTTTTTACCAATAAGCAGCTACTTTTTTTTTTTAAGGCGAGCTTTTCTTCTACCAGTATTTATTAAGCCCATACTTATGTGACAGGTCCTCTTTCAATCAATAGAGATATTGCAATGAACAAAACAAAAATCCTCAAGAGACTTAAATCTAGTGGAAAGGAGTACTTTTTTCTTAACATTTTATAAGCTGACAGTATACTTTAATGTACAGCTTTCCTTTCAAACTAACACAGGAAACTTTTTGAACAAAATATTTCCGGGAAAAAACCGGTTTTTTAATCTAGAAATAATTGACCCATTTTAATGCTAAACAGTATTAAGGAAACCCAGAGATAAAACTTGACATTTCTGTAACTTTATAGAGTTTTTAAACTCTAAATTTAAATTTATTTTACCAAAGCATTTTCTCAATGTTCAAAAGCAGTTTGTGTAAATCTCTTGAAAACAACGTTTTTATTGTTTCACTCATTAAGTGGTTTCTAATGCTTTAGATTAACATTTAATTGAAAAGACTATACTTTCAAGCATAATTTCTAAGGTATGTTAGTAGAGGAGTTTCTCTGAACATGGGTGATCGTTCTTCTCTTCCTCTGGGAGAGTAAGAGGACACAGTTGGTTTCCCTTAAGAAAAAGAAAAGAAAGAGAAAAATATATAAAATTTTATTTAAAAGCTTTCATTTTTTAAGTTAAAATATAAGAAGCATAATTAAATTGTTTTGAGGGCATTTTTATTTAAACCTGATGCCACCATTATTTTTAGCAATTCAAAGTTTTTTTATTGGTTCCTTCTGTATAATTTACTAACATTTGTTTTAGTTAGATTTTTATTTCTAACATTCTTATCTTTATAGAGATAAATCACTATGCTGCTCTGTGGTTTTTTTAAAATTCTTTTTTGTTTATATTGAGATATAACTAAAGCCTGGCTTTATGGTTTTTTAATAATACAATTAATTTTTACCAAGTTTTATTTAAAAATTAATAAATTATTTCATGAGTACAAAACATATATGATGTATTATTCAAGAGATTAAGAGTAAAGATTAATTTCTGCCTTACTTGACACCACAACTCCTCACTTTGTAGTTGTGTAATTTTGGACAAGTCACTTAAAGAGTTTCTTCATTTATAAAATAGGCATAGCACCTACTTCATGGGGTTGTTGTGAGGATTAAATGAATGATATGTCAGATGCTTACAACAATACCTGGCATGTGGAAAATACTATATATAGTTTAGTTATTATTTAGTCTTTTTCTCAGTAAAGTTCAGCTGTATATATTTGCTCAACTAATGTAAGGCTTATTAGAGTCAATTATGCTCAATTCAAGTGCCATTTGTATTGACATAATTCAGCCCTCTTGATCTGAATTTAGCATAAAGTTGGTTTCCTGTCAGTGTTATTTTCTTCTTTGATTTTATGTAGTTAGTATTATTATGTGCCATGAAAGAACTATATTTAAATCTTAAGAATTTTTAAAAACATTGTTTAAATTTAAATTCTCCGGTACTACAATATTGGTAGAAAAAAACCAGTTACATTTTTTTTTTTTAAAGCTCTTTCCCTCTTAAGCTTGCACAGAAGTTTTAGATAGTCATATATGGTAACAAGTTTTAGGAAAAAAAAAAAACATAGGCTGAAATAATGGTTACGTTTTCTAATATACAAGGAGTGAGGGCTGAGTTTGGGAAGGAATTCCTAAACACAGAACATCATAATAATCTTTCCTGGCTTCTTTAGAATGGAAAAATTGTGAAATATCTATAAAAGAAATTAAAAATTAAAACTAATATTTTATTTTTTTCTGACATTTGTACATTTGCTAGTGTCATAATGTTTTTATGATTTTAATGTTTTGAAATCTTGATTTTGACCTTTGGTAAAATAAATTCCAAGCTATAAAATTCGTAAGAATTCTTATAGAACAGCTATACAGTCTTTATCCTTTGCTGAGTTCTTTAGAATATTGTGTGGAAAGAAATTTAGAGTGCATGCTGAATATAATCTCTGTCATTGAGGCAGAAGTTCTTATGATCTCTTATGGCAGATGTAAAAAACCGAAATATTTATGTTTGTCAAGATGCACAGATATGAGTTAGTTATCTGCTGTATTAACAAACGCTTAATGAGTATAAGTGCATCAAAGTGAAGTTTGTAAGGAAATGTTTCGCTTTTCACTTAGAAAAATTTCTCAGTGGAGTGCATGAGGAAGAAAAACAATGTCATTTTTTAAAGTTGCACATTCCCCTCAGTTTAAGGACAAAAAGTTAATTGTTTCAGCTTCAGGAGATACTATATATTTAACCTATGTTGAGAGCCTACTAGTATATCACTAGGAATATACTAGAATCTTGGCATAATACAAACCTATGTTGATCTCAATTTAGTATAAAGTAGGTCCATTTGGACCTCATACAAATAGGGTGATATGAATGAAATTGCAGAGGGACTAGCCTTTTTTCAGCCATAGTAGCATGGATCCCAAAAATACTTTGAATGACTATCTCCATTTTATAAATGAGGAAACTAGTCTCAAAATCTAGAGTAAGAATCAACAAATTATTTTGTAATCTTGGACAAGTCACTGCTTTGCTTCTGGATCTAAATTTTCTCATTTTGATTGTTCAGTTATAGTTCTGTTGCATTTAACTTTTGTGCAAGAAGCCTAATAAGTAGCAACAGCTGACTTTTTGACTCTGTCCTTTCTTCATTATATTTTGCTGACTTCTGAAAACAATTTTTTTTTGTTATTTCTAGGTAACTTACAGACCATGATGGATTCATAGACATTGTATTTTGCTTCCACAATTCCTGTTGAGAATTTGTATATATCTGAACAGTTAAATGGTTATTTCATCCTGACACTGAAGGCAGTGAAAATAATGCAGTGATATGCAACACTAAGCCTGTTTCTCAAACTTTTTTATTGTAAATTTGATAAAGTAACTTAACCTCTCTGGGCTTCAATTTTCTCATCTGTGAGATAGTTAAATTAGATAATCTCTGAATGTCCATCTATAATAATAATAATAATTATTATTATTATTATTATTTGAGACGGAGTTTTGCTCTTGTTGCCCAGGCTGGAGTGCAGTGGCATTATTTCGGCTCACCGCAGCCTCTGCCTCATGGGTTCAAGCAGTTCTCCTGCCTCAGCCTCCCAAGTAGCTGGAATTACAGGCATGCACCACCACGCCCGGCTAGTTTTGTGTTTTTAATAGAGATGGGGTTTCTCCATGTTGGTCAGGCTGGTCTTGAACTCCCGACCTCAGGTGATCTGCCCACCTCAGCCTCCCAGAGTGCTGGGATTATAGGTGTGAGCCACCGCGCCCAGCCTATAATTCTTAAAAAGAGATGTAAGAAGCCAGAAATATAGTTTTTAGAGCTTGATGGCTGTTTAATGGAAAGGGCCAATAACAGGCAGGTAAAGTTTCTTCCTAGCAGATTTAAGTGGTGTTTTTGCCAAAAACAAAAGAATACAATTGATTTTTTAAAAAATATATTGACTTTATTTGATGTCAGTGAATAAGATTTTAATACGTAATAAAGTAAAACACCTGGGGAGAACAGTTTCCTGACAAAGAGAAATTTAGGAAGAGGGTAGAGACTTTCATTTCTAATATGTAATCAAACAGAGAAGCAAAATTTGAAGAAAAGATGCCTCTTGCCTTTTTGGGAAGGAAGCTGGAGAATTTATTAGACCCTATAAGAGTCTACAGTGGGATACTTGGATCGGCTTTCTGTGTTAAGGTGTATTTTTTCTGCTTGGAACGTAAATAAGTAGGAAAAATTTAATAGCATTTGAGTTGCTTGATTTATTGGCACAGCTCTATCTTTATCTGCACTTCCAAATGTTTCATCACCTCACTGTCTGTTTCTATGCATGTTAACATTTTAAAATGTGTTTTGGTAGTTTTCTAATTCATTGACACTACATGCTATATTGGCTTGTGCCCATCATTTTTTTAAAAAAGCAGATTTGTATTTTGATTTTTTTTTCATTGAGCTTACAAAAACTCAGATTTTTTTTAAAGCATATGCTTTAGAGCATTATTGAAATTAATAATTATTTTTTATATTTGTGTAGTTCTTCTCTACATAATTTTTTTTTCTTTTACAGATATTGATGATGCTCAAATACTTCCCCGCTCAACTAGAGTCAGACATTTTTCACAAAGTGAAGAAACTGGAAATGAAGTTTTTGGTGCTTTGAATGAGGAGCAGCCATTGCCTCGAAGTAGCAGCACTTCTGACATCTTGGAACCATTCACTGTTGAACGAGCCAAAGGTGCAGTTCCTGTCATTGACAGTTCATCCCGTCATGCACCAAGCTTGCAGAGTTCCACAGAGGCTTCTTCAATAACTAGATCCACTGAAAGCCACATCACTGATACTCATAGTAGAGAGTCTTCTCTGGAAGTTGGTGATAGCATATATGACCATCTTTGTCATTTAATAGGTCCAGTAGAACTTGCAGATTCAGCTTTTGAACAAATCCAGTACATTGACCTTGAAGGAGATGATGATCTTCTTTCCACCCTGAAAGAATATTTTAAGGAAAACCAGGAAAATCATAGTAAAAATGAGACAGGGAAAGACCCAGCTTCTCAGGAAGTGACTATTGCAGTAAATAGGGGTGAAAGATTATCCTTAGATAAATTAGAATGCACAGATCAGGAAACTGAATCAGAAAATATCACCTCTTTTGTTGGGACTCCTGAAAACCTACAGTTTCAGAAAGAACCAAACTCAGCTGTCTTCATGAGTAATATCGCACCTAACCAGTCAGACAGTTTTTTTAGAACACAAACTTCTGAAAAATCTAAGCAACTAAACACTGATAAACAGCCATCAGAGCCTAGTTTAGATAGCCCTTGTGATAAAGAAAAAAGGAAACATCTGTACAGACAAGCAGCCACAGAATTAGATGCTTGTGTTGATGTAACACTAGTTGAAAAGCTTAAGAGTGTGCAAATTAATGAAAAAATCACTGTCCCACATGTTATGCGTGCCAAGAAAGCAACACTAAAAGCACCTGTTAACCGCAGAATGCCTCATGTTACAAGTACTAGCAAACTTTCTCCAACTAAAAGGAGCTTGTCTGAAACAGTAACTCATAGAGCCAAAATCATGAAAATTGCTACTAAAAAACGAAATAGTGTTCATGTTACTTTTAGGCCATCCACTGAGTCCGTTCAGTTTTATAATCCTCTGGAAAACAAAGAGGCTCCATGGAAGATGAGACTGCGGAAGCTCGGTGGCTTTAGTAGTGGTAGCAGCAATAGCAGCACTAGCAACACCCATACCAGCACAAATAGTGCTACAGAGCTAGTAAAACCTGGTGTGTACAGACCTCTAGATACACTTGGTACTGCATCAGTAAGCAGCAAAACAGTGAAGGAATCCACAGAGATTCCCACCACCATATTACAAAAAGAAGGAATTGCAAGTAGTCAATTAGGTAGTCGTAGTACTCTTAGGTCATCAAGTCATGAGGCAGGACTACAGCAGGGCTCCCTGGGTGGCGTTTATAAAACTGTTGTACATGCTCTTTCGAAGCCGAAGGCAAATGTTTCCCCACAGAGGCAGAACAGAATGCCACCAGAGGCTCCACTGAGGGATCTGTACAGTCATGTAATGGGCTATTTTGGAAGGAAAGCTGCAGGTGAGCACTAACAGTGTGCAGAGCGCAAAAGGAGAAAGACAGCACCAGTTTGGCTTAATGCAACTGAAGCAAGCTATAAGCAATCAAAAAGCTTTGGGATGGTCACTGCTTTCTCTCTGTTTGGTTATGCATGCGCCTTTTCCCAGCTGTATTTTTCCCAGCATAGAATGTTTATTTAAATTACTAATTTCCCTTATAAGGCATTTAGTTAAACCTCTTTGCTGCTGAACAACAACATAGGAAAGTGGATATATAGGAAAATTTCAATAACCTATCAAAGACTACCTAAATCAAGTATTTTTCTGAGTGTATACCACAAGTATGGAAATTAAGATTATCAAGGAGTTACTATGCTTTCTTCCCCACCCCACTATAGTTTAAAAGGGCACCAGATATATCTAACTGATTTCACTTATTTTTACTGCTGATCTATTTGGTTTTGTATTTTTTCTTGATAGAAATTATTTTGACAACTAACATAATAGAAATCAAGGTCCTACAGCCAGCACCAACATTATAGTTAACTATCAGTGATGAGGAAATTATTTCTTAAATCTCAAAGTGAATTTAATCACTTTTCATTTAAGCCATTTCCAAACATGCTGTAGGCTTTTAGTTTTGCATTCATTTATATAGAATGCAAGTTATGTCCTTGAAACACTTTAATTACTTTGTTTTTTTCTGAGATTTTAAATGTGCATAAAGGTTTCACAGTAGCCACTCATGATTTAAATATGGAACCTCTATGGACAGATAACAGAAAGCAAGATTATGGTAACTGTTTTCTCTATCTTGAGTCAAAGTTAAAATAACTTTACATATATAGACTATTAACTTTCAGCAGTAAGGTTGGTTTTGATTTTATTTGTTTTAACATGGTTTTGTTAGCATGATTAACAACGCTGTATAATGCATCTTGCATTGAGCCATTAATGCCACCTGAGGGCAGTATTTGACAGCTTAGCAAAGCCTGGCCAGTAATATAAAGATAATGGTATTTCACAGTGAGCTTCTGACCAGTGTGTTTTTTTAATCTGAAATACTTTGTAGTTTATTAGGAATATAAACAGTGCTCATTTTCCTTTCATTGCAGAGAAATCAACTTTTCAATAGCATAGTAGTGACATAGATACCATATTATTTTCTATAAGTTAGTTTCCCAAGTCTAAAACTTTCTTGTTAATGTAAATGGTAAAAATAATAATAATGTAGTGATAAAAAAATCAAAATAACTATTTTGGGTTTTTTTGGTAAGAAAAACATTTGTGGAAGTCAACTTTTTATTCTTAAAGCATTAAAATTAGATTTTATAGTGGATAGAAACAGCAGTATATCAAAACCATAGAATTTGTATTTATAAATACTCAAATGCATTTGTATCCCACTGAGTTTTGCATAGATTCAAAGGATGTATTCCCTGCAAACGTTCTTTGGGGGAAATACGGAATTATAAATTGTTAAGGCTCTAAAAAGAAACATTGAGTCAGGAAAAAAGATAAATATACCAGTTTCTTTATAGGCAATATTAACCTAACTTCAGCTAGTGCTTATCTATAAGCTTTCTTGCTGTTTAAAGTTACACTGAAGATTGACTAACATCTGCTTAGTTAAATAAAGTAAATATCAATTTACTAATTCTTAAAATTAAATCTGAAAGAAGGGAAATTATTCATAAATGCATGTTTGGCAAATAATTGGCAAAGGTACTTTGTTTTGGGTTGTTGTTTGTTTCAAAGTTAGAAAATGCAGTTAAGTTTTTCCTCACTATATATAGTTATTTATTTATTTTTAGTCAATAAAGAGGACATGAGCCAAAAACTGCCTCCTCTTAATAGTGATATTGGCGGCAGCAGTGCTAATGTTCCTGATCTGATGGATGAGTTTATAGCAGAACGACTTCGAAGTGGTAATGCCTCGGTAAGTTTTATTTTATATATTTGGTTTTATAGAGGAGGGTAGAAAAACTAACAGATATATACCTATGTACATATATGTCAATTTATATATGGGAATTTTTATTCAAAATAACCTTTCCTCAAAATATAACCCTTTTTATGAATTAAGATTTTTGAATTACATTTTTATAACATTTTTTATCTAAAGACATAAACAGCCTCATAATTTTCACCAGGGTGAAAGATCAGACAGGTACCTGTGCACAAATACACAGGTATAAGCAACTACCTTCCTAGTCTCCCCTTTTTTTGTCTTTGCTCGTAGGTTACCCTGGTGCCAGCTGCAAGCCCTCAATGGGAAAGATAGCAATGGAGGTCTTCTGCCCCAGCTCCCGTAGTTATATAAATAAATAAATATAATCTAATATATAATTTAAAATAAAAATACATATATAATTTTTATTTTTGTCTCAAGATCTGCTTGTGAACCAGCTCCCATAGTTTTGCTAGCACAAATACTGCTTAACCATTTTAGATAACTTTGGAAGAGACTTAAAAGTTATCTTTATCTTGAATGTTAGGAGTATGGCAACATGAAAGCAGAAGCTCTTTTATCCCTAATAATGCTTAATTGTTAGGGAAGGATAAATATATATGGAACTAGTTTCTTTTGAGACAGAGTGTCGCTTTGTCGCCCAGGGTGGAGTGCAGTGCTCACTGCAGCCTCCGTCTCCCGGGTTCCAGCAATCCTCCTGCCTGAGCCCCCTGAGTAGCTAGGATTACAGGTGCACACCACCATGCCTGGATAATTGTTCTATTTTTAGTAGAGACAGGGTTTCACCATGTTGGCCAGACTGGTCTCGAACTCCTGACCTCAGGTGATCTGCCCACCTCAGCCTCCCAAAGTGCTGGGATTACCAGAGTGAGCCACTGTGCTGGACCTGGAATTGCTTTTTTTAAACTGTCATATTTCATTTGGGTTTGACTTCTCTATAACTCCATTATATACCCCGCCCCTTTCTTTTTAGGCTTACTTTTTTCCCTTGAGTGGATAAAAATCATTGAATGACATCTTTGCTGTCATTCTTTCCACTCTTCCACTGTCTTTTTTATTTGCTGCTTTTTTTCCACTAAATACTCTTTCTGCTGTTTTAATTTATATTCACTGCATGGATCCTGCTGAGGCTTAAGAGTCACAGGCCCAGCATCATGTGATATTTGGGTCTTTAGGCAGACCAACAATAGGTCAGGCTCTAGCTCCATTCAGTTACATAGATTGTTTGGTGAGTGTGTTCTCCACTCCTACTTCAGCCTCTAAATCTCAGCATTTATTGTGATGGTTTGGAAATTAAAGGTTTCAGATGGTTAAAGAGAATAAAAGCTTTTTCTTAATGGTAAAATATTTCTTGAACGTTTAGACTATGACAAGAAGAGGAAGTAGTCCAGGCAGCCTGGAAATTCCCAAAGACCTCCCTGATATTCTAAACAAGCAGAACCAGATGCGCCCTATTGATGACCCAGGTGTGCCCTCAGAATGGACTTCTCCTGCCAGTGCAGGGAGCAGTGATCTTATCAGCTCAGATAGTCATTCGGATTCTTTCAGCGCTTTCCAATATGATGGCCGAAAATTTGACAGCAAGTATCTTTTCTATTTGAATACTATGTTTTATGTTGATTGTCTTCTGTTCAAGACTGACTTACGGATTATGTAGCCATCACCTTCCTCTCCAGTGTTACTTAGGCAGTGGCTCCCACGTTAGAAAAAAAAAAATTAGATATTTGGTCTTGCTATGTTGTCTGGGCTAGTCTTGAACTCCTGGCCTGAAGCAGTCCTCCTGCGTCAGCCTTCCGAGTAGCTGGGATTACAGGTGCAAGGCATCATTCTTGGCCCCACTTATTTTTATTTCAATTTTCAGTGAAATTTCAAAGGAAGTTTTAGGGAATCACCTTAAGTTGAAGCTACTTTATGTTGCCAAATTAAGAGCATTTAAAAAACAAAAAATGTGATCCCTTCTTAAAAGAAATGACATTTTTAAGACCAAAACTGTAGAAAGGAAAATAATTTAGGATAGACCTGTTACTAAAAAGCCAGTCATGATTATGAGTTGCCACTGTTTCACACACTCATATTTGAGAACCAAATATTTGGATTATGTTCAATGCTACAGTACCCAGAACTTCCTTTGAATAATTGCCCCTTGTTACAATAACATCAGTAATATTATTTGGTGCTATATTATTACCACTTAGTTATTCAGCTATAATTCTATATTGCACTTGGCAGTCAGTGAAGGGCACCAAATTTTTAAAAAAGAAGTCAAAACCTTGGGAACTAAGTTTGTGAAGAGCTGGGATATGCATTGGAGAATTACATGTTTCCTCCCTTCATGGCTTGTACACTATCCCGATCTACTTATAATCTTCAGAGTATTAAGATTATTTACACTTGTCTGAGTGATATGTAAACAGAATAGATGTACGGGGAATGTTTATGTTTGATCATTTTGCTGATTTAGCTCTCGTAAATATTTTTACTTTGTAATTGGGACTCATATAATAACATTTCTTCTTCCTATAGATTTTGGCTTTGGAACCGACACTGGGGTTACGTCCTCTGCTGATGTGGATTCAGGTTCTGGCCATCATCAGAGTGCTGAAGAGCAGGAAGTGGCTAGTCTAACTACTCTTCATATAGATTCTGAAACAAGCAGTCTTAATCAGCAAGCTTTCTCTGCTGAAGTTGCAACTATTACTGGTAAAGTTATTCATGGGAATGTGTTTCTTAAATGTATTTTTTAAGCCTTCAAAGAATTTGATTAAAATTTTGAGAGATTTTAAGTATTACTTATTACTATTTAAGTATATTTTTTCATTCATCTTTATGTAACAATGAAGGGGAGAAAAGACATTAGTTTCTTGACCTGAGGTCCACTGGGTTAAGCTTCAGAGGACTC
Source organism: Homo sapiens (assembly GCF_000001405.40). NCBI lineage: Eukaryota > Metazoa > Chordata > Mammalia > Primates > Hominidae > Homo > Homo sapiens. The sequence goes on along the minus strand of NC_000014.9, from coordinate 35,683,609 downwards.
TGTGAACTTGTAGTATTTTATGCAATATTTTGTATATATATGCACTAGAACATTTTCTGCAGGATTAAAAAAAAATTTTAATGGGAACATAATAGATGTATATGTATATGGAGTACATGAGATAGTTGGAGTGATTTTTAAAATAAATAAAAAAGTTAAAAGTAGTGGACTGTCTTTGTCATTCAGAGTTAGCCTAGATTTTTATGATTTCTTTAGCAAAGTATTTATTATAGAAAATATAAAGCACACTGCTTAATAGAAGGCCTGTTTGTCAATATACTAATATTCTGTGTTTAGATAGTAGTTTGTGCTTTTTGGAAACTTTTTACATGTAGTCAAACCCAACCATAATGTGATAAGTGGAGTCTTCAATCATGTTAAATGCAGAGTCACATTATTGCAATGTTAGTGAAGTGATTAGAATGAGCCTGAGCAGCTAGTAGACCATAGTTCTTGGGGGTTCCACTCTATAATCCAACCTCACTGTGGTTCCGGCTACAGTTTGCCCCTTGATGAGTGGTTATCCACTCCAGCTTAATTATCCATGGGGTGATTTTGCATCTTGTGGTTGGCTGGAACTTGCAAGACTGGCGCAGTGATTTCTGCATCTCTAAACTAGTCAAGCATATTTCCTCAGCCAGCCCAGACAGAGGTAATTTGAGCCAGGGGAATTCTAAAAGTTAGAAATCCATTCTCTGTTTTCATATCCTGCCTCCTTTTTTCCCAGATGGCAAGAACTTTAGCAGCCCCATTGCAGAATATGGCCCTAGTGGAGAATGGGAACCAATTGGGTTAGAGCTACAGTTCCATCATTATAGGATTTAAATTACTCAAAGTGGAATACTAGAGAAAATTCTTATTTTATAATGAATACCTCTTACTTTAGTTGTTTTTAAATGTAAATGAAAAGATACTTAACATTGATAGTAACCAGAGAATGCAAATAAAAACTACAATGAGACCCTACTACGCATACTGAAATTGTTCAAGTTAAAAACACTGACGGCCGGGCATGGTGGCTCACACCTGTAATCCCAGCACTTTGGGGAGCCGAGGCGGGCAGATCACAAGGTCAGGAGATCGAGACCATCCTGGCTAATAGGGTGAAACCCCATCTCTACTAAAAATACAAAAAACAAAAATTAGCCAGGCGTGGTGGCGGGCGCGTATAGTCCCAGCTACTCGGGAGGCTGAGGCAGGAGAATGGCATGAACCCGGGAGGCAGAGCTTGCAGTGAGCCAAGATCACACCACTGCACTCCAGCCTGGGCAACAGAGCAAGACTCCGTCTCAAAAAAAAAAAAACCACACACTGACAATCCAAAGTGTTGAAATGAGTGTGGAGCAACTAGAATCGCATACATTGCTAGTAAGAATGTAAACTGATCAAGTCACTCTGGGAAAATATGGCAGTAACTTTTAAAGTTAAACATACGTTTATTATGTGACCATTTTTAGGTATGTATTTTCCTTGGACAGTTGTACGCAAAAGATCATGGCAGCTTTATTCACAGTAGTTAAAAATTGAAAACAAACCAAATGTCCATCAATTGGTGAGTGGATAAATAAATTGTAGTATATTCATTTATTGAATATTCACTGAAATAATACTCAGTAATGAAACAGAATTAAATATTAATATATGCAAAAACATAAGTGAATCTTGAAAATGTGCTAAATGAAAGAAGTCAAATACAAAATACTCCATAATTATACGTTATTATTCTATGTGTATAACATTCTAAAAAAGAAAAAACTGTAGTGACAAAGTAAATCACCACTTACTTGGGAAGGATAGGTGTCAGTTGAGGGGATCGACTACAGATGGGCATAAGAAAACTTTATGGTGATGGAACTGTTTTATATTTTGTTTGTGATGTTGGTTACAAGACCATGTGCAGTTGCCATTTTTCAAATAACTGTATACTTAAAGGTGGGTGTGTTTAAAAAAAATGTAGGCTTTATGTTCTGTAAAACAAATTTTAATACTATCAAAACTTTAAGCTATTAATCAGACTGTTGTGTTTCCAAAAGATTTCCATATACAGAAGAAAAAGATATTTTTTATTTCTTAATTCTCTGTAGTTATCAAAAATAAAGTTCCAAACAAAAGTTCTAAAAATAAAATGATGTATATGGAGAACCTGTTTTAGGTCTTTTGCCTTTATGTTTTTTGGATAATTAACTTCTAAGAAATTTTAATATTTATGTAACCTATATTTACTCTATGTAGTGACTATTTTTAGGTCTCTCCTGGGAAGTTTTATTAGGCATTCTAATCTTAATCAGTACCATTAGTAACAGCACAGAGGTGTTTAAGAAACTAAGGCAGTTGTATTTGTTTCTGTTTAGAAGGCACAAAATTCAACAAAGATAAAACTCCATATACACAATGTATAAATGATTCAGTACAGTATTTTCCAAGAGTGAAGTTTGCATACATTATCATACTACTAACGCAATAGTACTTTATGAAAGGGATGTTAGTAGTCCTGAAATCATCTATTTTCCTATAACATAGAAGTTTTCAGAAACTACGAAAGAAATCTAGTATAGGAAACAAGAATGAAAATTAGATAACCTCTTTTTAGGTCATGAATATCATTATAGGAATAGTTTTATTGCTTTAAAAAAACCGTTCAAGAGGAAAAAGCCTCTTAAGTAAGTGAGCCATTATAGATTTTTAAAAATAAAATAGGCCGGGCGTGGTGGCTCACACCTGTAATCCCAGCACTTTGGAAGGCCGAGGCGGGTGGATCACGAGGTCAGGAGATTGAGACCATCCTGGCTAACACGGTGAAACCCCGTCTCTACTAAAAATACAAAAAATTAGCCGGGCGTGGTGGTGGGCACCTGTAGTCCTAGCTACTCGGGAGGCTGAGGCAGGAGAATAGTGTGAACCCGGGAGGCAGAGCTTGCAGTGAGCTGAGATTGCACCACTGCACTCCAGCCTGGGGGACAAAGCGAGACTCTGTCTCAAACAAAAACAAAAAAGCAAAAAATAAATAAATAAATAAATAAATAAATAAAATTAAAGGCAGTAGTGATTCTCTGGTGATTCTGTGATAGCTGATATAAAAGTATTTAAAATCTTAGTTCTTGGCTTGGTGTGGTGGCTCATGCCTGTAATCCCAGTACTTTGGGAGGCTGAGGCAGTTGAATCACCTGAGGTCAGGAGTTCGAGACCAGCCTGGCCAACACAGTGAAACTTCCCTCTCTACTAAAGATACAAAAAATTAGCCAGGCATGGTGGTGGACACCTGTAATCCCAGCTACTTGGGAGGCTGAGGCAGGAGAATTGCTTGAACCCAGGAGGCAGAGGTTGCAGTGAGCCACGATCATGCCGCTGCATTCCACCCTGAGCAACAGAGCGAGACTCCATCTCAGAAAAAATAATGATAATAAAATAAAATCTAGTTCTTAAAAATGAATTCGATTTTTATGGATCAAAACAATACATGGAGATAAAAAGGTTTATATTTCAAAGCATTTGACCAAAGGCTGATGTCTCTTTGGCATGTACTTAAAAGTTTTTGGTAAACATTAAGGTTATAATTTTCATTATGCCTTCAGCAGTATGTGTTTGTCCTAAGATATAGAATACTTAAGTTTCTGTAACTGTCCTTTAACATATGATTTTTGTGCCATATGAATTTACTCCAAATCTCAAATAAAGGAAAGGAAACTTTTCACCTACTATGTAACATAATTGAGCCTAGATAGGGTCATATGATTACTCATTTGATATATGATTATCATATGATTATATGATTATTGTGATAACACCTGATATCACAATCCAGTTCTATATGTACTTTTTTAGGCACTTACTTACTGTGCTACTACTTAAAAAAAATGCCTGTATGATATGTGGAATTGCACTTTTATAGAATTAAAATAATATAAATGTAGATCGTCCTTGACTTACTATAATTAACAACTTACAATTTTTCAACTTTACAGTGGTGTGAAAGCAATTCTCATTCAGTAGAAACCTTACTTCAAATACTCATACAACCATTCTGTTTTTCACTTTCAGTACAGTAGTCAGTAAATTACATGAGATAGTCAATACTTTATTACAAAACAGGCTTTGCATTAGATGATTTTGCCCAACTGTAAGCTAATTTAAGTGTTCTGAGCATGTTTAGGGTAGGCTAGGCTAAGCTATGATGTTCAGTTGATTAGGTGTATTAGGTACAATTTTGACTTACCATATTTTCAATTTACAGTGAGTTTCTTGGGGTGTAACCCCATCATAAGTCAAGGAGCATCTGTATGTATTTAATTTATATTGGTTTTTTGCTTTACTGTGTAGAAAGAGGTAATGAGGGCAGAGGTTTACAGGTACTGAGTTCAGAATATTGATATTTTTCTGCTACAAAGAAGCTTAAAATAAAAAGACCTACTGTTTTAACAACTTGCTTGGTAGTAGCGGCACTATATTATAACCACCACAAGTTGTTCAATACAGCATTAATTTGTGCTATACTTTATTTAAGTTAACAAAAGTACCTGCTATGCACCAGGTACTATACCCAGGCACTAGCACTACTACAGTATATAACAGAATTTCTGTTCTTACAAAGTTTATACTCTGCTGGGGAATATTTAAAATTGAATGGGCAGTTTCAAGTCAGTGTGATAAGTGGTATAATAGAGAGGTGCAGGGTTCAGTGAGAGCATCTAGCAGAGACTCTGTAATCATACTTGGCAGAATCAGGAGTAGGCTTCTCAAGGAAGCAGAGACCTGGAAAATAAATAGGAGTTAACCAGGCCGAAAAGAGGATTAGGGCTCCATGCAAAGGAAAAAGCCAGAGGTATGATGCAATAATACTCTAATAAATACAAGTAGTTTACTTTCTATGACTAGACATAGAAGTTCTAGGTGGGTTGTGGGGAGGCAAGAAAGTTATAGAGAGACTTGAGAACCATACTAGGAAGTTAGGGCTTATGCTGAGGCCAGTGAGGGGCCACTGAAGGATTTTAAATGAGGAAGTGACAGGATCAAATTAGATTTTTAGATCTTTTTGCTGACTTATGGAGAATGGATTGGGAGGGGGAAGTCAGGATGTGGGAGAGACTGAAGGCTGGGAACCACTGTAAACCAAGCATTGATAGTTGCATATAGAGCAGCAGTGAGCAAGTGCCTCAGTTCTTAAATTGCCCCAAGTCTGATTTAAGTGAAATAGAATGACAGTAGGTACTAGAGTTTCTATAGCTGGGCCAGAAATGGGAGTAGATATTCTTAGTTTCACTAATGGCTCCTGTCATTTGGTACATCCAGTTTTGATTCTATACTATTAATAGTCCCATGGTAGACATGAGAGGAGACTCCTAGATATAAAAGCTTGTATAATATTATGATTTTCTTGACCTCCCTGGCCAGTTTATAACTGGTTTTATCTTTTGGTGTTTAAAATTTCTTTTATTTAGGGTGTTAAGCATTACATCTTAGGTAGGATATTGAATACTCTTTATGGTAATTTTATGAAATTATATTTACAGGTTCAGAAAGTGCTTCCCCAGTCCACTCACCTCTGGGCTCCAGGTCACAGACTCCTTCCCCTTCTACATTGAATATAGATCACATGGAACAGAAGGATCTGCAGCTCGACGAGAAGCTCCACCACTCTGTTCTTCAGACACCAGATGATCTAGGCAATATTTCAAAATTAGATATTTACCTTTTTTCTTTTAGGGCGTCAGTGTCAGGAGATCATAAATAAGGCATCTTACATTTGATTATATATGATTATTGTAAATATTTTGGACTTTTCTAAGTCCTTTGGAAATTTGTTAATGTAACTTTTTTCTTGTTCTTAAAGATATTTGTTGTCTGAGTTTTATTCATTTTATTATAGTTGATTAGAGTCCTCAAATTAGTTATTGCATTATTTTCAAGTATTGTATTATCATTTATTGATATTGGTAGTGTTTCCTAAAACAGGAAATACATAATTTGGCATCCTTATTCTTAGTTTTATACCTAAAGAACCTAGTAACTCACAGGAGAACGTAGTAACATTATCACTTGTTAATCAAGCTTTCAGTGAAACAGTTTATCAAACCATTTTTTTTATTTTGATTCAGCAAATTTGTCAACTAAATTTAATTTAAAAGTAGAGGTCCAAATGAATATTTTCAAGTAAATGTTAAAAAGTGACTTGGGAAACCTAAGTAACTGCCAAGTTTTTTTTAAAGTTATTTTTGCTAGATTTTGTATAATGTAACAAACATCAGACAAATATGCACATTTATGGCATATGCAAATATGCCATAAATTGGTCAAAGACACAGTTAATGAGATATTTACAATGAATGAAAAGCTAGTTTTCATTGATAAGGTAGCACATTTATTCTCTGACGAAAGGAAGAAATTTAAAACTATATAACTTCTAAACTTCTTTTAAGAAACCCGTTTATTTTAAAACTAACTGTAGAGGTGAGGTTTCACCATGTTGCCCAGGCTGGTCTTAAGCTTCTGAGCTCAAGTGACCCGCCTGCCTCGGCCTCCCAAGATTACGGGTGTGAGCCACCACACCCGGCCCAAGGGACCCATTCGTTAACTTGCAATTGCCTTGTAATTATATAGCCCTAATTTTCTGGTTTGTGGATTATTTCTGACCTTTTCTTTTTCTCCTTTGATCTGCAGTTGTTTATTTGTTTACAGTTATTTCCCCAACATTTGGAAAAAAACTTCAGTTATAGAAGTGTTTCAAGGCTAGTAAAATGAATGCACATAAACCCTTTATATAAATTCATCAATTAATATTTTGCCACTTTGTCTATATTTACACACAGCACATATATGCACAAAATAGCCTGCCCTTCCCACATGTCTCCCTAACCTTTTATTTTTGCTGAGGCATGTAAGAGGAAATTGCAAATATCAGATCCTTCAGACCTAAACATGTCAGTGGATATGTCCTAATAAGTGTATGTTTTCTGCGTAACCACAATATAATGGCCATATTCATGATATTTAACATAGATACATTGCTGTTATTTTAGTCTATAGTCGTAAGTCCTCAATTGTCCCAATAATGCCCTTTATAGCTACCCCACACCGTCAGCAATCCAATAAAGAATTTAATCAGGCTGGGCACCGTGGCTCACGCCTGTCATCCCAGCACTTTGGGAGGCAAAGGCAGGTGGATCACCTGAGGTCAGGAGTTCGAGACCAGTCTGGTCAACATGGTGAAACCCTGTCTCTACTAAAAATACAAAAATTAGCTGATCATGGTGGCACACGCCTGTCATCCCAGCTACTCGGTAGGCTGAGGCAGGAAAATTACTTAAACCTGGGATGTGGAGGTTGCAGTGAACTGAGGTCGTGCTGCCACTGTACTCCAACCTGGGTAACAGAGTGAGACTGTCTCAAAAAAAAAAAAAAGAATTTAATCAAAGACCACACATTGTTGCTTGCTTTTTAATCATTTAAAATTTTGTTAGCTTTGAAAAGGGTAAGTTAGAGGCAAATCGGCTGATTTATCATTGTATTTTGAAGGTGCTCTGGAGTAGGGAGGCATTAGCAATAATGGTTAACACTTCAGTGTGTTTTGTTTGTTTTAGTGGCTTTACACAAGAAACCTTTTTTTTTTCTTGTAATGGAGAAAGACTAGTACCTTTTTAATAATACAGTCAGTTATATACTTTATATGTAAAGAGAAAAAAGTTAACCATTAGGAGTAAAGAATGTACATGTACTAAGAAGTGATTATAAATTCTCAATATGTTGGAATGTTTTCAAGTGTGAGAAATCATAACTTTATGGTTCTTTCAGTCTACAAAATTTTTAGTTCCCAAAGTTCTTTAGATGCATAGATATCTTTATTGTCTTTTTAATTATTTTCTATAGCCTTTTCCATTATATACATTGAGTAGAATAATGGATTTTTTTTTAAAGCTGGAGGCAACCTATAATGATATCTAGCAAAACCATCTATTTTACAGATTAGGACATGTATCCTTAGAGAGGTTATTAAATAACTTTTATAACACATAATTAGTAGCAGAAAGAGACTAGAACTAAGATTACCTATGTTTCTTATAATCTTGCCAGTATTCGTAGGCAAAATACAATTATGGTAATTTTGATTATGTTTAAATTTTAGTTAAAATGTTTATTTTTCGGTCGGGTGCGGTGGCTCACGCCTGTAATCCCGACACTTTGGGAGGCCAAGGTGGGCGGATCATGAGGTCAGGAGTTTGAGACCAGTCTGGCCAACATAGTGAAACCCTGTTTAAACTAAAAATACAAAAAAATTAGCCGGATGTGGTGGTGTGAGCCTGTAATCCCAGCTACTTGGGAGGCTGAGGCAGGAGAATTGCGTGAACCCAGCAGACAGAGGTTGCAGTAAGTCAAGATCACGCCATTGCACTCCAGCCTGGGAGAGAGTGCAAGACTCCATCTCAAAAAGTTTATTTTTCATGCCATTATGCTAACTCTTAATGCTGGTCTGGGATGTAGCTACAAAGAAAAGGCTTAGGAAGACTTCCTACACCATCTGCCTTTAGCCTGAGGTTTTCCATTAATTTGATGATATAACCTGAAGTTGCTATTAGATAAAAGTGAGAGTATGTGCTTATAAATTTGATGTTTTTATCAAACAGATTTCTCTATCTGCATAGATAGAAATTTCTCTATCTGCAGAGTGAGTAGTAGTTACATAGAATCACTATTGAATAGCTAGTTAACATAATGCTTACAATAATTCCTTATTATTATCTCATAATAATAAGTGAGGTTTTGACCTTATCGGGAAAAAATAATGTATGTTGACATTTCTTTTATTCATTTCTGTAGATATTTAAGATTGTTAATTTAGCTTGGTTTCTTGGGGGGTTTTATGTTCAGTTCACTGAAAAATGGCTGACACTATATATTTTTTTCTATAGAAATTAGTGAATTTCCATCAGAATGTTGTAGTGTGATGGCAGGAGGTACTCTGACTGGATGGCATGCTGATGTTGCTACTGTAATGTGGCGAAGAATGCTAGGCATTTTGGGAGATGTAAATTCAATCATGGATCCTGAAATACATGCTCAAGTTTTTGATTACCTCTGTGAACTTTGGCAGAATCTAGCTAAGGTAAAAAAGAAATAGCGGATATAAGTGGAGAAGAAAATAAAAATATTTAAAAATAGAAGAAGCCTTAGAAAACATTTGTGACACCCTTTTTGACTATAAACTGGTACCCTGCATGGCAAAGTCACTTAATTGTAATTAAATAGTAAGTGTAGAAACTGGATTTGAAATTCAGTTTAAGGTAAACTGGAAGAGATAACAGTTTTCTTAGGTTTGTTGCTTTTTATTTGAAAATTACAGATTAGAGATAACCTTGGCATTTCAACTGATAACCTGACCTCCCCTTCTCCACCAGTTTTAATTCCTCCACTGAGAATTCTTACACCTTGGCTTTTTAAGGTAAGCTTAATATATAAAATATTAGTTTAAAACTTCTCATTTACTAAATCTTAAACTTTTTATAGAGATTTTGGCTATTATATAGACTTCTAGAGCACTTAGTTTTTAACCAGTATCCTTAGGAAGTCATTAGGCATTATATAGAGAAGAGAATGTGCATACTAAAATTACTCGGGATTTATTGCTTTTGATTATTTCATAAAACAAAAGTGAATATAGAGAGGTATGTCTGTATTGTATTTAACTGAAGTATAAACTTTGAGTTGTATCACAGAATATGCTGTGTATTAAAAGTTGTGACCGGGTGAGGTGACTCACACCTGTAATCGCAGCACTTTGGGAGGCTGAGCCGGGTGGATCACATGAGGTCAGGAGTTTGAGACCAGCCTGGCCAACATGGTGAAACCCTGTCTCTACTAAAAATACAAAAAATTAGCTGGGCATGGTGGTGGGCACCTGTAATCCCAGCTACTCGAGAGGCTGAGGCAGGAGAATCGCTTGAACATAGGAGGCGGAGGTTGCAGTGAGCTGAGATGGCGCCATTGCACTCCAGCCTGTGTGATGAGAGCGAAACTCCGTCTCAAAAAAAAAATTTTAATTCTTTTTTGTTTGTTTTTTAAAAGACAGGGCCTCACTCAGTCACCCAGACTTGGAGTGCAGTGGCATGATCACAGCTCACTGCAGCCTTGAACTCCTGGGCTCAAGCAATCCTCCCACTTCAGCCTTCCAAGTAGCTGAGACTACTACAGGCGTGTGCCACCGTGCCTGGCTAATTTTTTATTTTTTTGTAAAGACAGAGTTTCTCTATGTTGCCCAGGCTGGTCTCAAACTCCTGGCCTCAAGAGACCCTTCTGCCTTGGTCTTCCAAAGTGCTGGGATTACAGGCTTAAGCCACTGTGCCCAGCCAAAAGATTTAATTATTTTAAGTATTGATATGTTTGGTACATTTTCCTAAGTGGAACAGTTTATGGTTATACCTACATTGTATCATTTTGGATGATGATAATTTCACTAATCCTGAATTTTAGTTCATTAAAGAAATTGGGCCAACATGGAAATAAATGAGATTATATACATCGTTTGCTATATTCAGTTGCTTAAGTTATTTAGCAAATAGTATTTCTTTTTGAACATTAAAACTGATCTTTTAATTTTAGGCAACCATGTTGACTGATAAATATAAACAAGGTAAATTACATGCATATAAACTTATTTGTAATACAATGAAAAGAAGACAAGATGTTTCTCCAAATAGAGATTTTCTAACACATTTCTACAATATAATGCATTGTGGATTACTTCATATTGACCAGGTAACTATATATATATGTATCATCTAAGAAGTAGTTTATATCATATTATCTTTGATTCTTGATTCTGTTTAACTCTTGCTTTTTAAGGTCTAGAAGTTAAACTCTCCCCCTTATTTAGTGATTTATATACAATTTACTTCAATTTTATGACCTTATTTGTTCTTGAAACATGGTTGAAAATCAAGCTATTATTGTAGGTAGAGGATTGACTTGAGTAGTTCTCCATCTTTAATGTTGTACCAACCAGTTCACTTTTTGAAGCAATTAAACCATCCTTTGCTTAGGCTGATACCTTTCTTTAATAATATTCTAATGTACCTACTCTTAGGCATTTTGTGACTGATACTTGAGGCATATGGATTCGTTTATCTAGTTATGCAACAGTCAGGTTTTTTTCAATCTAAGAATCAGCACATCACATTTTCTTATTACTGTCAATTATATTGGCATAGTGACAGTTACATTGATTTGATAATTATATGAGGTATAATCATTAAATAGTCATAAATATAACCTTAGAATTACTTTGGGAGTCTTGATATTGGCC